>NC_000001.11:111675047-111978077 GCF_000001405.40 Homo sapiens
CCTGGATCTTTTGTATTTAATTCTTTAGTGTGTTTGCTTAAGCTGTTTCCTTTGCTTGGAATGTCCTTCTAAGCATTATAGCTGAAATATTCCTATTCAGTTTTTTGCTTAGCTCTTCATATGAGCTAGTCAAAATTTAAAAAACTGTCCTGGGCCGGGTGTGGTGGCTCACACCTGTAATCCCAGCACTTTGGGAGGCCGAGGCGGGTGGATCATGAGGTCAGGAGATCGAGACCATCCTGGCTAACATGGTGAAACCCCGTCTCTACAAAAAATTAGCCAGGTGTGGTGGCGGGCACCTGTAGTCTCAGCTACTCGGGAGGCTGAGGCAGGAAAATGGTGTGAACCCAGGAGGCGGAGTTTGCAGTGAGCCGAGATCGCGCCACTGCACTCCAGCCTGGGCGACAGAGTGAGACTCTGTCTAAAAAAAACAAAACAAAAAAAACAGCCTGGAGTCTCCTCTGTTCGTCCATCCTTCCCTAGCCCATTAATTTTGTCTTGTACCAGCTTTATTCCCATTGCTTTGTAGTTATTTGTTTCTTTCTCCTTTATAAGCTCCTTGAGGATGGAAAACACATACTTTTCATTTTTGTTTCCTTGACACCTAGTACAGAACTGGTACCTAGAAAATACTTTGCAAATGCCTGATTCAGAATAATGATATTTGCCATTATGTCTGCTTTATAGTGTCCTCACTATGTATGTATATTAGTTCATTTTCATGCTGCTGATAAAGACATACCCAAGACTGGGCAAAAGAAAGAGATTTAATTGGACTTTGAGTTCCATGTGGCTGGGGAAGCGTCACAATCGTGACAGAAGGCAAGGAAGAGCAAGTCCCATCTTACGTGGATGGCAGCAGGCAAAGAGAAAATGAGAATCAAGTGAAACAGGTTTCCCCTTATCAAAGATCTTGTGAGACTTATTCACTACCACAAGAACAGTATAGGAGAAACTGCCCCCATGATTTCAATTATCCCCACCTAGCCCTGCCCTTGACACGTGGGGATTATTAAATTTAAGGTGAGGCTGGGTATGGTGGCTCACGCCTGTAATCTCAGCACTTTGGGAGGCTGAGGACAGGCGGATCATGAGGTCAGGAGTTCGAGACCAGGCTGGCCAACATGGTGAAACCCTGTTTCTACTAAAAATACAAAAATTAGCCAGGCATGGTGGTGGGCGCCTGTAATCCCAGCTACTTGAGAGAGTGAGGCAGGAGACTCACTTGAACCTGGGAGGCAGAGGTTGCAGTGAGCCGAGATCATGCCACTCAAGCCTGGGTTATAGAGAGAGACTCTGTCTCAAAAATAAAAAATAAATAAGGTGAGATTTGGGTGGGGACACAGAGCCAAACCATATCAGTATGTAACTGGTATTCTGAGAAATTTCCCAAATAAATAATTCAAGGTGAGATTTGGGTGGGGACACAGAGCCAAACCATATCAGTATGTATCTAGTATTCTGAGAAATTTCTCTCTTTCCCGCATTGAATTAACTTAAATTAACTTTTTAAGCTGTGATTTACATGTAATAAAATGTATATATTTTAAATAATTCAGTTCAATAAGTTTTGGTAAATAAATATACCTATACAACTATTACCACAATCAAGATACAGATCATTCTCATCACCCCAAAAAGTATCCTCATGCTCCTTTGTAGCCATTACCCCTGTGCCACCACCACTGGCCCCAAACAGCTTTCTGTCACTGTTTTATCTTTTCTAGATTTTATTTTATCTTCTCTAGATTTTTTTTTTTTTAAGAGACCAAGTCTTTCTCTGTTGTGCAGGCTGGAGTGCAGTGGTACAATCTCAACTCACTGTACCCTCCGCTTCCCATGTTCAAGCAATTCTCCTGCCTCAGCCTCCCGAGTAGCCAGGATTACAGGTGCGTGCCACCACACCCAGCTAATTTTTGTATTTTTAGTAGAGATGAGGTTTCACCATATTGGCCAGGCCGGTCTCGAACTCCTGACCTCAGGTGATCCGCCTACCTCGGCCTCCCAAAGTGCTGGGATTACAGACATGAGCCACCGTGCCCGGCCTTTTCTAGATTTTTATAAAAGTAGAATTACAGAATATTACTCTTTGTGTCTGTCTTATTTTGCTGAACATGTTTTTGAGATTCATCCATGTTGCAAGTAATTCATTCCTTACATTCATTACTGAGTAGTATTCCGTCAGTTGGATATATCACAATTTATCTACTCACCTCTTGATAGATACTTGGGTTGTCTGTAGATTTTTGGCTATTACAAAGACAGAAGTTGAAGTTAACATTGTTTCTCAGCTTGGCTTGTTGAAAATAATGTCTTTTACACATTGAATTACTTGTGTTAATGATCTATTGCTCTGTAACCAATTGACCCAAATTTTATTGGCTTAAAACAACAATAATCATTTTTTTTCTGTCAACAGTTTCTGTGGATCAGGGATTTGAGAGTGACTTGGTTGGAGGGTTCTAGCTCATGATATCTCACGAGGCTGCAGATATTTGTTTTAAGGCTAAAATCAAGATAAGCTTCAAAGGTGGTTCACTAACATAATTGGCAAGTTGGTGCTGGTTCTTGGTAGGAGTCCTCAGCTCCTCTTCAGGTGTGCCTCTCTGAAGGGCTGGTGTTCACCTGACATGGTGACTGGCTTCTCTCAGAGCAAATGATCCAAGAGACCACACCACAACCTGCGGTGCCTTTTAGGATCTAGACTTGGAAGTCACATATTTTAGCTTCTGCCGTATCGTATTGGTCACATGACGAATCTTGATTCAGCATGGGAGGGAACTTATTCAAGGATATGTATAATGAGAGGGAACGATACAAGGTATGAATACAAGGAGACCAGGATCATTGATTGAGAGCTGTCTTGCAGGATGGGGTGTCACAATATACCTTTATTAAAAATGAATTAATGTGTTGCTGTGTTTCGACTTCTGGACTTAATTTGGTTTCCCTGATTTGTATGTTTGTCGTTATGCTGATATCACACAATATGTATTACTACAGTTTTATAGTCTAGAAATCAGATAATATAAGACTTTGTTCTTTTTTAAAACCATATTAGCTTTTCTGAATTATTTGCATTTTCATATAAGTTTTAAAGTTATCTTGTCAGTTTCTACAAACACTGCTGATTGAGTTTGCATTGAATCTGCAGATCAACATGAAGAGAATGACATCTTACTAATAATATGGGCAAATACTAATATATGGCATAGCTCTCTATTAAGTCTTTAATTTCAGCCATGTTTTGTAGTTTTGGTATATAAGTCTTGCACATATTTTGCTAAATGTATCTCTAAGTAGTTTCTTACTGGATGTTTTTGTAAATGGCATTTTTTTTAATTTCAATTTTCAGTTCTTTGCCAGTGTATAGAAATACAGTCACATGTTGCTTCATAATGGGGAGAAATGCCTTGTTAGTCAATTTAATCATTGTGTGAACACCACAGAGTGTACTTACACAAATCTGGATGTATAATATAGCATACCACATACCTAGGCTGTATTGTATAGCCTACTGCTTGTAGGCTACAAACCTGTACATCATATTACTGTACAGAATACTGTAGGCAGTTGTAACACAATGGTATTTGTGTGTTTAAACATAGAAAAGTTACAGTAAAAATGTTATTATAATCTATAAGACCACCACCGTATATGTAATAGAGTCTGTTGACTGAAATGTCATTATGCAGCACATGACTGTTCAGGTGGGTTTTTTTTTTTGTATCAACTTTTTATCCTGCAACTTCGCTAAATTCACTTGTTAGTCTGGTAGCATTTTTGTATATTCCTTAAGATTTCCTACATACAGGATTGTCATCTGTGGATAAAAGCAGTTTTACTTCTTCCTTTTGCATATGTACTATACCTAGCTTAGTGCAATGTCAATAGAAGTGGTAAGAGTAGACATATTGATACAATAAAAAGAAAAACCATATACTATCAGTAAATGCAGTAAAAGCATTTTGGGAAAAAAAATCCAACATCTTTTCCTCAGAACCCAGATAAATGAAAGCTCTTAAGAATGTAAAAGTGGGGGTTCCGGGTAAGATGGCCGAATAGGAACAGCTCCGGTCTGCAGCTCCCAGAGAGACCAACGCAGAAGGCAGGTGATTTCTGCATTTCCAACTGAGGTACCCAGTTCATCTCACTGGGACTGGGTTAGACAGTGGGTGTAGCTCATGGAGGGCTAGCAGAAGCAGGGTGGGGCATCGCCTCATCCGGGAAGTGCAAGGGGTCAGCGAACTCCCTCCCCTAGCCAAGGGAAGCCGTGAGGGACTGTGCCATGAGGAACGGTGCTATTCAGCCCAGATACTACCCATTTCCCACAGTTTTTGCAACCCGCAGACCAGGAGATTCCATTGGGTCCCTACACCACCAGGGTCTGGGGTTTCAGGCACAAAACTGGGCGGCTGTTTGAGCAGACACTGAGCTAGCTGTAGGAGGTTTTTCTTTTCTTTTCTTTTCTTTTTTTTTGTACCCAGTGGCACCTGGAACCCCAGCAACACAGAACTGTTCACTCCCCTGGAAAGGGGGCTGAAGCCAGGGAGCCAAGTGGTTTTGCTCAGCAGGTCCCAACCCCATGGAGTCCAGCAAGCTAAGATCACTGGCTGGAAATTCTCTGCACAGCATTCTGAAGTTGACCTGGGACACTCCAGCTTGGTGGGAGGTGGGGCGTCTGCCATTACTGAGGTTTCAGTAAGCAGTTTTCCCCTCACAATGTAAACAAAGCCTCCGGGAAGGTCAGACTGCAGCATGGCAAAGCCACTGTAGCCAGACTGCCTCTCTAGATTATTCCTCTCTGGGCAGGGCATCTGAAAGAAAGGCAGCAGCCCCAGTCAGGGGCTTTATAGTTAAAACTCCCATCTCCCTGGTACAGAGCACCTGGGGGAATTGGCAGCTGTGCACACAGCTTCAGCAGACTTAAATGTTCCTGCCTGCCAGCTTTGAAGAGAGCAGCAGATCTCCCAGCATAGCACTCAAGCTCTGCTAAGGGACAGACTGCCTCCTTAAGTGGATCCCTGATCCCTGTGCCTCCTGACTGGGAGACACCTCCCAGTGTGTCCAGAGTTGGTTCCTTCCGGTGGGTTCTTGGTCTCGCTGACTTCAAGAATGAAGCCACGGACCTTCATGGCAAGTGTTAACAGCTCTTAAAGGTGGCACGGACCCAAAGAGTGAGCAGCAGCAAGATTTATTATGAAGAGCGAAAGAACAAAGTGTCCACATCGTGGAAGGGGACCCAAGCGGGTTGCGACTGCTGGCTGGGGTGGCCAGCTTTTATTCCCTTATTTGTCCCTGCCCATGTCCTGCTGATTGGTCCATTTTACAGAATGCTGGTTGGTGCATTTACAATCCTTTAGCTAGACACAGAGCTCTGATTGGTGCTTTTTTCAGAGTGCTGATTGGTGCATTTATAATCCTTTAGCTAGACATAGAGTGCTGATTGGTGTGTTTTTACAGAGTGCATTTACAATCCTTTAGCTAGACGCAAACGTTTTCCAAGTCCCCACTCGACCCAGGAAGTCCAGCTGGCTTCACCTCTCACCAGCAGGGGTTGACAGACGCCTCATACAGGAGAGGTTCAGCTGGCATTTGGCAGGTGCTCCTCTGGGATGAAGCTTCCAGAGGAAGGAGCAGGTAGCAATCTTTGCTGTTCTACAGCCTCTGCTGGTGACACCCAGGCAAACAGGGTCTGGAGTGGACCTCCAGCAAACTCCAGCAGACCTGCAGAAGAGGGGCCAGACTGTTAGAAGGAAAACTAACAGAAGGAAAACTAACAAACAGAAAGCAATAACATCAACATCAACAAAAAGGAAGCCCATGCAAAAACCTCATCCAAAGGTCCTCAGCACAAAGACTAAAGGTAGATAAATCCATGAAGATGAGGAAAAACCAGCACAAAAATACTGAAAACTGCTGGGTGTGGTGGCTCACGCCTGTAATCCCAGCCCTTTGGGAGGCTGAGGCAGACGGATCGTGAGGTCAGGAGTTTGAGACCAGCCTGGCCAACATGGTGAAACCCCGTCTCTACTAAAAATACAAAAGTTAGCCAGGTGTGGTGCATTTATAATGGTTGGTGCCAGCTACTCAGGAGGCTGAGGCAGGAGAATCACTTGAACTCAAGGAGGCGGAGGTTGCAGTGAGCCAAGATTGTGTCATTGCACTCCAGCCTGGACAACAGAGTGAAACTCCGTCTCAGGGGAAAAAATGCTGAAAATTCCGAAAACCAGCATGCCTCTTCTCCTCCAAAGGATCACAACTCCTCCCCAACAAGGGAACAAAATTGGATGGAAAATGAGTTTGATGAATTCACAGAAGTAGGCTTCAGAAGGTGGATAATAACAAACTCTTCCAAGCTAAAGTGCATGTTCTAACCCAATGCAAGGAAGCTAAGAACCTTGATAAAAGGTTGCAGGAACTGCTAACTAGAATAACCAGTTTAGAGAAGAACATAAATGACCTGATGGAGCTGAAAAACATAGCACGAGAACTTTGTGAAGCATACACAAGTATCAATAGCTGAATTGATCAAGTGGAAGAAAGGATATCAGAGATTGAAGATCAACTTAATGAATTAAAGCGTGAAGACAAGATTAGAGAAAATAGAATGAAAAGGAATGTACAAAGCCCCCAAGAAATGTGGGACTATGTGAAAAGACCAAACCTACGATTGATTGGTATACCTGAAAGTGACGGGGAGAATGGAACCAAGTTGGAAAATGCTCCAGGATATTATCCAGAACTTCCCCAACCTAGCAAGACAGACCAACATTCAAATTCAGGAAATACAGAGAACATCACTAAGATACTCCTCAAGAAGAGCAACCCTAAAACACATAATCGTCAGATTCACCAAGGTTGAAACGAAGGAAAAAACGTTAAGGCCAGCCATAGAGAAAGATCACGTTACCCACAAAGGGAAGCCTATCAGAATAACAGTGGATCTCTCAGCAGAAACCCTACAAGCCAGAAGAGAGTGGGGGTCAGTATTCAGCATTCTTAAAACATAATTTTCAACCCAGAATTTCATATCCAGCCAAACTAAGCTTCATAAGCGAGGGAGAAATAAAATCCTTTACAGACAAGCAAATGCTGAGGGATTTTGTCACCACCAGGCCTGCCTTACAAGAGGCCCTGAAGGAAGCACTAAATATGGAAAGGAAAAACCGGTACCAGCCACTGCAAAAACCATACCAAAATATGAAGACCAATGAAGCTATGAAGAAACTGCATCAACTAATGTGCAAAATAACCAGATCAAATTCACACATAACAATATTAACCTTAAGTGTAAATTGGCTAAATGCCCCAATTAAAAAACACAGACTGGCAAATTGGATAAAGAGTCAAGACCCATCAGTGTGCTGTATTCAGGAGACCCATCTCATGTGCAAAGACACACATAGGCCCAAAATAAAGGGATGGAGGAATATTTACCAAGCAAATGGAAAGCCAAAAAAAAAAAAAAGCGGGGGTTGCAATCCTAGTCTCTGATAAAACAGACTTTAAACCAACAAAGATTAAAAAAAGACAGTGGCATTACATAATGATAAAGGGATCAATGCAATGAGAGCTAACTATCCTAAATATATATGGACCCAATACAGGAGTACCCAGATTCATAAAGCAAGTTCTTAGAGACCTGCAAAGAGACTTAGACTTCCACACAATCATAGTGGGAGACTTTAACACACCACTGTCAATATTAGATCAACGAGACAGAAAATTGGCAAGGATATTCTGAACTTGAACCCAGCTCTGGACCAAGCGGACCTAATAGACATCTACAGAACCGTCCACCCCAAATCAACAGAATATACATTCTTCTCAGCACCACATAACACTTATTCTAAAATTGACCACATAATTGGAAGTAAAATACTCCTCAGCATATGTAAAGGAACGGAAATAATAAGTCTCTCAGACCACAGTGCAGTCAAATTAGAACTCAGGATTAAGAAACTCACTCAAAACTGCACAACTACATGGAAACTGAACAACCTGCTCCTGAATGACTACTGGGTAGATAACAAAATTAAGGCAGAAATAAATAAGTTCTTTGAAATCAATGAGAACAAAGACACAACGTACCAGAATCTCTGGGACACAGCTAAAGCAGTGTTTTGAGGGAAATTTATAGCACTACATGCCCAGAGGAGAAAGCAGGAAAGATCTAATATCAACACCCTAGCATCACAATTAAAAGAACTAGAGAAGCAAGAGCAAACAAATTCAAAAGCTAGCAGAAGACAAGAAATAACTAAGATCAGAGCAGAACTGAAGGAGATAGAGACACAAAAAAAACCTTCAAAAAATCAATGAATCCAGGAGCTGGTTTTTTTAAAAGATTAACAAAATAGACCACTAGCCAGACTAATAAAGAAGGAAAGAGAAGAATCAAATAGATGCAATAAAAAGTGATAAAGGGGATATCACCACTGATCCCACAGTAATACAAACTACCACCAGAGAATATAAACACCTCTATGCAAATAAACTAGAAAAGCTAGAAGAAATGGATAAATTCCTGGATACATATACCCTCCCAAGACTAAACCACAAAGAAGTCAACTCCTTGAATAGACCAATAACAAGTTCTGAAATTGAGGCAGTAAATAATAGCCTACCAACCAAAAAAAGTCCAGGACCAGACAGATTCACAGCCGAATTCTACCAGAGGTACAAAGAGGAGCTGGTACCATTCCTTCTGAAACTATTCCAAACAACAGAAGAAGAGCGACTGCTCCCTAACTCATTTTATGAGGCCAGTGTCATCCTGATACCCAAACCTGGCAGAGACACAACAAAAAAGGAAAATTTCAGGCCAATATCCCTGATGACCATCGATGCAAAAATCCTCAATAAAATACTGGCAAACTGAATCCAGCAACGCATCAAAAACCTTATCCACTGCGATCAAGTTGGCTTTATCCCTGGGGTGCAAAGTTGGTTCAACATATGCAAATCAATAAATATAATCCATCACATAAACAGAACCAATGACAAAAAACACAAGATTATCTCAATAGATGTGGAAAAGGCCTTTGATAAAATCCAACACCCCTTCATGCTAAAAACTCTCAATAAACTAGGTACTGATGGAACATATCCCAAAATAATAAGAGCTATTTATGACACACCCACAGCCAGTATCATACTGAATGGACAAAAGCTGGAAGCATTCCCTTTGAAAATTGGCACAAGACAAGGTGCCCTCTCACCACATAGTATTGGAAGTTCTGGCCAAGGCAGTCAGGCAAGAAAAAGAAATAAAGGGTATTCAAACAGGAAGAGAGGAAGTCAAATTGTCTCTGCAGATGACATAATTATATATTTAGAAAACCCCATCGTCTCAGCCCAAAAACTCCTTAAGCTGATAAGCAACTTCAGCGAAGTCTCAGGATACAAAATCAATGTGCAAAAATCACAAACATTCCTATACACTAATAACAGCCAAATCATGAGTGAACTCCCATTCACAATTGCTACCAAGAGAATAAAATACCTAGTAATGCAACATACAAGGGATGTGAAGGACCTCTTCAAGGAGAACTACAAACCGCTGCACAAGGAAATAAGAGAGGACACAAACAAATGGAAAAACATTCCATGCTCATGGATAGGAAGAATCAATATCGTGAAAATGGTCATACTGCCCAAGGTAATTTATAGATTCAGTGCTCCCCATAAAGCTACCATTGAGTTTCTTCACAGAATTAGAAAAAAAGCTACTTCAAATTTCATATGGAACCAAAAAACAGCCCATATAGCCAAGATGGTGCTAAGCAAAAAGAACAAAGCTGGAGGTATCACACTACCGGACTTCAAACTATACTATAAGGCTGCAGCAACCAAAACAGCATGGTACTGGTACCAAAACAGATACATAGACCAATGGAACAGAACAGAGGCCTCAGAAATAACACCACATATCTACAACCATCTGATCTTTGATGAACCTAACAAAAACAAGCAATGGGGAAAGGATTCCTTATTTAATAAATGGTGTTGGGAAAACTGGTTCAGAAAACTGAAACTGGACTCATTCCTTACACCTCATATAAAAATTAAGTCAAGATGGATTAAAGACTTAAACATAAGCCCTAAAACCATAAAAACCCGAGAAGATAACCTAGGCGATACCATTCAGGACATAGGCATGGGCAAAGTCTTCATGGCTAAAACACCAAAAGCAATGGCAACGAAAGCCAAAATGCCACAAATGGGATCTAATTAAACCAAAGAGCTTCTGCACAGCAAAAGAAACTATCAGCAGAGCGAACAGGCAACCTACAGAATGGGAGAAAATTTTTGCAATCTATCCATCTGACAAAGGGCTAATATCCAGAATCTACAAGGAACTTAAACAAATTTACAAAAAAAAGAAACAACCTCATCAAAAAATAGGCGAAAGACATGAACAGACACTTCTCAAAAGAAGACATTTATGCAGCCAACAAACATATGAAAAAAAGCTGATCATCACTGGTCGTTAGAGAAATGCAAATCAAAACCACAATGAGATACCATCTCACGCCAGTTAGAATAGCGATCATTAAAAAGTCAGGAAACAACATATGTTGGAGAGGATATGGAGAAACAGGAATGCTTTTACACTGTTGGTAGGAGTGTAAATTAGTTCAACCTTTGTGGAAGACAGTGTGGTGATTCCTCAAGGATCTAGAACCAGAAATACCATTTAACCCAGCAATCCCATTACTGGGTATATACCCAAAGGATTAGAAATCATTCTACTATAAAGACACATGCACACATATGTTTATTGCAGCATTATTCACAATAGCAGAGACTTGGAACCAACCCCAAATGCCCATCAATGATAGACTGGATAAAGAAAATGTGGCATATATACACATGGAATACTATGCAGCCATGAAAGAGAATGAGTTCATGTCCTTTGCAGGGACATGGATGAAGTTGGAAACCATCATTCTCAGCAAACTAACACAGGAACAGAAAACCAAACACCACATGTTCTCACTCATAAGTGGGAGTTGAATAGTGAGAACACATGGACATAGGGAGGAGAAGGTCACACGCCGGGGCCTGTCGGGGGGTGGGGGGCAAGGGGAGGGATAGCATTAGGAGAAATACCTAATGTAGATGACAGGTTGATGGGTGCAGCAAACCACCATGGCACATGTATACCAATGTAACAAACCACGTTCTGCACATGTATTCCAGAATTTAAAGTATAATAAAGTGATTATTGATACTGTTGGAAAAAAAAGAATGTAAAAGTGTTGGCTAGGCATGGTGGTTCACACCTATAATTCCAACACTTTGGGAGGCCGAGGCGTCTTGAGCCTTACTTAATGGCCTCTTTCATTATGTTGCGCAGGCTAGTCTCAAATGATTCAAATTCCCAAAAGTGAGAATCACTTGTGCCCAGGAGTTTGAGACTAGCCTGGGCAACATAATGAGACCCCATCTCTGCAAAAGAGAAAAAAAAAGAAAAAGAAAAAGAAAATTACCCAGTTGTGGTGGTGCATGTCTGTAGTCCCAGCTACTCAGGAGGCTGAGGCGGAAGGATGACTTGAGCAAGGGAGGTGGAGACTGCAGTGAGTTGTGATTGTGCCACTGCACTCCAGCCTGAGCAACAGAGTGAGACCCTATCTCAAAAAAAAAAAAAAAAAAAAAAAGTTAGTTTATAAAGAAGACCTGGAACCAAAAAGTTTGAGAACTGGACTAAAGTAACCTAAAATGGTAACTGTTTAAAGTAGGTAGGGATTCTTAATCCAGGGTTCCCAATACTCTTATAGAAAGAAAAAATATTTTTATATCTATATATCTTTTTTTTTTCACTAACCTCTGAATGAAATTCAGTGTTTCTATTTTGAATGCAGGCAACAAAACACAGCAGTAATATTAGCAGCAACTGTGACTTTGTTGCCAATAGATGTTTTTTCCTATATCCATATTTAAAGATTGTTTCTTGAAGCAACATATAGTTAGGTCTTGCTTTTTTATATTGCCTTTGAATTGGAATGTTTAGACAATTTGCATTTAAGGTAATGATGTGATTTCCTTTCAATTCTACCATCTTGCCTTTTGCCTTGTATTTGTCCCATTTTTTTCTTTGCTTTTTTTTGCTTATTTGTTTGCATTTTTCATACTTTCTTTTTGATTGAGTTGAATTTTTTTTTTTTTTTTTGACATGGAGTCTCGCTCTGTTGCCCAGGGTGGAGTGCAGTGGCATAATCTTGGCTCACTGCAACCTCTGTCTCCTGGGTTTAAGCAATTCTCCTGCCTCAGCCTCCCAAGTAGCTGGGATTACAGGCGCCTGCCACCATGCCCAGCTAATTTTTATATTTTTAGTAGAGATGGGATTTTGCCATGTTGGCCATGCTGGTCTCCGACTCCTGACCTCAGGTGATCCACCCACCTCAGCCTCACAAAGTGCTGGGATTATAGGCGTGAGCCACCACCCCTAGCCTGAGTTGAATTTTGTTTGTTTTTTAGTGGTTGCTCTGGGACTTACAATATACTTCTTTAACATATGAGAATTTACTTTCAAAACATACTATATTACTTCATATATAATCTAAGGACCTTAAGTATTCTATTTCTCTCTCTTCTACTATTGTAATATATTTTACTTCTACATGTAAACCCTGTGATTGTTACCATTTTTGATTTAAGTGGTGAAATTACTTTTGTGGCTGGGTGTGCTGGCTCATGCCTGTAATCCCAGCACTTTGGGAGGCCAAGGTGGGAGGAGCCTTTGAGCCCAGGAGTTTGAGACCAGCCTAGGTAACATAGTGAGACTCTGTGTCTACAAAAAAAATTAGAAACATTAGCCAAGTGTGGTGGTGCACTCCTGTAGTGCCAGCTGCTCAGGAGGCTGAGGTGGGAGGATTGCGTGAGCCTAGGAGCTTGGGATCTTGGGTGAGCTATGATCACACCGCTGTATTCCTTGTACTCCAGCCTGGGCAACAGAGTGAGACCCTGTCTCAAAAAAAAAAAAAAAAAAAAAAAGACTTGTTCACGATTTAAATGTATGCTGGTGAACTTTTTGCCTCCAGCTTTTTTTTTTTTTTTCCTGCCCCCACCAGGAGGATAAGGTCTGGGAAAAATCTTTTACTTTCATTTCTTCAACATATATTCATTGTATTTATCGTTGTAGGTTGACCAGTTTTTTCTTTGTTTTATAGATGTTCTATTTTCTTGTCTTGCATAGCTTCACAAGAAGTCTGTGTGTGTGTGTGTGTGTGTGTGTGTGTGTGTGTATATATATTTTTTTCTTTCTTTCTTTTTTTTTTTTTTGAGACGGAGTCTTGCTCTGTTGCCCAGGCTGCAGTGCTGTGGTGCAATCTCGGCTCACTGTAAGCACTGCCTCCCAGGTTCAAGCGATTCTCCTGCTTCCGCCTCCCAAGTAGCTGAGACGACAGGCTCACACCACCACGCCCAGCTAATTTTTTGTACTTTAGTAGAGACGGGGTTTCGCCGTGTTGCCCAGGCTGGTTGCGAACTCCTGAGCTCAGGCAATTTGCCCACCTTGGCCTCCGAAAGTGCTGGGATTACAGACGTGAGCCACCGTGCCTGGCCAAAGTCTGTATATTTTAACTTTGTTTCTATCTAAATTTTTTCCCTCTGGCTTCTTGTAAGATTTTCTGGTTTTGACAGCTTTTCAGGAATTTGATTATTGTGCCTCGTTGTGGTTTTCTTTGTGTTTATACTCCTTCAGGAGGGGGGCTCATTGAGTTACTTGGATGTGTAGATGGGTTTTTGTTTTTGTTTTTTTTTTTTTGTTTTTTTTTTTGTTTTTTTGTTTTGTTTTTGAGACAGGGTCTCACTCTATCGCCCAGGCAGGAGTGCAGTGGGACAATCACAGATCACTGCAACCTCTGCCTTCCGAGCTCAAGGGGTTCTCCTACCTCAGCCTCCCAAGTAGCTGGGACCATAGGCACATGCCACCACGCTCAGCTAATTTTTTGTATTTTTGGTAGAGATGAAGTTTCACCATATTATCCAGGCTGGTCTCTAATTCCTGGCCTCAAGTGATCTGCCCATCTTGGCCTCCCAAAGTGCTGGGATTACAGGCATAAGCTACTGCACCTGGCCAGATATATCAGTTTTATCAAATTTCGAAAATGTCATTATTTCTTCAAATGCACTGCTCCCCATTCCAGTTACATATATATTATACTGCTTGATAGCTTGGTATTGTCCTGTAGTTCTAGTCTTTTTTTTTTCTTTTTCTTTTCTTTCTTATTACACCCCTAACCCTTCTACCCTTGCTTCTTTCTTCCCTCTCTCCTGTCTCCCTTTCCCCTTCTCTTCTTTCCTCTTATTCTCATCACATTTGAACTTTGTTTAAATTTGTGTATTTTCTGTTGCTGTGTCTTCAGATCCCCTGAACTTTCCTTCTGCAGTATTTAATATATTGTTAATACCCTCCAGTGATATTTCTATTTCACATACTGTTTTTGAATACTGTAAGTTCTTCTTGGTTCTTATTATATGTGTGCCATTTTCTTCCTCATTTTTTTCTTTAAATTTTTGAGCGTATTTATAATAGCCGTTTTAGAGTCCTCATTGGCTAATTTCATCATCTCGTTTCTGGGATGGTTTCAGCTGATTTATTTCACTCTGGTTTCAGGTCCCTTTTTTTTTGAGACGCAGTCTCGCTCTGTCGCCCAGGCTGGAGTGCAGTGGCGCGATCTCAGCTCACTGCAAGCTCCGTCTCCCGGGTTCACACCGTTCTCCTGCCTCAGCCTCCCAAGTAGCTGGGACCACAGGCACCCGCCACCCGCCACCACGCCCGGCTAATTTTTTGTACATTTAGTAGAGATGGGGTTTCACCATGGTAGCCAGGATGGTCTCGATCTCCTGACCTCGTGATCCACCCGCCTCGACCTCCCAAAGTGCTGGGATTACAGGCGTGAGCCACTGCGCCCGGCCTCAGGTCACATTTTCTTTCTTCACATTTCTATTAATTTTTTATTGGATGCTGGACATTGTTAATTTTATATGGTTGAGTGGTGGAATTTTTTTTTTCTGCTTCTTTTAAAGAATTTTGGACTTTGTTCAGACAAGTGGTTGAGTTACACGTGGATCAACTCCATCCTTTTGAGCCTTGTTTTAAGCTTTGTTAGGAAGCATCTAGAATATCATTTACTCTAGAGCTTATTTAGCTTTGCTACTAAGATAAGAGTCTTTTGAGGTTTCTACTGAATTCCTAGTTTTTCAACAAGGAAGACTTCTAGTCAGAACCATATGACTCTGGGAATTGTTCCACCTGTAAATCTCTATTTATTCTTTGCCTTACCTTTTGAAGTTAGTCTGTGTGCTGGGCTTGGCCACAGACTCAAGTGAATCCTTCTGCAGATTTCTGGAATTTTATATGCTTAGCTTCCACTTCTCTGGCCCACTTCCAAGCTCTGCTTGAGTTCTTTCTCCCTTCACCACAGTCTGAAAAATGCCTCTAGGCAGAAAGCCAGGGCAGTGTTAGGTCTCACTTCATTTCTTTTGCATCTCAGAAATCACAGTCCTACACTGCTTATTATCCAATATCTAAAAAGAGTTTTATATTTTTTTGTTCACTGTTCTGGCTGTTATTGTGGGTTGAAAAGTCTGTTTCTAGTTATTCCACCGTGGCCACTGAAAATTATTTCCTGTTTTTATACCTTTTAAGATAATCATGGAGACAAAAAATAAAGTTTACGTTCCTTTTATTTTCTCTGGCTATTTGGGCCTTATGGCGTATATTGCTAATAACTGCCTATAGTGTTTAGCAATTTCATCTGATCTCCTGTTCACATCTTTAATTATTTTCAAGATGACATTTTAAATGGTTCAGCTATAATACAATAATGAACAAAATAGTATAGAATTACTGTAGGATATTTTAAACAAATAAAATAGCATGTACATTATATTAAAGCTCATGAGTGAATGTTTTTAAACAGTACATAAGTTGTTTAAATGATAGCTTTGCAAAGAATTGGGTTTATCATTGTAGTCATAAGGTTATCAACTGTTGGATTTAATCATCTTGTTTTCTAATCAAAGATTTTTAGAAGTAATATGAACATAATTGATGCCTAGTCAAAGATGATCTTCGGTGAATTAAAATATCTGAAAGTAATCCTATAAACTTATGTTAAAATCTGTATGGATTTTGCCATGTAGCTTCTGTTGTCCCTTTGATAGTCTTACAAGGAAAAAAACAAAACAAACTCCTATGTTTGATGCAGTAGTGTACATTATTAGACTGTTAGCATGTTTCTTAATCTTTGATTTTTTTGTTTGTTTTTCAGATCGTCAGTATTTAAACAGATCACATCATGCGTGAGTACAAGCTAGTGGTCCTTGGTTCAGGAGGCGTTGGGAAGTCTGCTCTGGTAAGTTAGCCACCTAACTGTAACTGATTAATATAATACAAGAAGAATTTTGACATTTCCTTGCTTTCAGACTTCTAGATGCCAAAGAGAAAAGGTGGCATTATTATATATCTGATATCTGTCCCACAAAGGACAGGAAATCATTTAATAACCACAGATGTATATAGTTTTATAACATTGGCTCATTTATTCTTATATTTACCAAATATTTATTGGCTATCTTATATGTCAAGCACCAGTGTTGATGATGCAGAGAGGAGTAAGATTGTTCTCTTTTTAAGGAATTTACATTGTATTGGGGGAAACTGATTATTACAGATTCTAGTGGGATAATTCCTCACCTGCTTCCACCCTAGACTTAGATGGAATGAAGGTCATTTTTTGTGTTCATGCTGTTTTTATTTAGTACATAGTTACTGAGTTTCTATAGTGTCAGATTCTAGGGTCACAACAGTGAATGAAAACAGTCATAGTTTCTTATGGAGCTTGCATTATAGTGGAGGAGATGTAATAAATACACAAAGAACTACTTGGTTCTACTTGTGAGCGAGATACTCTGAAAGAAAAATACAGATTAATTTAGAAGAAAGGCAGAGTGGATGTGGGAGACAAATTGGGAGTTAATACTGTATACCAGATAATTGTTTATGGAAGCTTGGATTAGGACCATGGCAGTTAAGAAAAGAGAAGTAAATGTTTGAGGATTGAGTAAGTGGTAGAACTGACATAACTTGGTGCTAGATTGATATGGGGACTAGGAGAGAAGGAGCTGTCAAGGATGGCTCCCAAGTTTCTAGTTTGAGCTACTAATTTTATGGATGGATTAAAAGAAGAAGGGAAACAGTGGAGAAGGAGCAGTGAGAGTCCAAATCAAAGAGTCATGTCAAATTTTATGTTTGTGACATGTTGAAGTAATAAAAAAGAGAGGCCGGTGATATGATTTTGGGTGCCATCAATATGGTGATGATATTTAATTTCATGAGAGTTACATTGCTGTTAGGCATGTAAGTCAGTACCTCTGTCAAGAATGTTTGAGAATATCTGTCATTTTTAATGGCATATAACTTTCAATTCAGCGATTCCCTCTCTAAAAATGTAGCCCACATATAAGTTCACATGTGCAAAATGGTGTGGTCAGGGAACATCACAACATTCTTTACAGTGACTAGAGTCTGGAAACAACCTAAATGTATTCCATTAAGGGGCTAGTTAAGTAAATTTTAATACATTTTCAGAGTAGAATACAGCCATTAGAATGCAATAGCTCTATATATACCGATATGTAATGATATCCAAGATACATTATTAGAGAGAAAAAAGGTACTAAACAGTGTAGACTATAATTTGTGTTTTATATTTAAAAAAATGTAGGCTGAGGGTAGATACCTGTAAAATCATAGAGTATCTCTTCAAGGTTAAATAAGCTATGAATAACATCAGTTACTTTCTTGGGAGTAGGATTGGATAGCTGGGAACAAGGGTGGTAGATAAGCTTAGTTATCACTGCATAGCCTTTTGTGCCTTTTTGAATTTAGTCCTATGTCCATGAATTACCTTTTCAAAAATAATTTTGGAAAAAGTCCATAGGAGTGAAAGAGGTCTAGGGAGATACTAGAGAGAGAAGAGCAGAGCCCAGGACTGAGCTCTGAGTACCTCTCAACCTTTAGAAAGTAGATAGGATTGGAGGATCTAGCATAGAAGAAGGTGTCTTTACTTGATTCCTCAAAAGTCAAGTAAAAAAGAGGAAAGAGATGATCAGAGAGCATAGAGGCAGTTGGACATGATAAAGGAAGCAGCTTTAGTCAGGTCATGTTGCCATAACCATAATGGGGTGGGTTGAAGATTAAATGAGAGCTGAGGAAATGGAATATAGACATTTGAAGAAGCTTGATTATGAGAGGGGACAGAGAATGGGGGCAGAAGCTGGAGAGATATTGGGGTTAAGGGAGGTTTTTGTTTTTGTTTTAGAATTGGAGATAGTAAAGCATATTTGTATGCTGGGGGCAATTCCTCTCCACTGGAGAGGAAAATAAGGATACAGGAGAGGGAAAGAGGAGATGATCCAGTACAAAAACCTGAGGAATAAAATTATAATCTATGTGAATGAATGAATGAGATGTCCCTGAAAATTAAGACAGAGGATAAGATTCAGAGGAGTAGTCAAACATTACTTTTAGTAAGAAAGAAATGAGAAACGTTGGATTGTTTTGCATTTTTGCAAGTCTTATTAATGTCTGGCTTATAGAAGGCACATGGGCTCTTTTGCCTGCTTCTGTATCCAGTCTCTTTCAATAGCACATGTTCTATACCCTTTGGAAGATTCCACTGTAAACTTATGAGAGAAGAAGAAGAGTACCTCTTAGAATACATCTTAGTATTGTTAGGAAGATAGTTTGACCTTAGGGAGCCTCTGCCTTGGACCATATTTTGAGACTCTCTGCTCTAGCCTAAAGCATATTAGGAAGCTGTATTAGACTGCCTTTTTTTTTTTTTTAAATCTTGAATCAGCATCTTGCCCTGGAGTGCAGTGGCGTGATCATGGCTCACTGCATCTTCAACCTCCTACACTTAAGCAATCCTCCCACCTTAGCTACCCAAGTAGCTGGGACTACAGGTGCATGCCACCACACCTGGTTAAATTTTTAAATTTTTTGTAGAGACAGTCTCACTATGTTGCCCAGGTTGGTTTCAAATTCCTGAGCTCAAGCAATCCTCCTGCCTTGGCCTCCTAAAGTGCTAGGAGTACAGCATGAGCCACTGCATCCAGCGTAGACTGCTTTGTATATTTAAATTATGTGTCGTACTTAGAAGATGAGGTGATTAAATCCTTGATAAAAATCATGATTAAGGTTTTTGGTGTGATTATATCTTGAGTTGCCTTTGAATAATAGAAGCTTAGTAGGAGAAAGAAGTTTGTTTACTATATTTGAGTTAATCTCTTTAGCTCAAGCTAAAATAGTATATCAAATATTCCTCTGAGTAATTTAAGTGTAGATGACCTCAGTCCACATTCTTACCCTTGCTTTTTAGGCAATAATGTACCAGACCCTGTTTTAAAGTTACCTAGGAAATATCTTAAAACCGTCTTCTGTACTTTTTTCACTTACTGAATGATAAATACGTATTTTCTAGTATGTGCTTTTGGATGCCTTTAAAAGTTGATAATATCTGAAAAAGATGAATGGGCAATATTTTCCAATGGAAAAAGTAAGGCTTTGGAATCAGGAAGATGTATGTTTGAATCTCAGCTGGCAAATAGGAAGAATAACTATTTCTGGGACAAATGTGAAATTTGAATGTGGTTATAAATTAAAAGTGACTAGCTTAATGTCTGGAACATAATAGACATTCAGTAAGTTTAAATTTCCCTTTCTCTTTTCCACCACAATTTAGAAAGGCTTTAACAAATTTACAAGATGCTGCTTGAGGTCCAGCTACCTGGGAGGCTGAGGCGGGAGGATCTCTTGAGTTCAGGAGTTCAAGGCCAGCCCAGGCAACATAGCAAAGACCCTGTGTTTAAAAAAAAATTAGAACCTTTGTCACTCCATTAAGGGCAGAGGGCATGGGATAAAAGTTACTATAGATATATAAAGGGGCAATAGGAGTTTAAATATTGATAATTTTTCATGTTTTAATTAGTTCAGATATGTTATTTGTATCCTTGTATATTAAGACTTAATGTAATTAACAGTGTATTATCAGTATTGATGACAGTTTTTAACATGACTACCTCCTTTCATAATAAATGTACTCTTAGTTATGGATGTATCCTTATATTGAAAGAATTAATAATATACTTTACATTTACGTGTTTACCCAGAATTTTCACATAATTTCAATTAATCATTATAATTTGTAGGTTAAGTAACATTCAAAGGAGTTTTCCTTTAATTTTTTAATATTTCTCTTTTTTTTTCCCCCAGACAGTTCAGTTTGTTCAGGGAATTTTTGTTGAAAAATATGACCCAACGATAGAAGATTCCTACAGAAAGGTAAAATGTGAAACTTGTACACACATGCTTACAAGTAGTTCCTTATGATGTTAAAATTTGATCTGTAGATTTGCTTTTTGAAAATAGTTTTGAGAAATAATACAAATATTGTGCATCTGTTTTTAAAAGTTTCATCAAGACAGAACATTTCTTAACAGAATACTACTTTGATATTCAGAGCTCTATGTTCTGTTACTGATTAGTGACTTGTTCCTTAATGTGGACATTTTCCTGGTGGGGAATGTTGCCACATATGAAAAAATTGCATATAAATAGTAGGTGTGTTTTCAACTTACTCTTTTGTTACCAACAATTAAGACCACCTTTATGCTTGAAGTTATCCAGTGACTGAACATTTTTATTTTTGTTTAGTTTTATAAGTTTAAAGATATCTTTAGACTACCAAAAAATTAGAGTCTGTGTAATACTATAATTGGGTTATATGCCATACATTTGTCAAAACCCATAGAATGTACCATGCCAAAAGAAAATCCTAATGTAAACTGTGGACTCTTGGTGATAACGATGTGTTCATGTGGGTTCATCAGTTGTAACAAATGTACCACTCTGGTGCAGGATGTTGATGGTGGGGTGAGGCTATGCATTTGTGGTGGCAAGGAGTATGTGGGAAATCTCTGCACCTTCCCCTCAGTTTTGCTGTGAAACTAAAACTGCTCTAATAAAGTCTATTTAAAAGGGAAAAAAAATTAGGTACTTGGTCTTGACAAAAAATATTCTGTAGAAGACCAGCCAGAGTTGTGGAAAATTTTCAGTATTTTCTATGTCAAATATATTGGGTGGGGTGGAGGTTATAAAAGGCTAGTAGCCAAGAATATTTTTTAAAAAGATTAAACTTTAATAGGAAAGGATTGCTTTTGAAGACATTTTTAGAATTTACCTTTAATAGTGCTGTAACTTTTGTTGAATTAATTTGTTAGTTCATGAAGGACTACTAGTAGAGCAGTTTCATTGTCTTCAAATTGGAAACAGAATTATGCTCTAGATACATCAAGAAACTATAGTCCTAATTGATTATTCACTGAACATTCCCAGTTACAAATTTTGCAGATTATCACACTTGTCCCATAAGTGGTGGGGTGGATGAGTTTGTGGTCTGACCAGTGGTGCCCCTCATCAATGTCTGATCTGACACAGAAGCAGAGTTTAAAATAGTCTTTAGGTTAGCACATTTATTTTTAGAAGACAGTGTTGCTCTACTGAAATTTCCCCAAAGTAAGTTGCTAGTTAAAGCTTTAACTGCAAAGCAAGATCTGTACCTAAAATTCTAAGGGACTAACTTTTCTTAATCCCTTCTTTATTAAAACAGTTTTCCACACAGTTGATAGTTGATACTTTCATTAGACCAACCTTCTTTTCTTTTATAAGACCAATGGGTAAATAGAACTCAGTGTATAAAATTTCACCTTTCACATAGAGCTTTTCTAGAAAAGTGCCTTTTTCTTGAGGCACTGTTTTAGCTCATTGCTGTTTATTTTAGTACTCCTGTGTTTCTTTTATGTCTTAAACTCAGATTTTACTGTGTATTTAATTTTCTGCATATTTTAGTAAAATTTTAACAACTTGAACATGGTAAGTTGGCAAGATTTTCTTTACCCCAAAATGTTGTGCGCATTTTGAGCCATTTAATATTTTTGTACTTTGTTTTCTTTGGAGATAATATAAATACACATATGTACTTTTTTTTCTGTTAGAACTATACTTGTTCGTTGAAGTTTTCCTTAAATTTCAAAATATGACTTTTGCCTTTTCTAATAACAAATAAGAATCGTTACAGAGGTCAGAAAATATCTAAACTCAGCATTAACCATCTTGGCTTCTGTAATATGAATAGACTGTACTTGAGACCGCTGTTCTTTATTGTGGTACCAAGTTTACCCCCAGCCATTACAGCATACTGCTGGAGACAGGCTTTGTATTTGTTAATAGTTACTTTGATGGAAGAGGTGGGAAGAAAACAGAATGAGATTTTGATGTTACTCTTTAACCTTTTTTTTTTTTTTGCCCCCACAGCAAGTTGAAGTCGATTGCCAACAGTGTATGCTCGAAATCCTGGATACTGCAGGGACAGTAAGGATGTTTTCTCTTTTTTTGATAGATTTTAATTTGTGAGCAGGTTTTGTCATCTGAGTAGGTTTTGTCATCCAGATAATTCTGAGTAAAAGTAATCATTCTGATTAAGAAGAAATTCTCTGAACATAGGGATTCTTAAGTATATGAAATCAACTCTGATGTAGTTCATGCTCACATATCACAAAGTTCACCTGTAATAATCTGTGTGTTGGGTTTCTTCCTACATTGAGGTAAGGATTATGCTGTCAGTGATTTTTTAAAATTTATTTTAAATTTAGAGCTTTAGTTAATATTTGTATTTCTATGGGTTTAAATAAGACCTTGTCTCTTGGCACCATAGTCATTAATTTTTATAATTTTTTCTTTTCACTAGCATTTTGACATCTCAAGGGGCTGGTGACAGATACATGTTTTCTGAGGAAGGCAAAAATCTTCCTCAGAAGATTTAGAATTATTTTGAGCCTCCTTTTTCTAATCTTTAAATGAGTATAATGATGTTAGTACATCATAAGGTGTTTGTGATAAGCAAATGAGTTAATAATTATAAATCATTAGGCATAATGTCTGTTACACAGTATGGAATTGTGTATTTGCTTTTATTCTTCTTCATTAATACCATCACCTTTATAATTTTTATTAATAACTGATGGTTTCCAGTTATACTGCCACATAAAATACATACATTAAGCAATCTTTGCTTTTCTTTGTTTATTTTTCTCCATGCACATAGACTTGACACATTAGGCAATTCTTAGCTTTAAAATGGATGGGTTCGTTTTTTGTTTTGCTTAAGAGACGAGGTCTTGCTCTGTCACCTAGGCTAGGGTGTAGTGGTGCAATCATAGTTCACCGCAGTCTCCTGGGCTCAAACAGTCTTCCTGCCTCAGCCTCCTGGGTAGCTAGAATTAAAGGCACGTACCACCACCCCCAGCTAATAAAAAAATTTTTTTTGTAGAGGTGGTTTCGCTGTGTTGCCCAGGCTAATCTCGAACTCCTGACCTCAAGTGTTCTTCCTGGCTCTGCTTCTGAAAGTGCTGGGATTATAGGTGTGAGCCATGGCACCTGGCTGGCATTTTTAAATGTGATAAGTTGTTTAAAATTCAGCACAAAGTTTTCCACTATAATTTTTATAAATGATGGAAACATTTCAGATAGTTCAAAAAAGCATGTAAGCAAATTGGAGTGATTTTATACAACAATATAGTACTAATTATACTGTATTTTTCCATTCTTTTTTGGGAAAATGGCTTAACTCTTATCAGGGACCTTTGCCCTCACAACAAGCTTCTGGTAAAGACCTTCTGAAACTACATTTTCTATCAGCTGAATCAAGCTATCTCTCCCTCTCCCACCCTCCTGCTCTCTAATGTTTTTAGCTTCTGAATCAGCAGAATTCCCCTTTGTTTCCAGAGACCCTAATAGCTAAAATGAATACTTTCTGCTTTTTTTTTTTTTAAATCACATCCACAGTGTACGGGCATTCTTCTTTCTCTGTCCAGATTGTAAGAAGGAAGTTCTCTATCACAGAGATCTTTACTTTGTGCTATCCAATATCGTGTCTGTCTCCCATCTAGCACTCAACACGCTGTGTTATAAGGCCTATTTGCTTGTTTGTGTCCCCAGTACCTTGCATAAAACCTTACAAACAGCTGCATAATCTTGTCTCAAAATCACTCCTTACACTTTGAAGATTTTTGCTTTCTCTCTTTCACATACACTGATTCAATCAGAATTCTTAGTGATTTTACTATCCATATAGAATCTATATGGATATTATAAATGATTTACTACCCTGGCTTGGCCTGTCATTTCCTTGATGTCCATCCTACCTTTAAGGCATTCATACCATGGTTTTACTCTAGGCTATGTGATTACCAATAAGTATAATACCTCTCTAATCTAATTTCCAAGCATCTTATCCTCCATTACTCACTACTTTTTTCTTTATCCATCTCACTTCCTCTTTTTTTTTTTTTTTTGAAACAGGGTCTCTCTCTGTCACCCAGGCTGGAGTGCAGTGGTGTGAACACAGATCACTGCAGCTTCAACCTCCCAGGGTCAAGAAATCCTCCCACCATAACCTCCTGAGGAGCTGGTGCTACTGCAGGTGCATACCACCACACCTAGCTTTTTTTTTTTTTTAATTTTTTGTAGAGACAGGGTCTCACTATATTGTCCAAGCTGGTCTTGAACTGGACTCAAGGGATCCTCCTGTCTTTGGCCTCCCAAAGTGCTGGGATAACAGGTGTGAGCCACTGCACCCAGGCCATCTCATTTCCTTTAGTGCCCTTCAACTTCGTTACAACCTGTAGTCCATTTATCCTAACATCTTTTTATTATCCCTTATATCTTCAACCCCCTCTGCATATAGCTTCAGGTCCACGGTCCATCATTTATAATTCTCTTGAATATATCCTCAACTCCCTTGACTTTTCAGCAGCCTTTGACTCAGTTTATCATTGCTTTCTAATGTAAAACCTTTATTCATTTGGCTTCCAAGAAACAATACTTGCCTGATTTCCTCTGTCTCATTGGTTACTCCTAAGTCTCCTTTCCTAATTCCTCTTTATCTCCCCTACCTCTTAATGTTGGAGGACCTCAGGGTTCAATACTTGCACTTCTCTTTCCTAACAACACTGCTTTGGAGATCTTGTAGTTGCTTGGTTTTAAATACAATCTGTATGCTGATAAATACTAACTTTGTAACCCTGTCTGTATTAGGCCGTTTGCATTATTGTAAAGAAATACCTGAGGCTGGATAATTTATGAAGAAAAGAGGTTTAATTGGCTCATGGTTCTGCAGGCTATACAAGCATAGCTCCAGCATCTGCTTCTGGTGAACACCTCAGGAAGCTTACAATCATAGTGAAAGGCAAAGAGGAGTAGGTGTTTTACATGGCAAGAGCAAAGAGTGAGCGGGAGATGCCACACACTTTTAAACAACCAGATCTCACGAGAACTCATAATTGTGAGGATAGCACCAAGCTATTCATGAGGGATCCACCTCCATGACCCAAATACCTCCCACAGGCCTCACCTCCAACACTGGGGATTACATTTCAGCATAAGGTTTGGAGGTGACAAACATCCAAACAATATCCCTATCTCTCATTTCTTTTCTGAACTTCGAGCTCTTATATCTAACTGCCTCTTCAATATCTCTTTTTGTATGTCTTATAAGCATCTCAAATATAACATGTCCAAACTGAACTCCTGATAACCTTTCCCTGACCTGGGTCTTTCCAGTCTTTCCCATCTCAGTAAATAGTACCTTTTTAGTTGGTTATGCCTGAAACCATGGAGTCGTCCTTGACTGTATTTTTTGTTATATTATGTGTACATCCAAACTCTCAGAAAACCCTACTGGCTTTACCTTAAAAACTTACCCAGAACTCAGCTACCACCACTAGAATCTAATGACACTATCTTGGTCTAAACAGTTGTCATCTCTCAGCTGGATTATTTCAATAACCTCAAAACTGATCTCCCTGCTTCTCTTCTTCACCCCCTTCAGATTGTTCTCCACACAGTAACCATCATAATTCCATTTAAATGTAAGTCAGATCATGTTTTCCTCAGCTTAAATTATGCATTAAACTCAGAGTAAAAGCCCAGGTCTTTATTACATTTCCCTGAAAGGTCCAAATGAGAATCCTCTCTCTTTGTCCCTTCTCTGGCCCCCACTGCTATACTCACCCACTAGGTAACAATGTTTCAATGAATCCAGCCTCCTTACAGCTTCTCATACACTTTAGACATGTTTCCCTTTGGGGCCTTTGCATTTGCTCTTTCCTGTGCTTGGGGTAGTCTTCCTCCACATAACCATAGAGCTTATTCCCTCACCTCCCTCACATGGTTGCTCAAATGTTACCCGTGAGGCCTTCCCTGAGCATAGTCTTTTAAAATATAACTTTATATTCCTACCCTCAAAATAAACTCCCAACCTTTACTTTTCTCTATAACATTTATTACCATCTTGCATACTTGATTTTTGTCTGTCTCCATGTATACTCCTCCAGGGCAGAAATTTTTGCCTCTCATGATCACTAACATATCCATAGGGCTACAACTATGTCAGTGGATATTTGTTGTGAATGGATGAAACTTGTAGAATGTCCTTAAGAAGGAGGTTGGCATTCTCAATAGGAGGGAACACCAACCACAGCAGTTCTGTAAGGACTTTTCTTAAACTGGATTTTCAGAACTCAGGTTGCCTGTATGTTTATTCTTTTGATTTAATAAGAAGCAGAGACCATGATCTCTAGAGAACATCATAGAAATAGTGTTGCTAGTATTTGTAGCACTTAACATTTGTAAGTAAACTCATTTATTATATAAACATTTGGACAGTGGCAGAATTTAATTGGTTACCATAGTGGTGCAATTCTGGAATATGCAAACTTTATCAATGAAAAATCCAGGAAACTTCCAGTTTTTACATCTTTCCCAGAAAATACACTGGCAGCAGTATAGGAAGCTCAGCCATGTTCCTGTGGCACACCTTAGACGAATTTGAAGCTGGGGAAATGGCTGAGTGGTAGCATAGCTAACTCCCTGGAATACAAGAAAGAGTACATCAGCCAGGGTAGAACAACCAGAACTATTTTAGATGTAGTAGACAAAATAGAGGTAGTGGTCATGGGGAACAAGGAAGCCAAGGCACAACAAGCTTAAGAAACTTTGTGGATTTATCTTTTACGTTTAATGCATCCAGAGGTAAAAAGATCCAAACTGTATAGTTATTTAATATAAAGACCCAAGACATACACATTTTTAATATTCTGCCATATGTGCTTTTTAAGTAATATATATATATAATACCAAAACTTTTCTAAAAGAAGATTTTGTCTTATATTAACCTCCATAGTTACAACATAAAGTAATGATTGTCACCAAATAAAAGGAAGTTTAAAATTAAGTAATTTTAATTTGGCATGACTAAAGCTCAGTAACTAAATGTTAACCATTAGTAAATTTAACTAAAGGGGATAGATAGTCATTGCACTATTCTCACATCTTTTCTAAAGGTTTGGAATGAGGGGGAAAATGAAAATACATGAACAAGCTCTTTTTTTTTTTTTTCCGAGACAGAGTTTCACTCTTGTTGCCCAGGCTTGAGTGCAGTGGTGCGATGTTGGCTCACTGCAACCTCCACCTCCCGGGTTCAAGTGATTCTTCTTCCACCAAGTAGCTGGGACTACAGGTGTGCACCACTACGCCCGGCTAATGTTGTATTTTTAGTAGAGGCAGGGTTTCACTGTGTTGGCCAGGCTAGTCTTGAACTCCTGACCTGGGGTGATACACCTGCCTTGGCCTTCCAAAGTGTTGGTATTACAGGTGTGAGTCATTGCCCCTGACCATTAACAAGCTCTTATAAAGAGTTTATTGACTGTCAAGATGATAAAAATATTGCTATGCCATGGGAATAGAAAAAGAAAGATGATAAAATCTGCCAGTAGAGATATTGATTCTGGATGATGAAGTCATAGTTTAGTATTGGGCTTATACCTCAGATTGTTAGCACTTGGGCAGTAGTTGTGTCATAAATTTGCAAATAAAATTATTTAGGATCAAAAGATCTGTTTCTAAAAAATTATATACAGCTCTAAATCACACAAAAGCAAATTAAAGTGGTTAAGAATTCCTTTTTAATTCTAGTTTACTGTCATTGTTTCTAGTCACCTCAGTTGCTAGAAACTTGTGTTATGTCTTGTTTTCTGTCAGGATAGCAAGTAATAAAAAATGTTACTCACTTGTAATTATGCTGTTTTAAATTGTTGCAGTATACATTCAAGAAATTTATATATTTATAATTGCATATTTTTTAAATCATAGGAGCAATTTACAGCAATGAGGGATTTGTATATGAAGAACGGCCAAGGTTTTGCACTAGTATATTCTATTACAGCTCAGTCCACGTTTAACGACTTACAGGACCTGAGGGAACAGATTTTACGGGTTAAGGACACGGAAGATGTAAGTATTTTTTCTCTCTGTAAGATGTTATGCCATCTCTCTGTGGCCAAATAAAAAAGTGCCTGTTTTCTCTATTAGTAGAGGATTTGGAAGCTATCTACCACATGCCTGAAAGAGCCCCTGTGACCAAAAGAAAAAAATTTAACTTTCAAAATTAACCTCAAAATTATGTGGTGAGATGTTTAGAAAATGAGGACATATGTGATAAAGTACTCATTGTGCTATAGGTTAAAAAGTGCAGTAGAGGAAAAAGAGGAGCCAAAGAATACTTCATAGA
Organism: Homo sapiens; assembly: GCF_000001405.40. Taxonomy (NCBI): domain Eukaryota; kingdom Metazoa; phylum Chordata; class Mammalia; order Primates; family Hominidae; genus Homo; species Homo sapiens. The sequence goes on from NC_000001.11 coordinate 111,703,754, forward strand.
AGTGGGACCTGAGTTGAGCTTTGAAAGGTGATGGTTGTGTCAGAAACAGTGTTCAAAGAACATTATTAAGATCCATAGTGGTGTGTTTTTATTTCTAAAATTCCATTGGTATAATTCACACATCACAGTCTACCTCCCGGGCTCAAGTGATCTTCCCACCTCAACCCCCTGAGTAGTTGGGACTACAGGTGTGTGCCACCCTGCCTGGCTGATTGTTTTTGAATTTTTTAGTAGAGACCAGGTCTCACTATGTTACCCAGGCTTGTCTCAGGCTCCTGAGCTCAAGCAGTCCTCCTACCTCAGCCTCCCTGGGATTACAGGCATGAACCATTGTGCCTGGCCAGGATTATATTCTTAAAATAATTTGGCATATCTATGTAGTAGGATCTCTTCCATTTTTTTTTTTTTTTTGTCTCTTCCTTCTTCCTTCGCCTCTTCCCCTCAACATATACTTTTCGTTAGTATTTGATGAAGCTTGCGGTCCCAACTAATGCATTTCAGTTGGTGGCAGATAATTGCTTATTTATTTTTTTAAAAGGCTAAGTAATGAGTATGTTATTGTTCATTTTACGTTTTTTTCTTCCCACAGGTTCCAATGATTTTGGTTGGCAATAAATGTGACCTGGAAGATGAGCGAGTAGTTGGCAAAGAGCAGGGCCAGAATTTAGCAAGACAGTGGTGTAACTGTGCCTTTTTAGAATCTTCTGCAAAGTCAAAGATCAATGTTAATGAGGTAACCTACAACTGCTGGGCAGCACAAACAAGTGCCTTTTTAGTTTGCTTTAAGTTAACAGCCAGACTTTTAAGAAAAAATTTTTATCTTTTAAGCAATCTTGATTCCATAATTTTATAGGAAACACTAAGTAATTCCTGGAAACTATATTTTTTAGCTTGCATAAGGTCACTTTGATGGCTGTATGAGGATACTTAAATTTACCTTATTGTAAAAGAGGAAGCTAAAATTGAAGAATGTGTGTAAAATCCTGCTAAGCCTCTAAGTGATATGCGATAAAGTGGTGTGTAAAAATTGTTACATCACCTTATATTGTAATAATTATTTACCCAAATGTATATAAATAGGTTGTAAAGTCAAGTTGGAAAATAATATGTTTTTATGGATATCACAGAATTGTGTTCTGAGTCTTACCTCACCTTTGGTGCATGACTCATAAGTGGGTAATCTGTGTGGGTATGGACATGTACCTGGAATTCACTCAGTCCTTTAGGCCTGATACAGCTGATGCACAAGGCTTTTGTGTGGGGCATGGGGGTGGGGTCACTGGGTTAAGCACTCCACTATCTTGAAAACAGCTGTGGACAAGAATACTTAGCAAATAAGCTGCATGCCTGGGTGTAAAGGGCCAACAGTTTACTAGTTTACTGGGCCCCTAAAAATTTAGAGCAATTTCCAACTGTCCCCACCAGTCAACCTTAAATAGTTCCCTTGCTTTTGTTAACCTTAACATAAGCCTTTTAAAAAAATAAAAACAACAGAGTGGGCTTCTTTCCTGCCGTTGCTTTTGCCATTTGTAGCATTACAGGTAATCAGTCAGAATTCAGATCACTTAACTACATAGGTGAGAGTGAGAGTGGGTTAAGTTATGAGTCCTCTGTTTTTGCTATTCTCTCTGGCCTGTGGTTCTGCTGGCCACTTTTTCTTGACTAATATTATGCTTATAGACTATTTGACTTTTAAAAATGACCAGGTTACTTTAAACACCTGGCAGGTAAAAAAAAATTAAGCTTGCTTCAACTTCTGTATTTTACAGATAATCAAGAATGCCAAAGCTTGTTTTTTTATGTGAAACCATTTTTAACAAGTACATAAAAACAAGAAATTTATAAATTGTATTTATTCAGCAAATATTTATTGACTATTGTGTGTCTGGCACTGTGTCAGGCCCTCAGGTAACAGTCACTCAGACAGACACTATTCCTGCCCTGAAGAAGTTTGCATCCTACTGGGGGAACAAGTCTTTCAGCAATAATTAAAGAAAAAAAGTGATTTTGATAAAGAATTTGTTAGAAATTGTGAATATGTTTGGCTAGCAGAACAGTGACATGAGGTCACTATCTACAAGATAATTGGCCTTACGGGATGTGGTTCCTTGCTGTCCTTGTCCTTACCTCCATGGGACCCACCAACCAAGTTCATCAGACTCCAGGCTCCGGTGGGGCTGGGTTGGGCCTGAGTCCAGTGCATAGGACTTCTCCCTTTGGGAGCCAGAGGACAGTACACTACATGTTTGTGAGAACCTACATGCTATTAAACTTCCTCTGGATTAGTTTCCAATGCAGCAGAGATACTTTTTCATAGCAGTCTTGTTAAAGCAGAGAGTTTATAAACGAGGGTTTATAAAAACAAACATAGAAAAACCATAAAATGAAATGCATTAGCCATCTCAAGAATCTTTACTTTTTGGAAAACATACAAACTTTATGCTCAGTTCTTGAGAGTGGGGAGAATGGAGCAGATAATTTGAGTTTCTTTTAATATTTTTCTCTTTATAACCCAATAATCCAGCTACAGGATTTCTTTGGTAGTTAATAGTTCCTCACACAACTTTTGCCTTGTAAATTTTTTTGTGAGTTTTGAATGCCTGAAGTATAGAGAGATACTTTCAAAAATTCACCTCTTGGCCTTAAATTTGAAAACAGACACCAGGACATACTGCTTGGCTAAAGAGCCCCCTAATTCATTCATATATATATATATATAATTTTTCAAAAACTCTTATTCACACCACTTTGCAACGTTCTTAAAGTAGTATATGGCTATGCCAGAATCACAGTAGTCTTAATCAAGAATTAATTGTTCTTTGCTGAGGCTGGAATAGTAATTGGAATCAAGACAACCCAATTTAGGAATGGGAGAGGGATTGAGAAACTCTATTCTGTGTTCCCTTTAGATTTTTCTATAGTTCAGAGAGATGAGGAAGAACCTAGGCTGGGGCCTTTCAGCATTTCTAACCAAATATTATAGTTCGAACTTGCCCTCATCACTGAACCATCTGCTGCTGTGAGGTAGGCAATGTTTTCCAAAGAAATAATTTAGAATAATACTACAAGCATTAGTTACCTTTCTATATAGTACCAGAAACCAGAAACTGGCTAGTATGAAGAAACTGAAATAGAAACTACTTGTAATTTTTATTAACTTACTGTTTTAGTTTACTTTTATTATTTTTTTATCTTATAGCTTATGCATTGAGTATAGGGAACTAATGAAAACTCATTTGTGGCTTAAGCACATTGAGTTCTTGAAGTTTTCAGAGTTTTGAAACAACTTGGACTTCGGAGTTGTAAAACAGAAACTACAATTTTGTTTATAAATTCTGTTTTCAGACTTTCTTTAGAAATAAGATGACAGAGAGTTAAATGATTTGAAGAGGATGGGAGTGGGAAGAATGGAGCAGAAAGAAAAGAATTTAAATGAGTCACTTTTGTAGCTTTTGGATAAATCATTCAGGTTTTTTTTTAACGGTTAATTTAGTCTTGTAGTCTGGACCATTTAAAAAAGGAAATAGGTAATTATCATTTTAAAGAAATACAATTATTTGCCATCTATCTTAAAATACATGTAGACCGATAATTTAAAAATATTTTACTCTTAAAATGTACTCAAATGATGTAAGAACAATAAAGAAGAATTTGTTTACCCTTCATCAGATTCACCCATTATTAAAATTTTGCCACTTGTTTACAGAAATTACACTTCTTTACCCCTAAATATTTTAGTGTATGTATCCTCAGATCAAAGACATTGTCTTACACAACCACAGCACAATGATTAGAATCCTAAAAATTGATGACACAGTCTGTGTTTGGTATATATTCAGATTTTACCAGTTGTCCCTGTAATGCTCCTTAAAGCCAGTCCATTTTTTAATATACTGCAAAGAATTATTTATTCCAGATTAGTATCAATAAGGGACTTCTGTGATATTTGTTTTTATTCCAAATCATTAGTAAGTGTTGTATTTCATAGCAAAGCTTATCTGTTTCATGTTTTAATACTTTGGCATCAGAATTAAAATAGTCTGCTTTTATGAGATAAGTAGCATTGTATTTTTGTCTTTGATACTTTGCACTTTTCATCCAAAAATGAATCCACAAGATGTATTAACAAACATTATTTGGGCTGGGCACAGTGGCTCACACCTAAAATCTTAGCACTTTGGGAGGCTGAGGCAGCCAGATCACTTGACCTCAGATGTTTGAGACCAGCCTGGACAACATTGCAAAACCCTTGTCTGTACGAAAAATACAAAAATTAGCTGGGTGTCGTGGTGCACGCTGTAGCTCCCAGCCGTTCGGGAGGCTGAGATGGAAGGATCACTTGAGCCTGGGAAGTGGAAGTTGCAGTGAGCTGATTGCACCACTGCACTCCAGCCTGCGTGACAGAGCAAGACTCTGTCTCAAAACAAAACAAACAAACTAAAAACCACAAATATTTGTTATTTCAAATCAAGGATTAGCAGACTTTTTCTACTTTTTACGTTTAACCAAAATTAACATCAAAAAAAGGCAAACAAAAATCATGCGCCTCCGCATGTGATACCTTGAAAGGGAGACAGTATCTCTTTTGTCCTATTTTAGACAAAAATGTATATAACCTGAATCTAATCACGAGAAAACCTCAGATAAACCCAAATCAAGGGAAGTTACTAGCCTTTATTTTTCAGAAATGACAATGTCCTGAAAGGCAAAGGCCAAAGAACTGTTCCAGATTTTTAAAAACTAAAGTGAGAGGAAATAAACTGCAATGTGTGATCCTGAATGGATCCTGTCCTTGGAGGGGAAAGTTACTATAAAGTACATTATTGGGGCAGTTGACAAAATTGGAATTTGCTCTGTAGTTATACAAAATAATGTGTCAATCCTTAAATGTCTCAAGTGCAATAACTATAACGTGTTTATGTAAGAGAATATCCTTGTTCTTAGGAACAACTTAACTGTTAAAGGACTTAATAGTTAAGGTCTACTCTCAGATGATTCAGAAAGTGTGTGTGTGTGCACGTGTGTGTGTATGTATGTGTAGTAAAAGTGGCAAAATGTTACTAATTGGTGAATCTGGGAAGAATAGAACCGAAGTTGTTGGTACTATTTTTGCAACTTTTCCGTTGGTTTGGAGTTTTCACTATTTTTCACTACCAGTTCTTTTTCTTGATTTGATGTCGAATATCTAGGAGCAAGGGCATTTCCTTCATTATAAATAGGTAAGTCCTGCTTTCTACCCTGATTGAAAGTCAGCAGAGCCTTCTAACAAACCTGACTTTAAAAGAAAGAAGCAGAATGCAGATCTAAGACCAGAATAGTACTTACCAGAATTGTTTTGTGGAACAAAGTCTCAAAAACTGGTGGAGTAAGTACTTTTTTTCTTGTTTTTACTTAGATATTTTATGACCTGGTCAGACAGATAAATAGGAAAACACCAGTGGAAAAGAAGAAGCCTAAAAAGAAATCATGTCTGCTGCTCTAGGCCCATAGTCAGCAGCAGCTCTGAGCCAGGTAAGATGCTAAAAGCAGAACAAGTGCCTTTCTCATGCTCCTATTTTGGCTTTTTCCAGACTTTAGCTACTTCCCATTTCATCTGTTATGGTATTTCTAAGCTTCTGTAACTTGTAAATGTGATATATAACTTGTAGGTACGTCATCTGTTGGATAACTTGCCCTCTCCCCTTGAGATTCTAAGCTCTCTGACAGCAGGGACCATTTCTGTTTTTTCTTGCCACTGTGTCCCCAGTGCTTGATACAGAGTTGGGTTTTAAAAAATAGTAGTTGAATGAATAGAACGCCTTCCTAGATGACTCCCAAATTCATTCTTAATTGAAGTGAAACAGTAGTTGCTCTGAAAAAGTTTAAGTGCACATTTGGTGAATTATCCCAAAGTGACATACCCGTATATAACAACAAGAGTCACCCTTCCCCAAATTAAATTAAAACTCTGCCCTGATTTCTAACTCCATGGATTAGTTTTGCCTCTCTTTGAACTTTACATAAACAAAAACGTAGTGTATTTCCTGTGTCTGGCTTCTTGCACTCCAAAATATGTTTTTGAGAATTATTTATGTTAAATGTATCAGTAGTTCATTTTTATTGCATGACAGTACTGGCAGTATGTTTATGTATTCTTCTGTTGGTGTTCATTTAAGTTCTTTCTTTGGGGGAATTAGTATGAATAATTCTGTGCACATTCCTATATGTCTTTGTGCACATGTACATGCATTTCTGTTGGGTATATATCTAAGAATGGAATGGCCAGATCATATACTATACATATGGACAGCTTTAGTAGATACTGCTAAAAAGTTTTTCAAAGTGGCTGTACCAGTTTACACACCCTGCAACGGTTTTTGAGTTCTACATTCTCCCCAAAATTGATATTGTCAGTCTTCTTAACTTGACCCATTCCAGGAGATGTGTGGTGGTGTATCAGTGTAATTTTGGTAGTTATTTCCCTCTCTGGTATGAGTCAACTTCTTTCAAATAAAGGTTTTCTATTTGGGCTTCTAAGTATTAGTTGACTTTACCATTTTAGTTTCCACTAAGTGACCCCATTGGAAAGAAATTTATGACAGCATTTAAGCTGACTCTCAAGTGAGAAACCAGGATCTATGGGGACTTTTTTCTTTAATTTGTATTGTATTTAAATCCCCTGAAGGTTTCTACTTAATCAGTTCTATAAATAATACCATAAAAGATTATTTTCATGGAGTGGATTTATTACATAATTTGGTGCTTATTACATGATTATTACTAAACTTGGTCTCCAGTTGGAGTAAACTGGTCCCACTGGAAAGTTGGTTACACTAACTCTTGTAAGTCTCTTGGTCTATTTAGTAGATTATCCCTTAAGAGCTCCCAATTAACTACTGTGTGCTTCCTTAGAGATATGAATCTCTCTATTAAGGGAAACACCTGAGTAATTGTAGTTCCTTTTTTAAATGAAGGTACATAGAGGAAAAATGGGCAGAAAGGAGAAAAGGGCCTAGGGATTATCTCTGGTAGTCAGATTTAGGAAAGACAGCATCTGGCTAATGTTTGCTTTAGGCTTTTAATGAAATCTTAATTCAATAACTTTTTTTCTTTTTTTTGAGACGGAGTCTCGCCTTGTCACCCAGGCTGGAGTACAGTGGCACACTCTGCTCACTGCAACCTCTGCCTCCCTGGGTTCAAGCTATTCTCCTGCCTCAACCTCCTGAGTAGCTGGGACTTCAGGTGTGCACCACCATGCCTGGCTAATTTTTGTATTTTTAGTAGAGACAAGGTTTCATCACATTGGCCTGGCTGGTCTCAAACTCCTGACCTCAGGTGATCCGATCCACCTGCCTCGACCTCCCAAAGTGCTGGGATTACAGGCGTGAGCCACCGCGCCTGGCCTTGATTCTATAACTTTAAATCATCAGTTCCCTGAAAGTGATTATTAAGATTACTGGTGTATGTATTTGTTTAGGTAAAGGTGCAAAGATAGAGAAAATGAAGACTCCAGTTCCAGTTCTTAAATACTATATTATTTAACTCTGTTATAGTTGACTGGCTTATTGACAGCTCATTACCATGGCTGGCCCTAATTTAATTTCCAGTTCTCACAAAATATCCTTTTAGCTTATGTTAAAGGAAAAGGTGCCATCTCCTGGCCTATTACGATTTTTAAAATTCATTTATACACACCCAACAATGTGACAGTCCCTTGTGAGTTTTACCTTAGAGAAGATAAATCTTGACCTAGATCTGGAATAAGACTTTAGTCTTGCTTGCATAAATTCTTAGACTCTGATGTGTGATAAAGTTTACTTAATAAGTCATCCAAGATCTCTGTGGATGTTTGATAATACCAAATAATAGGTGACTTAGCAATCAGACTGCTTTGCATACATTTTAGTGTGATTGTAGATTTGAAGTGCCATGTTGTTCCTGTACTTTTAAAAGTACTGAGATACAGGATAGATTTAAATAGAAATTATAAACGTTTTTAGTAAGAGTACATGAACTCTGAGGCCACCTTATCTAGTCCATAGCCTTTAGGCAAAATTGTATTGAATCATGTTAATCTCCTTTTTATATGTCCCAGTTTTAAAGACATCTGAGAGAAATTCATCATGTGGATTATTTTACCTGATTCTTGTCTGTTGACAATAAGACTAACTTTGATTCTTCTGCTCTTGACTATGGGGATTAGCTCTTTCTGTATCATCCCTTGCCTTAACCTGTATTAGAAATGGTAATTCTAATATATAATCATAAAATGCTTGAATAAAGAATATCTTATGGAAAGTTTATGGAGGCAGGTGTGTCCTTCAGTAAAAAAGGAAAGTAAAAATAAGATGGTAATGAGATAGAATAAAAATATCATTGTCTTCCTTTGTACAGACAGGATTGTCAGATGTAATGGGAAACACTATAATTGAGTATAACTAAGTATAACTGAGGATAATTCAAGTTGATCAGTTATAGACTCCTCTTGTAAACTTCTATTTTTGATTTTTTAAAACATTTTTAAAGGGAATTTAAAATAGCACTGTTACTGTAGCTGTTTAGCATAATTTAGTTCTCAAGTTATGATCAGCTAAAATCATTATTTTTTTATTTTATTGAATACCTGCTTGTTTAGTACCATTTTCTGACATCAAGAGATTAACCATACATATATGTATATCTGTATCCAATGTCTTAGATTACAGGAATGAAGAACTGTTGCCTAATTGGAAAGTGCCAGCATTCCAGACTTCAAAAATAAAAAATCTGAAGAGGCTTCTCCTGTTTTATATATTATGTGAAGAATTTAGATCTTATATTGGTTTGCACAAGTTCCCTGGAGAAAAAAATTGCTCTGTGTATATCTCTTGGAAAATAAGACAATAGTATTTCTCCTTTGCAATAGCAGTTATAACAGATGTGAAAATATACTTGACTCTAATATGATTATACAAAAGAGCATGGATGCATTTCAAATGTTAGATATTGCTACTATAATCAAATGATTTCATATTGATCTTTTTATCATGATCCTCCCTATCAAGCACTAAAAAGTTGAACCATTATACTTTATATCTGTAATGATACTGATTATGAAATGTCCCCTCAAACTCATTGCAGCAGATAACTTTTTTGAGTCATTGACTTCATTTTATATTTAAAAAATTATGGAATATCATCTGTCATTATATTCTAATTAAAATTGTGCATAATGCTTTGGAAAAATGGGTCTTTTATAGGAAAAAAACTGGGATAACTGATTTCTATGGCTTTCAAAGCTAAAATATATAATATACTAAACCAACTCTAATATTGCTTCTTGTGTTTTACTGTCAGATTAAATTACAGCTTTTATGGATGATTAAATTTTAGTACATTTTCATTTGGTTTGTGTGTTTTTGTTATTGTTTATAGATTAAAGCGTTTATTTTATAATGACCACATTGTTTTAAATGCGACAGTAGCTCCTTTCTGCCTAGTATCTGCAGAACACTGGCTTTAAACTATACTAAGTAACTGGTGATTTCTCTAGGAACAGACCTCGCACTTTCTGTTCTAAATATATTTATTCCTACTATACAGTAAAATACATCAGACAACATAGAATAGTTTTGTATATTCTCTCTTGATCTTAAAGATTGTATCTTATTGAATATCCCACTGTATATTATTTTTATATGTAAAAAGATAAGTTTAATACTGTATCAGGGTTTAACTTTTACTATTTCAGATCTTCCACAGCTTGTAATTTCATCAAGGGAATCCTTTTGCATTGTTAATTTGTTGGGTGTGAGTCCACCAATGAAGTGTTATGTGAAAAATTTCAAACTTGCTTTATAATAGATTGAAGAATTTGAGAGAAGTGAGAGAAAGTTAAAACACATAAAAGGAATGTGTTACTTTTGCTTAAACTACTTATGAAATAGTATGGTAGTAGTAATATGGAAGAGATTGCTAAGTTAAAATTGTAGCTTCCTATATAGTGGTGCTTTTTCTTTTCCTTCCCAGTTATTTTCCTCTTTACAAAAGATAGGGCTTAAGTAAGACATGGACCCAGGGTGATACTACTTATGTAGTCTCTATAAAGAGAGGTAGAACAAAAAGCTTGTTAGCCAATTAAGTTCTGGAAAAGGAAAGAAACAAGCTTAGAAAACCCTGTGCCTTGTCCTCAAATATTAAGGAGGAGACAGACCAGTCCTAGAAAGTCTAAGTCATTGCTCAGGGATCTCTAGATACTGTCTCTTTGCAACTAGGTATGAAGAAGTGTTCATGCCTTGCTGAGATTTTCCAGGCATGTGGTCAGCCTGTCACTTACTAAACTGAAATTTTAAAATCAGGTTTCAAATGTTAAGCTTTGACCAACCTGAGAAAATGTTAAAGTATTGTTTTTAAAAAAATGGAAATTTTTTTTGTTTGTGTTTTTGTTTTAGTTTCGAATAAACTTAGTTACCTTACACTTCCCTTCTACTTATCCAATTATGCATATGTCTGGGATTGAGGGGCCAAAACTATAGCGAACTTGAATGAAGTATTAGGGCCAGTTGTCAGGTCAGGGTGGCATCTTTTATTTTAAGGTCCTCTAAAGTCATTCTGCTTTAAAACACCCCTCAAACATACCTTTAAACTTAAGATCATAGACAGACATCTCATCAACCAGTAAAACTTTCTAAATACTACCTTGTCACATCTATTGTGTAGTTATTTAACAGATTAAATAGAAGTCATTTAATAAGACTCCAAGTCTCAGTCTGCTTGACTAGTAGCATAAACTCAGTCTATTCTATTTTAGAATGTGGTGGAGAAAGATGATAGTTATTAGATTCCTTTGTCACATCTTATACAGTCCACTTGGGTTAAAGGTGGAACTGTCAAGAAAAACGCCTTTCTGGCACACAGTGATATGCAGAGCAGGACCAGCTGAAGTCAGATGTGCAAGGAAATCTGTGGTTGCTGAGCAGGATGAAAAGTATCCTGTTAGAAAGTGAGATAGGTGTGTTTTTATATTGTCCTAATGTGAACTCCTTAGTCTTGGTTCCAAAGGGAAGGGTACCTGAAAATAAATGTATTTTTATAGCTGAAAAATCAAGAGTTTCTAGGATATTGTGTGAATGTCAAATGATAAATATCTAGAAACTGATTTCATATTAGTATGTGTGGCTATTTAAAGTATAATGACTTTGGTTTGGTTATATGAGTGACACAGAATTTAAGGAGGCTTCATGCCATAGTTCATAGTTTGCTCTAATGGCTTGGTGGTATCCCTGAACAGTCTACTTTTAGAAATTAACAGTAAATACACAATCCAGCTGTAATCTTACCCTCCACCAGGGGGAGCTTCAACATCGGTTAATACTTTTTTTTTTTTTGAGATGGAGTCTCGCCCTGTCGCCCAGGCTAGAGTGCAATGGCTCAGTCTCCGCTCACTGCAACCTCTGCCTCCCGGGTTCAAACAGTTGTGCCTCAGTCTTCCAAGTAGCTGGGATTACAGGCACCCGCCACCACGCCCAGCTAATTTTTGTATTTTTAGTAGAGACGGGGTTTCATCATGTTGGCGAGGCTGGTCTTGAACTCCTGACTTCGTGATCCGCCCCCCCCTCAGCCTCCCAAAGTGCTGGGATTACAGGCGTGAGCCACCGCGCCTGGCCCGGTTAATACTTTCATAAGCATTGAAGTAACTATTTAAGTCCTAGTACATAAACACTGTGTGGTTCACAAAAAGGCATAGAGACATTCTCTCAAGAGTTTACAATCTAATTGGGCAGGGAAGATACTACAGTTCATCAAAGATATGAATAACACCCTAGTTTTCTGAACTGCAGCTGCATGGGTAATTATCTTAAGAACTTTTGGCAAAATATGGATGTTGGTGTGTTACTCTCTTCTCCCTACAACTCTGAACTAATCTGTGTTTGGCACCTTGATTTGCCATCATAAATGGCCACCATTTACTCCTCACTGAAATATTCTTCTTCTTTGAGGTTATAATGTACTTGGAAAAGTTAATACTTATAGAAAATAATGATCTTTATTACCAACTTTATTAAAACAGGCTTGGAACATTTTTCTCCATAGAAGAATAGTAATAAGACATTCTACATTTCCTGGACATGGCCAGTTTAAAATATTTTGCCCCATTACCCTTGTAGATACACATGTATTTGTCAGTTTATGTGCCTCAGTTTTGTCTTAGGCACTGAGGGACAGAAAGAGAAATAAGGAATACCTTGGTATTTTCCTTTGCAAGCAATCACAGCAGAATGCTAGAAAACATAAAATATACTCTTATAAATTGTATGTGTGTTGAAACCAAAGTGTGAAGAAATTGTCAGGTATTTGGAGGAGGAAAATAATTTGTAAAATAACCTTTTTAAGAATTTGGATTTTGTACTTATTTAAGGTGCTAAATATGTGTTAAAATATCCCCTCTTGAATCAGCTCCAGGCTTAAAAGGGCAGAGTGGTTTGGATTCTTGTCCAGGGTCTGGAAAGAGCTCATCTTGCCGAGAGGGAAATAAATGTGAGCTTTGAGGCGGTCTAACTACCCAGCTTTTAGTATTTATGTTCCCCAAAATGTAAAAACTGTAAGTTATTCTTGAAAATGTAGTCCAGACATTTCTTTGATCCTGGATTTTACTGCAGTTTCATCATGGGTTTGTTGAATGTGCAGTCCATTTATTGCCCTGTCTTGCTTAAATATTCTTGTTGAGAACAGCTGGAGGCTTTGACTGGGTTCCTAGTTCTGTTTTCTGGGAAGGCAACGTGGATTCTGTTTTGTAGACATTAATGAGCTTTAAATGGGAATTGGGGATGATGTATGTTCGTTGGGCATGCTGAGAAGCGGCCTCCTGTGGTTCTGGGCCCAAGGTGTGACATACATTTCCCACTAATTGCTTCTCTCAAGAAGCAAGAGATTGGCTGTTCCTCTTGAGGAAAAACCTTAATAAACCTTCCCATTTTAAACAGTGGTGTGACTCTTATTTTGAGCTGTTGTTTTCAATGAATTTTTTTAAAGCTTACCATGTTCAAATTTTTGTGCTGAATGTTGTAGGACATGCAAATCAGAACAGGACATGATCCTTAGGGGCCTACCAACAAATATTCATTGCACTTCTACTGTATGGCAAGTGCTGATCTGCATGCCGCGGAAACAACAGTGAACAGTACAGACTCAGATCCCTTTCCTCGTGGAGTTTTTATCTTTAGAAAATGGTAAAAGATAACTTGTGTAATGATGAGTGCTTTGAAGAAGAATTAAGCCGTGTAAAGGGGCAAGAGTACTGGGCAGAGGTGGTGGTAGTGGGTTAATATCTCATTGAAGTTGATACTCGAGTAAGTGTTCAAAGTGAGCAGCCCATGCAACTGCCTGGGGGAAAGGAGGATTTTCCATTCCTTGGGGAAAGGGTCTGTGCCAATGCCATGAGGTGGACATGTGCCTGGTGTGTTGAAGACTGGCAAGGAGGTCAGTATGGGTGGAGCAGAGTGAGCAAGTGGGAGAAGAGTAGTAAAAGAGAGGTAATGGGATTGAGTAGGGGGAAATTTCCCACAGCATTTACTCTGTGTTGAGTCCACGGAAAGGATTTCAGCAGAGGGTATAATGTGATCAGACTCCTCAACCATAATATGCCATCAGGAGTGCTCCGTTGAGCTGAGAATAGCCCGTATGAGGACAAACATGAAGGCTGATACCACTTAGAACACGGAATCATGTGAGGGACAGTGATTTGGACCATAGTGGTAGCAGTGGAGTGGCTATATTCTAGGTGTATTTTGCAAGTGGAGCCAACAGGATTTACTGACACATAAGAGTATAATAGAGAGGGAACAAGGAAGAATCCAAGATTTGGGCCAATAATCAAGATTATGACAGGAGCAGATTGGAAGGAGAATGAGGAATGGGCAGGAGTTCCATTTTGAACCTACTATGTGTAAGAAGTGTGTCACATTCTAGAGATTTATAGTAGGCAGTTGGATACGAGTCGAATTCAGCAGAAGCAGTCTGGAGAGGACATTCAGTATTTTAAAACATGAAACTATGGAGGATCAGTAGGGTTGAGTGTAGATAGAAAAGAGGTTCCTGAGGAATTCTATCAAGAGGTTGAGAGATGGAGAGGAATTAGAGAAAAACATGGAGGGCACTGGTGACTTTGATGGACTGTGGAATGTTTGGGGACATTGTCTGGAGTAGACACAGGAAAAAATGCGAAGAAAAACATTGGAGACATCAAGCATGCATTACCCTATTAAGATGGGTGAAACAGTGCATGTTTCTGAGCTAAGGGGGATGACCCACTGAGAAGGAAAACAGTAAGCTAAATGGGTGGAGTCTAGTATAAAAGTAAAGAAGCTGACTCAGGAGTGTAGGTGGGCATAGTTGCAGGAGGGAAAATGGTATATAGGTATAGAGAAGGTCTCAAAGAAGGAAAGTAGTATGAGACGGGACAGATGCTTTCCATTCTGGGAGATTTGAAGTTCCTCAGAGGGGCGTTTGAAGTAGGCCTTTAAGAAAGGGTGGGATTGGCTGGGCACGGTGGTTCACTCCTATAATCCCAGCACTTTGGGAGGCTGAGGTGGGTGGATCACAGGGTCAGGAGTTCAAGACCAGCCTGGCCAACATAGTGAAACCCCGTCTCTACTAAAAAATACAAAATAAGCCAGGCGTGGTGGCGGGCGCCTGTAATCCCAGCTACTCGGGAGGCTGAGGCAGGAGAGAATCGCCTGAACCCGGGAGGCGGAGGTTGCAGTGAGCTAAGATTATGCCATTGCACTCCAGCCCGGGCAATAGTTTAAGACTCTGTCTCAAAAAAAAAAAAAAAAAGGTGGGATTTTCAACAGGTGAGAGTAAGGAAGAATATTATAGACAGATTTCCGGAAAAAGCAAGTGCAGAAAACGGAAATGAACAAGAAGTTATCTAGTTCCATTTAGTGTTGGGAAATGTGGAAGGAATAGGCTGGAAGAATACATTGGGGCCATGTCATGGCTGGCCTTGAAACAAGAAGTTAACTATCTAGTAGGTTGAATTAAATATCTAGGGCATAGGAACCACCTCAGTGAGACTTGGTGAGGACAGGGATGGAGAAATTTCAGACCTGAGTAGCATGAAAATCACAGTTGTAAGGGTTACTCTCTTATGAATTCTGATGGTCCTCTCTTCATTTCTCACTTCCTTTCCCCCCTTTCTTTAATGAAGATAACCTCTAAGGCCATGACTCCCAGACAAATGTTCCATTTAGAAGGGAACCAGCATTCATTGTTTGGCCCTCAAAGATGTTAAAGAAGAGAATAATCTCTTTTTCTCGCCCTGTATTCCTGTGCTTCACTTGCCATGATTCTGCTCTTCTCAGACTCTTTAGCAGAGGACGTAGCTCCTACCTGGCAGGCAGACTGTTGGTATCCTCCCAGTTTTCCTCTCTACTCCTACTTCATGAACAGCATGAGACAGCAGCCCCTCTGTCCCATCCTAGTGATCTACCATATCATATTGAGAAGGCTTAGTGGGGACTGTTCCTTATCCACCCCCATCTGTTAGCCGCCAATGTTCCCACCAGGGTCCCATCATCAGACCTCTTGTGGGTGAGACGAAGGGCACGGGCCACACTTCTCTAGCCGCTGTCATCCTTGCCCTTAGCATCACTAATGTCTCCAGTTGCACAGGTTGGGGAGTTCAACGCAGCCACCAGGATCAAGGGAACTCTAAGCATGCAGCCTCCTCAGTTTGGAAAGTAGGATTTGGAATAGTGAGACTAGGCACTGGGACCTGCCTGTCTTCCTTGGAGAGGGGATACATGTGCATGGAGAAAGAGATGTTTGATCCTTATACTCCCAGCAGGGTCCTGAAGCCCAGGTCAGAAGCTTTGGAATTATTTGGGCCCTTGAAATCACTGACATAAAGTCTAACTGGGATATGAATTTTATTTTCTGGAATATGAATTGACTTAACAGATGCTTGGAACGTCAGAGCAGGGATTCTAACACCTGCTTAAGTCAATCTGGCCCATTGCTTACTAGGATAACTCAGCTCCCTAAGCCAGTTGCGTGGTGTGGGAGTGCAAGGGGAGGCCCTGGGCCAGGACATGGAGGTGATCTGTGTGATGATACTAACTTTGGCACCTCTGCTCAGGGAGCTGAGGCTATGCAGGGATTTCAGTTCAGTTACTCCATTTGCTTCTTTTTTAATGCCTATCTGCCCATCCCCCACCCCCCCCCTTTCCTACCTCTTCTACACAAATGACTATACTGCTGCTGCCTTACTGGCAGCTCAATCCCTGGTAGGGAGACAATGCCTGGAGTGTGGCCAGTAGTGGAGCCGGAGGCAGGGAAGGCGCTGAACACCCAACTCTCAACTTCCTTTCCCACTGCCCTGCCCTGCCCCTCCCTCCATAATCACAATGATGGGAGGAGAATGTAGCAGACTCAATGTCCCTAGTGGGGCCACCAGCATAGCAAATTAGAAAAAATCTTTGGGTAGGGTAAAACTGGGACCAGATGTTGTTGCCAAAGAGGACAAGGAGATGAACCCAGCCAGGAAGACGAGTGGAAAGGGATCGAGGAAGAAAGGGAAAAACGTGGAGGATAGGGTAAAGGTGACTTCCTCTGGAATGGAAATTGGGACCCACTTGGGATTGAGTAGACGTGGGAATTGCCTGTGATCATCTGAAGGGCCTGGGTTCTGGATAGCCAATAAGAGCATGACAATGGGGACAGGGAGCCAAGTGGGAGGGGTGAGGACTAAGGCTCACCAGACGGCCTACATTAAAATAGAATTGGCCTGGGAGGCTAGGGTGGAGAAGCCAGAGCACCAGGCCAGGGACAAAGGAGACTGCCCAACAGCTTGGAGAGGGTGCTGGGGACAGAGAGTTTTCCTGCTCTCTTGAAAGTGACTCTGGCCACAGCTCCCCCTCTTCTGGAGAACGGGCTGAGGACAAGAGTGAAAAATGGGCTTTAGGAGGCAGCTAAGGAGGCCTTGACTGCTGGTCTTCCCTGAAGCAGGAGATGGGCTCAGCCCAGGGCTCACTTTGAGGAGTGGAGGTCACCCGGGAACCCAGTGCTCAGTACTAGAGGTACGGAAATGAGTAAGGAGTATTTGCCACCCAGGAGGTGCAACAATGTAGAGAGGAAGATAAACATGCACAGAAGTAACTTACATAACAAGTACTGGCAGTGGGGGAACTAGATTCCTCAGGAAACAGCATATGCAAAGACCTAGTGGCATGGAAAGAACCCAAGCTTGGCACACTCAACCCATCACCTTGGAGGGTAAACTGGGTGGGATCTAATTGGGCAGGACTGGGCTAGACACCAGGGAAGACAGGAGACAGGATGAAGTGACAGGATCTCGCAGACAGATCCTGCATTCACTCCTCTGTCCTTCAGACTCTGAGCAGGAGGTGGCGGTGAGGCAGACGGTGAGGCAGGCGGGGCTCAAGTAGAAGCATGGGAAAGGGCCCAAGTGGAAGCTCGAGGTGAGGCCGGGGGAGAGCAAGGGAACCACAGGAAAACAAAACTTGATTCTTCTTTTGGATGAGGACAGCTTCCCCTGCAAACCAGCAGTCCCCAGGCAGCCTCAGATGGGCTCCTGAGACACCCTTCCCTGGCCAGTTGAAGGAAACTGGGATCATCACATTCAGAGTGGAGAAGACTCAAAAAGGGACAAGGCAGACAGCCCAGAGCCAGGTCATGGTGGGTGGAGGCGAGTTGGGAACAAGATTGGGTGGGGGTGTAGAGCTCACAGGAGCTGGTTTTTGGCAGTGTTTCTGGTATGTCCCTGTAAAGGGCCAGTCATCTTGAAGGACATGCCCAGAGGGGCATATAGGTGAATAGGTTCTGTGAGTGGAAGCCGGGGACTGTGCGCAGCCGTGGCCTGAAGCCAGGCATAGAATTCTGCTCTTTCTCCTCAAAGATGCAAGGAAAAGGGAAAGCATATGGTGATTGTCATGGCCCCCTTGTCAAATAAGTATTGCCCCAAACTGTGTTCAGGGACACACTGCTCCTCAGTGTCCTCTCTGACCAGGAACACAGAGGCATTTTCAGGGGATAGTGTGTGTGTGTGTGTGTGTGTGTGTGTGTGTGTGTGTGTGTGTGTGTGTGTGTGTGGTGGCGGGGACGAGGAGGACTCCAGTGGGAGAGAAGAGTGTAAGAATTCAAGGACTTTGTTTCCGGGACATTGGCAAGGCCGACTTCATTGGGGCGCCCGTGCATGTGCATGTGTGCTCCGGAACTGGGGTATGTAGATCTGGGGCTTGGAGGGGGTGGACAGAGTGATAGGTCAGGACTCACTGAAGGGTAGAGAGCCAGGAAGTACGTCCTCTGTCAAATTCAGAGGGAATCTGGAAGAGAGGTTTCATCATACTGTTTATTTTAGGGGTTGGGTGGAGGAGGCAAAAGGAAGGCAAGGGACATCCTAGTAATCGTACTAAGGGGATGGCTGCAGTTTGAGCTGCTTTCCCCTAGGCCTTTCTGGTTCAGTCACCCTTTCTCTGGCAGCACCAGCCCGAGCCCCGAGACCTCTCCTGAAGGTGGGCTTCACAGATTCCTCCACCCCATCAGGAGGGAATGGATTTTAGGAGGACAGCCACAGCACCTTTAGGCCATTAGTTTCCAGGGTGGCCGGAGGGCAGGAGGAAGGGAGCGATGTGGGGGCTATAGGGGACTCTGGCAACTAAGACTTTACAGAGCAGAAAGAGCAGACCAGAGGCTTCTCAAAACCACTAGGACTTGGCACTTTCAACTCTTTACCCCTTGCCAAGAATTTGAGGTCCTTAAGGGTTGACTGTGAGGGGCAGCTAGGGTGTAGGGAGTGGGAATGTTTCCTAGAGCAGGTCCTTAGGCAGTGGGGTCCTCAAGCACCTTTTCTCCAAGCTCAGCCTTTCTCCACCTCCACACCCCCCGCCTCCCCAGTGCATGTCATCCTTTGGGGAACAGTGTAAATTTGCCATTTAGCAAATAACAGCCCATCTGGGTGGCTAGTATACAGTGTACAAAAACATGTCACCTATTGTCTTCTCTGACCCTTGCTACAATCCTGTGAGATATTAAATCAATATAAATGTTTCGACAGAAGAAGAGACCAACGCTCAGAGAAAGCACTTTTTCTTAAGCACTTTTGCCTTGGGTCACATGGTTAGTGCCTCTACTAAGGGGATGGGTTGTCCAGTATCTGCTGAGCTTCTGCTGTATTCCAGGCAGTGCTTGGACCGTAGGTGCATTATGTCCTTTAAATCTCACAGCAGCCCCACATTATCACCTTTCACAGATGAGAAACACAAGGTTCAGAGAGATCAAGCAACATGCTCAAGCTTCCACAGTGACAGAGGGGGCTCTCAAATCTTAACTCCAAGTCTAGTGCTCATACCATGGTGCTGGCAGAAGTGCCTTAACTGCACCGGATGGGGAAGGCACCTGAGGTGGGTTCTGGCTGCTCTGGAGAAGGTGGGGACAAGGTGTGCTCTTGCTCTTGTCCAGACCACGTAGGAAACGATGGTGTGACTTGGGAAAGATGGAGGAGCCTCTCCCCAACAAGGCCCTAGGGAGGAGATGGGGATGTGGAGAGGACAGAGCAACCTTCTTTGGGGCAAGTTTGGGTTCAGAGATCACCCTGAGGGGCGGGGCACAAGGGAAGTGTCTGAGGGAGAGGGAAAAGAGAGGTCCCAAGTCTGAAAGGTTGGGAAGAGAAAGGGAGGAGGGAGACCAGGCCGGCCCCACTAGCATGCCCAGCAGGGACTCTTTTCTGTTCCCTGGGCCACAAAGAAGCAGGTGGAACCTTCCACAGATACCTGGGCCAATCAGGTGGCCCTTGTACCTGCCAGGGAAGTGGGGCAGGGTGGGGTGGGGCTACATGTCAGGGAGGATATTAAATGAGCTTCTAGCTCATTTGCATGTCCTAATTAACCACAAAGTGCGCCCCAGAGGAAGAACTAAGCTCTCTGATTTCTCTCTGCTTACGTCTGCTATCTCCTCCACATACACACTGCTTACCTCTCCCTACACCTTCCTGTATACTTAGGCCCTAGGCATTTGCATTCACCTCTTCCCTCCACTTCAGTAAAATACAGCCTCTGTCATTGCCATGGCAGGTGTCCAGGGGGAAGGGAAAAGTAAGTCTCCATCAGACAGTCAGCATGCCATTTATGATCCACGCAGGACCATGAATAATATGAGAGGACAGATTTTGCTCTTGTTCCTCTTGATTTGGCTTTGGAACAGATATGGACAATTAGTGGGATCGTCTGAAAAGCACAAGATTGCAAGTCAGTTGGAACTGATTCAATCTCAATTCCACTACTGTGTGACCTTGGACAAGTTGCTTAACTTCTCTGAGCCTGTCCATGTAAAACAAGAGCAACTGCTTTCAGTGTGTAGTGAGAAGGAAGTAACAGAGGTGAAGGTGCTGGCACTTGTAAATCATGTTGGCAGCAAGTGTTGCTTCCTAATTTTTTGTTCTGGCCCAAGTTGAAACAAGTTTTCAGTCTCCCAAGTCTCTTCTGACTAACCAATGGTTCAAAGTCTGCTTATTTTCCACTGCATCCATTTGAGAGCAGGAGTTGGGTCCTTCTCATTGCTCTGTTCTTAGTTTCTATAACAACACCTGGTGCTGGGAGGTGTTCATAAAGTTCTGTTCAATTTATCCGAACCACTGTGACCAGTCCACGAAACACGTGAGTTATAGGTGAATGTCCAAGAAGTACCTTGGTTTCCCACAGACTCATTCCAGACTTGGAGCTGGTGTCATCTTGAATAATATGCTAGATGGCTTCTCCACCAGCCAGTGTCCCACGACTTCCTCCGCTCATGATTCAGTAGGTGGAATCTTAACATGCAGTTTCTTAGCACGCGCAGGCACACACACACACACACACACACACACACACACACCACCACTACCACCACCACCACCACCACCTCCACCATCTCCACCTCCAAAGGCAGTCAGAGCCAACGTTCCCTCACTCAAAACTGAAATGTTGGTATTCTCTGGGAAGACACAAAGGATTTGCAGTGGCTGGCTCCACCAGAGTGGGCTTGCTCAGTTGGCAAACTCCAGGTAGAGAAATAGCAAGAAAAGGACAGGGGTTTTGGAGCCAGATAACCCAACCCTCTGTTCAAATCTCTGTCCTTTCCTTTGCTAGCAGCCTAATCGGGGCAGTTTACACGCCCCCTAATAACCTCCATAGATGTGTCTGGAGAACAATGCCTTCTAGGGTCCTTCTAAGTTTGAGAGATGTGCACATTACCTGACAGACAGTGAGTGCTCAACAAAACCCAAAAAGCATGAGCGCCTTCCTCCCTCCTGCAGCTCCCCCACCAAAAATGAAACATCTTACCATTTGACTGGGTAGGATTTGAGAGTGACCCTAACCACCGCGGCTGCGCCCCCATAATCCCATCTTGAGCTCTGCCCCTCTCTCCACTCTCCCCAGGGATCCAGGAAGCAAGCAGAAGAGCCTTTTCTTACTATTTTGCCTCTCCAACTGGCTATTAATGCTTTGAGGGTGGGAAGGAATCCTGCCTCTAATTGCAGCTGTCACACCCCATCAGGCTGAGGGACAATCAGTGGGAGGCAGAGAGGGGCAGTGGGAGGGTGTGCCCTCCTGGCTTGGTCAGCCCAAAAGAAGATCCACATTGTCTTTTCCCAGCCAGTGAGTGTTCCCTACTGGAGTGGGAGGGACAGTGGCTTCCCAGGGCAGTCCTGGGGGGGGGCCTGGATCACTAGGTGGCCCTCCTGGGCCACGTGCCCAGAGTGGCTTTAGAGAAGCCGGAGCTGAGCTGCTGCCTGGCCCTTCCCCCTCCGTCCCGGCTGCCTCTAGGTGAGGAGGGAACAGGAGGCCTGGGACTGCTGTGTCTAGTGGGGAGAAGGCCACGGAATGGAGCTGGGAATTTTAAAATCAAGTGGCTATTTCTTCTGGGTTCACTTCTACCTCACTGGTGAATTGGCTGTTCTCTGACCCAGGTGGGAGTTAAGTGCAGGAGACAGGGGTTGTGGGGTATGGGGCCCTACGAACTGTTTTTTTTTATTTTTTTTGAGACAGGGGAGTCTTGCTCTGTCAGCCAGGCTGGAGTGCAGTGGCATGATCTCGCCTCACTGCAACCTCCCTCTCCCGGGCTCAAGCAATTCTCCTGCCTCAGCCTCCCAAGTAGCTGGGTTTACAGGCGTGTGCCACCACGCCTGGCTAATTTTTACGTATTTTTTTAGTAGAGACGGGGTTTCACCATGTTGGCCAGGCTGGTCATGAACTCCTGACCCCAGGTAATCCGCCTGCCTTGCCCTCCCAAAGTGCTGGGATTACAGGCGTGAGCCACAGCGCCCAGCCTGCGGGGTGCTAAGAACTGTTGGGGAGGAGTGTTGGTAACTCCAGGGTCCAGCTTCTACTCTGCAGTTAGACCTAGGCTGTTCTGCCTCCTGGCTGCAGTTGTTCCTGGACATGTAGCATATCTAGGCTTGTTTCCTTATCTGGAAAATGGGATCATGCCTGCCTGCCTCGCTCACTTTCAAATGAGACCATGGAGATGAAAAGGCATTCAAACAGCCCAGTGCTATGTCAACATCCTTCCCCTGTGCATGGGGGAGACGCGGGGAGTGTCTAGGGCTTCCCTGGCTGCTCCTTACACACTGTACTCCTTATTCAGCTCATTTTCTCAGAGTCCAGGTATGGACTGAAACCTCCAAGGCAGAAAGGGCTAGCAGGTCGGGTTTTGCCTCACTGCTGCTCCAGTCCCAGGAGGCCTGGGGTTCAGTCCCTGTGCCTGGAGCAATGTCTTGCCAAAGAAGCTGACAGAAGGTTGGGAGAGCCATAGACAGGTCTTTATTTGGGGGCCTATCTGGGGAACCTGATGCTCCAGGGCTCTTTTCCATACAGAATGTTCAACGGAGGTCTTTGGGGGCAGTGGAGATGTCAGAGGGATTTTCTGATCTCCTCCTCTGCCCTCACCTACTGTCACCTCCAGCCCCAAAGTGAGTGCATGCATGCCAGACAGACACACACATGCACACACACACACACACACGCACAGCTCACTCTCCAGCTACTCTTACCTCCTCCACCAGCTAGCCCCCAAGACAGCCTCTCCCAACCACCTTCCCTTCAGTCCTGAGCCAAGAACTCTGGCTTCTCCCCGCTTTCTGGGGGAAAGGAACTTGGAGTTGGGCTTTCGAGAGCCATACCGCCCACCCTCCCTCCTCCCCAGGGGCCCAGCACTGGGACCTGGCCCTTTCAGGCTCAGTCAACTTTCTGTCTCTAGGATTCAGACCCAAACAGCTGTGTTAATATCAAATCCTGAGGGTGAGTGCTCCAGGGCCTTGGGGCAGCTTGTGGGGGGATTCTCCCCTCGCCTGTGCTCCCCGGTGCCTGGGAAGGGGAAATGTCCAGAGCCCTTGGAAAGGCTCCGCTTCTTGACCTTCTGTGAGCGGCCGGTTCGGGACTCAGGGACCATGGGTGTCACCCAGCCTGGCTTCTCCTTCAGCAGCCGGTCACGGTCAGGCCGCACACTACGCAAGAACTTCTTAAAGATGTTTGCTGTCAGGGCGAACCTGCGGCCCAGCTCCTGGGGCTGGCCTTTCTCTCCTTTGGGTTCACGTGCCCCCCCAGTCTCACCCTTCTCCCCACCCTTCTCCAGTTCTGGCAAGTCTAGCCAATTGCCCACCAGGTCTGCAAAAACGTTGTCCCCTAACACCAGAGGCTGTCGATTCCGGCCCCGGGACATCAACGTGGAGGTCCAGTCATCCGGTTCCACTCGCTCTGGCCCCTGCTGAGCACAGCTTTGATGTGGCTGTGTCCTGGGCAAGGGGGCTAAATCCCTTCCACAGACACTCCTATGGGATGGAAACTTGGTGCTGCTGCCAAGAGAAGGTTGACTGGAGGGGGAACAGACTGTGGGCCTGGCAGGACCTCTGCCACCCTCCCAACAAGGGTGCTCGCACTGGGTCCTGGGACCTTCAGGGCTGCCTGGCACAGGACCCCCTCCAGAGATCTCCAGCTGTTCCAGTGCTGTCTGCACCTGGAGGAGCTTCAGTTCTTGCAGTGCACCCATCATGCAGTTCATCTGATCCTGTAAGCCATCACCCACCT
Source organism: Homo sapiens (assembly GCF_000001405.40). Lineage (NCBI taxonomy): Eukaryota > Metazoa > Chordata > Mammalia > Primates > Hominidae > Homo > Homo sapiens. The sequence goes on from NC_000001.11 coordinate 111,727,792, forward strand.
CCTTCATGGACATCTGCAGGGGAGAGAGAAAGCATGGGGCCTATGAGCCACAGTGGGCAGCAGTGCCTCTCCCAGCCCTGAACTTAGGTCCCCCACCCAAACATACACTTCCAGGGTCATCCAGCCTGCCACCAGCCCCATCTCTCTATAGCCTAGTGCAGTGCAGATCAGTGCTGGGTAAAGGAAATAATAATGGTAGCTAACTAGCTAAGGCAGGCACTGTCCTGAGAAGGCTCCCCCACCCCATACACACACACACACACACACACACACACACACACAGACATTTCATCTCCCCAACTACCCTATGAGGTAGTGACTATTACTGTTCCCATTTCACAGGTAATTTGCCCAAGATAAGATAGTAAGAGGTGGGGCTGAGATCAGCTTGAAGTGCACAAAGCTGTAGTGCCCATCCTCATCCTTTTTTGAGTCTGAGCGCTCTTCCTCCCTGGGCCTCCCTGAAATGATGACAGTGATGATGGCGGAAAAAACAATATGAGAATCTGCTTTGTAACAGGAATTGTGCTAAGGACTCTATGTGCTTCATCTCATTTCATCTTTATATAGACCGTATGAGGTTGCTATTTTCTCATTTTAACAAACGAGTAAGCTGGAAGGGGTGAAGTAACTTACGTAACGTCACACAGGTCATAGAGCTGGGACTCAAACACGGTACTGTCCCACTCCAGATGCCATAGTCCTAACTACCAAATACAGGTTGAGCATCCCTACTCCAAAAATCTGAAAGCCAAAATGCTCCAAAATCCAAAGCTTTTTGAGCCACAACGTGACCAAAAGTGGAAAATTCTACCCTGACCTCATGTGACAAGCGGAAGCCAAAACACAGTCAAAACTCTTTTATGCACAAAATTATTTAAAATATTGTATAAAATTATCTTTGGGTTGTATGTATAAGATGTATATGAAACATAAATTTCATGTTTAGACTTGGGTCCCATCCCTAAGATATCTTATTGTATATATACAAATATTCGAAAATCCAAAATCCAAAACACTTCTGGCCCTAAGCATTTCAGATAAGGAATGCCCAAACCTCCTGTACTACCTCGAGACTCGAGATGGCTGGGCAGTGGGCAGTGGAGCTAGGCTTTTTTTTTTTTTTTTCAAACAGGGTCTTGCTGTTTGCTGGGCTGGAGCACAGTGGTGACTATTCTCAGACACAATCATAGTGGACGGCAGCCTCTAACTCCTGGCCTCAAGTAGTCCTCTGGCCTTAGCCTCCTGAGTAGCTGGGACCACAGGTGTGTGCTGCCTGCACCCAGAGCTGGACTTTAAGGCTACTCTGTCCTCTACAGGACAGTGAAGAAGGGCTGAAAAGGGCATTAGTGGAAAAGGAAGAGCTCAGATTCCCCAAGAGAAAGGGTAGGCCTGGGGTTTCCTGCAATTGCTGTTCATATCTGACTGGTCAGAAGGGAGACAAGGAGGCCAGGAAACTCCTGTTTGCTGAAAACCCAGCGCTTCTCAGCCTGCCTCTCCCTCCCAAACACCTGTCCTCTCTCAGCTGTTCTCAGACTTGGCTTCAACACTCTTCCTGCCTTCTTAGCCCAGTTGGCTCTGCCGCCCCGGCCAAGCCATAGTGAGATGCTGGGGGCCAATTCTCCCAGCCCCTTTGTGGGTGTCTAAGGCCTGAGTCCCGGCTGCCAGCTGGAAGGTGCTGAGAGATTGACTTGGGTGAGGGCCTAATTTGGAGGCTGCAGCGGGGCGGGGTGGGGGCTGTGTCTGATAACATTCACAAGGTTCCCAGTTCCTGGGCCCAAGCTGCCTTGGTCCTGCCAGCTCCCTCCCCAGCTCCTGATCAAGTTACCAACAGCAAACCTCATATGCAGGGACCATGTGTTTCTTAAGCCCCCCAGAGACCCGTGGGATCATCTTACCTCCCAGGCTTGTCTTAATGCACAGGGCTAAACCCAGAAGGTGGAGGGATCCGAAGGGCAGGCACAGAGGCTCTGCAGGGCTGGGCTGCAGCTGACCCTCTCAGGCTTCTGGGTCAAATCCTCCCCCTGCCAACCCTGGCCCTGGGGGGGATGGGAGATTCCAGCCAGGCTCTCAATGAGCCAGCAGAAGCAGCACTAAAGGACAGTGGAGGACTGACTGCCCTTGAGGGCAAGGAGGCCTTTGCTGGGGCGTGGAGATTGCCCACGCTCTGTGCACTTTCCCCAAGACAGGCAAGAAGAAATGGTGGTTCCAGGCCCTGACAGCCCTGGGATTTGCCAGAGTTTTCACCAGTTGAATGGGGGGCAGTGGCAGGAGCAACAAGGGACAAGGAGCCTGTGGGACAGATGCACATGTTGTTGACAGCCCCTCTCTCTGGCCTCTTTGCTTCTACTCTACTGACCCCTTCCTTTTGGAAGCACTCAGCTACAGCTGCTAAGACCTGGAGCAGAGTCAGAGGAGACTCTAAGCCCCAGACCAAACTCAGTGCCTCCCTTGCAAACTGCTTCTCCCTCTGTCTTCCCTATTCTCCCACTTCCTCCAGTGCCACTTTCCTTGTCTTCCCAACTAGAGCCTCAGTCATTTTTGGCTTCTCCATTCAACTACCCCTGCTCCTGCCCAACTTACTCATGTTGGATTTTTCCTCCCACAAATGTCGCATATCTTTCCTTCCACCCTCAGGAATGCTGCAGAAGCCTCCTAGACAGCTTCCGAACCGCCAGACACGTGAGCACCTGATCAGTCTTCCCAGCACACACCTCCTGTCATCTCCGTGGCTCTCCAATGCCCAGACTCAAATCCAAACTATTTGGTCATGCAGTCAAGATCCTCCAGGACAGAATTCCAACTTTCAGTTCCAGGAATATCCCTACTCCCTGAGACGTACCCCCCATGCTCCTGTTAGAAATCTTCTGTGATATTTAATATACTCTTCCCTGTAGTCCTGCCACTTATGCACTCACCTCATGTCCTCTATGCATTTAAATGCTCAGTCCCTTGTGAAATATGTATTGAGTATCTACTCCTTGAGGACAGGGGCTGAGATCTATACATCAGTATGTCACCCCAGAACCTCGCTAGCACCTGGCACTTGCTACATACCCATAAAACACATATTGAATATCACTGACCACCCCAGATCACCCTCCAGGCTGCTTGCTACCCTCAGACGGTAACTCACTACACAGGGAGAAAGAAGCAGGGCTGCTTCCCAAGGTTTCGTTTCACCCAGAGGCAAGGAGTCCAAACTGGCAGGCTTCCTTCCAGAAGGCTAAACCCAGCCCAGGTCGGAGGTAGAGGGAGGAATGAAATGACTCCATTCAATCTCTTCCAGTGTGGAAAAATCCAGAAGAAATAATGCTGACATTTTGCACAGTTTTCCAGTGAGAATGAATGTGTGGGTATGCATGAATTCAAGCTGCCCATAAAACAGAGGCCCTATGTAAGTAAGCAAGTGCTGAAACTGCACCCATCTGCAAAATAATATTCTGCATTGGTTAATAATTTGGTTTCTGGAGACAATGGAACAAAGTTCAAATCTCAGTTCTGCCATTAGTAGCTGTGTGACCTGGGCAAGTTATTTACATTCTGTTTTTCAATTTCTCCATGCTTTTTTTTTTTTGAGACACAGTCTTGCTGTGTTGCCCAGGCTGGAGTATAATGGCATGATCTCAGCTCACCACAACCTCCGCCTCCTGGGTTCAAGCAATCCTCCCACCTCAGCCTCCCAAGTAGCTGGGACTACAGGCACAGGTCAGCATGCCCAGCTAACTTTTTTGTATTTTTGTAGAGATGGGGTTTCACCATGTTGCCTAGGCTGGTCTCGAACTCCTGGACTCAAGCCATCCTCCCACATCAGCCTCCCAAAGTGCTCGGCTAACAGGCGTAAGCTGCCGCGCCCAGCCAAATTTCTCCACTCTTTAAAATGGGAATAACAGTTCCTGCCTCATACAGCTATTGTGCAGATTAGGTGAGGTAATGTGTATCTCTGCATGAAACCAAGAAAGCATTAGGTGAATTCTGGCTGTTAGTTTAAGACTTCCCATGTACTTTCACAACATTTCTTCCTTGGTGAAACTTAGCACATAGTAATGACAGGGTTCCATTCCTTATATCTGGTCTAATCAAGGAGAAGCACAAGGAGAAGGTCCTGTTTTTTCCCTCCCCACTCCTGCCCCATGCAGGGGCTGGGGAGGGAAGGAAGGGAAGTCTTGGCACCCTCCTGCCCACTCCCAGCCACGTTCAGTCAGCCCAGCCACATCCAGGGTGCCGACACTGAAGGGCAAGAAGGCAGCTGGGAGAGGGATGAGAAGCGAAGGAGGAGTTGTGGGAACCTGGGAGGGCCAGGACAGTGGTGGGGCAGGAGCGTTAGCTGGTTCTTGACTAAGAGAGGAGCCAGCAAAACAGCCTTTCCAGACTGACCCCAGGGGATGCCATCACCCAAGGAAGAAGAGTCAGAGGCCGAGCTTGGGATATGCCTTCTTCTTCCAGAGCTTGGGATCCTCTCAGGTCCCCGGGCTTCCCTTGCCTCAGGACCAAAAGGGGAAGAAAAGGGGGCAGTAAGGGAGGTAGAGGAAAGGAGAGGGGCCAGCTCAGATAGACAAAATCCCGAGCAGACATGAGTAGCTCTAAACCCATCTCCAGGCTGCAGGGTGCGGAGTTCCTCCGGAGCCTCTTACTGTCTTGGAGCCTCAGGTTCTTCCTCAGAACAAGCTTGCTCTCAGGGGTCAGCTGAGAGAATTCACAAGAAGGTCGACCTGGTCCTGATTAGTTTGAGCAAGAGCCACCTCTTTCTAACCCACTCCTAGTCTCTCTCTCTGTTACACACACACACACACACACACACACACACACAGAACTAACCTGCTCCACCATCAAAGGTAAAACCCTTAATAACCATATTCCAATGAAGATTGTGGGAATCCCTCCTGTGAAAAGCCAGGAAAGGTCTTCTCACCTGCTTGTTGCCTCCATACCACCCCACAGTCCCTCTCCCACCCTCAGCGTCTCTGGAAGTCTGCATGTCAAACTTCAGTCTCCATGGCTGCAGTTTAAACCATCCCCTGGGTTCCTCACTGTATTAGAGCTGTAGTGCCACAGGTGCCCTCCTGGTGTTTGTGAAGGGCCCCACACTCATCTGGAGACCTGACTTACTCGGCCACATGACACTGGGCAAAATCGCCCACTTTTTGTGCCCGGGGTTCTGAATCTCAGACGACAACTCCTGGTGTCAGCACTAGCCCTTTCCTCTGCACGGCCTGATCCCCACGGCTAAACTCTGAGGGGCTGGCCAGGTAGGTGGAGATATCCCCAAGTAATGGATTAGGTAACCAGGGGCTGGGAGGTCCATCTTCTCCCTCAGTGTTTCCCAGCATTCCTCCCCAGACCTCCTTCATGATTTTCACCATATCTACATAGGACCTCGTCTCCATGAACACATCTCCTATCTGTTTATGTAAATAGTGTACTTATGAGGGAACTTGTGTGAAGTGTTTACACTTGCCATAGACAGATGGCACCTATCAACACACATCTTAAACTGAAAGCTTTCCTGGAGTATCGCCTCCATCATCCTGAGCACCACCAGTGGTCCCTGGGGTCCTGAGGCTTATTAGTGAGAGGCCTGGGACCCCAAGGCTGGCTTTCATACTCCAGGCCAACGAGCTTTCCATGTCATCATAACCCCTGACCTCTTAGCCTCCTGGGATTGTTGTGAGAAGAAACCAGGGCAACCAGCAGGAAGTGCAAAGGGCAGTTACCACCAGATGGGGAGGAAGAACGTGAAGTCATCCTTTTGAGGGACTCCGAGGCCTCCCTTTCACTGAGTCATCTGAAGAGGGAAGAGGAACTGCCTGCCTGGGGCTGGAGGGGAAGATGCAGTTGGGAACCAGATCCCACCATCCTGGACTTCCAGCCCTGAGCCCCACAGAGGTTGTGTGGGGTCAGCTGGCCATGGACAGCACCCTCCCCCTGGGCCCTCTTGGGGCTCTTTGTGGTGAGGGAGGAGCAGGGATGGGAAAATGTGACGCCAGCATCCTCGGCTCCCTTCCCAAACCCTCCCCTGGGCCCCGACTGATCCCGCAGCTGTGCCCTCCTTCCATCCATCTCACGCCCTCTCCCAGCTCAGCCAGAATCCTTTGATACAGGCTCCAGCTTTGCCCATGAGCCTGGCTGTGTGCCCTGCCTCACTTCCCCCACCCCATTACTCACAAGATCCCCACAAAGTTCCTTTCAGCCCCTGGGGAAGCTAGGAGGAGGCTGAGGGCCGGAAATGGGAAAAGCCCTGCTTTTGCCAAGTGGCCCATTCTCCAGCTCAGTGAATAGGGACCTTCACAGCCCCTCACACTTGGCTGGAACTCTCAACAGGAAGGTAAAGCGGAAACTGTGCCAAGAGCTGTAGGAGGGAGGAGGGTAAAGAAAGGAGGAAGTGAGGGCTGTGAAATGGATGGGCCCGCTTTCCCAACACAACCATCTATGGGGGTCTGCTTAGGCAAGGGGCAGACAGATGGAGAGGGGATTCCAATGCTGCCTCTTCCCGGAGATTGCCTCTTAGTCTCCGCAAGCCCTCTTCCCTCTGACCACCTTTAACTTCTCTCCGTTGCAGTCAATCAACTTCCTCGAACATCCAAGGGACCTCAAGAAGTTACCTTCTTTTTTTTTCCTTTCTGGTTCAGGCCTTCAGTGTCTCTTGCCTGACTCTTGTAATAACCTTCTAACTCATCCTCCTGCCTCAATTTCCTCCCTCCCTCCACCTCCACCTCTACCCCATATCACCTTCTGGATCCCAGGGCTGCTCTCCAATGCATACAGAACAGGCCAGACTCTTTAGCATGACATCCAGCGTGTGTCCACGACAGCTCTTTCAGCACTGTTGCCCACTCTTTCTCTGCATTTTACCCTATGCTCTAGGCAAACTCCAGCTGGTCTTCAGACATCCCCACCACTTCAGCTTCTGTACATTTTGCTCATGTTGTTTCATTATCTGCCTGGATTGCTCTTCTTCTGCTGTGCGTGTCCCTATTTATCCCTCAAAGTCTAGTTCAAATGCTACCTCTTCCATGACATGAAGCTTTCTCCAATCTCCCAGCTGGAGTTTACTTCCCTCTCTCAGAGCACTGAACCCGTGCTTGTTATATAGCACAACTCCTCTATTTCTGCCCCAGAGGTCTGCATACAGGTACTGGTTGAGAACATAAGCTCTGCAATCAGACTGGCGGGGTTTGAATCCTGGCTCCTCCACTTACCAGCTCTATGACTTTGGCCAAGTGACTTAGCCTTCCCATGTCTTTATTGACTCATTCATAAAATGAGAATAATGAAAGTAAAACTTCTTAGTGTTGTTTTGGCAATTAAATGACATCATAAATTATATGTCTGGCATATCAATGTTAACATCAATTAATATCATTATTATATCTTCTATTAAACCGTGTGTTCCCTGAAGACAGGATCTGTGTCTGTTGGTTTGTAACAATAGTGCCAGTGCCCAGTAAATGCCCTAAACACAGTATGAACTCAATAACATGTTCTATGTATGAATGACTCTTACGCAAAACAGTCTGATCAAACCATCATCAACAGTTTACCAAGTGCCTACGATATGACACATCTGACACTGTGCTATGTGTGAAAGACAAATAGTTGGCGAGGCACTTAAATTGTCATTTAATCTTCACAGTAGCCGTATAGAGTAGGTATTTTAAAACCCCCATTTTAGAGATGAGAAAACCAAGGCACAATGAGGTTAAGTAATATGTTAAGGTCATACAGAGCCAGGATTTGAACTGAAGTTGGCCTGACCCCAAATCTTATACTATGCATTCTTCCCATTGACCACATTGCTTAACTAGTCACATAGTCATCTTTCCCCAGCGTTAAACATCAAAGAAGAGGCATTATGAGATCCTTTGCAAAAGCTTTTTTCTGCCTCAGGAAATTTGCCTTTTTGCCCCAAGATCTGAAGGCTGTTCCTACTGTATCTTCTCCATCTCCTACTTTTCTTCTCCTTATTTTGCCTTCAGACCCTGGTCCTTACCCATTTGCCAGAACCCCCTGAACTTGTGGCCACTAAAAGCTAGAGAACTGCTTCCCCATGCCTCAGCTAGGACAGACATTCCCAGAGATGGCTTCCTGCAACCTCTCCCTCCTCCAGGAAGCCTTCCCAGCCTGGCTGTACTTCATGAGCTCTGATCACTCAGCCTTTACGCATTCTATTTGTTCTACACTGATCTGAACTCACGAGGGATGCCCTGTGAGCATCGTACATCTGCCTCCTCTGTGTGCCTGTGTCTACCCCCACTTATTGGCAGCCCACAAGGGAGCTGTGCGTACGGAACAGCTGGTCCCAAGGCCTGTGTTCAGGCAGGGCCCCTCTTTGGCGGCTGGAGGGAGAAAAGAGATGTGTTCCCTGCTGAGCTGTTGCAGCCCCAACCCCTCATTCTAATGAAGAAGTGTGTCAGCTGCTGCTACTTCTCCTGCCACATTTCATCCTTGAAACCCGATCCCCTTCCCTTTCCAGGCAGAAGGAAAGGGTCAGCTCTCTACTTATCAACTAATTGAGTCAGGATCCCCAAACCCTCAGCCTTCTCCCAGCGCTCACCTGTTACAATGAAATTTTCTGCTTCAGGGAATTGGGAAGTTCCACTACTTTGGTTTTCAGAAACACACTCTTCTTGCCTAGATTTTCTGGGCCAAGGACAGGGGTAGGATGCAGGAGGGGAGCACAAAACACCCTTGACAAAGATAATTTCACAACCTGTTAATGTTTTGTTTTCCAGCAGGTTTATCCCACAGTGTCTGCAGAATGTGTGATTCTTGAAAGAAATTTACTGAAATAAATGAATATAGAACTTGACCAGTATTACAGGAGGCCATGCCTGTGTAAACACAAACTAAGGGCAGCGCCAGGCAACACAATGTCTTCCTGGGTGGCAAGGGAGATCCTGCCTGGGATGGGCCATCTGCAGTGCAAAAGCTCCCTAGCTCATGACAGAAACCAACTGTATTCCTTTCCCACCCCATTGCAGACCTAGGGTATTAAGTCAACACACTTCTATCCCAGCCACAAGCAAGCTGCACTGAATTCAGTCCCTACTGTCCCTGGGCAAGGCAGCCAAAGGGCTAACCCTGGACTAACTCAGCTCTACTTTCCCCTTTGCTACTGTTGGGGATACTAAGGCACTGAGATTTGGCCCAGCTACCTAAGCACTGAACTGAGGTGTCAGGGAGTGAGTGACACTCTACTAGCTCTGTCTGTCCTTCTGCTCTGTCTCGTCTCTGAGCAGGCTGGCATTGGGGAGGGGGTGGAGCACCATGGGGGGTAGTGCAGAGCTCTCCCATCTGAGTGTCATTCTGGGATCCAGGCCAGGCATTCGGCTTCCTCTCCAAGAGAGTCAAAGGCTGAAGCTGCTCAGACAAAGGGCCAAATGAAAGCTAATGGGGCACTCCGTGACTTCAGCTTCTCCCTTTCCTCCTCTCAGGCATTGGGGGCTCAAGTCCTTGGCAGGAGAGGGTGCAAATCAAGATGTGAAGCTCAGCTCAGTGCAGATTCCTATTTGCCTTTTTTATTCTCCTGGCACTCGTAGTCTCTGTCTTCCTCCCCTCACCACCTCCCACCTAGACTGCTATAAAAAATGCAAATCAGTAGGATTTAAAAATTCGAGCCCATGCCAGGAACACCCACAAACCCTCCATTAAGGCAGAACCTGAGGTGGGTGGTGTAGTCCCCAATTCGAAGCACAAAAAGGAGGATTCCATTAGATTCTTTTCTCTGCATGGGTCTTGGACCTCAGACATTATCTGTGATGACCTTGAGCTTTCTTTCTGGTACTGCACACATAAATGGAAAAAAATGAGAATTGTGTACGTGTGGGCTGGGGCCAGCCATCCCAATCTGGCATGAGAAGCATGTGCAAACGACTATGGGAAGGGACATGGCGTAAGTTCAGAAGAAAAGCAATGAATACTCCTGTCTCTCAAGAAATTTATCTCTGAGTCAGTGACTTTTGCATCTGAGTGTCACCACAGAAAGGGCTCCAGGAGGGAGGACTAGAGAGAGAAATGATCGTTGATGTGAGCAGGCTGACCCTGGAGTAGGACTGACAGGAAGAGTGGCAGGGTTACTTGGTCAGGAAGCATCAGTGAGAACACCTGCAGTTTCAAACTCTGCCCCCTACCCCCAGAGCTGGCCCCTAACACACTGCCAAGTTCCTTCCCAAGCAGGAAGAGTGTAGCCTTTGCAGGCAGCAGTGGGAAACGCTGTCACAGAATCTGGAGAGCCATAAGCTGGCCCTTTCTAGATCCAGGCCTGCTGTTGTGTGGCCTGAGTGCCCCTGGCTCTGTAAAGTAAGAAGAAAGAGGAGAGCAGAAAAGTGAGACTGAGAAGAGTCGACTCCAAGAGAGACAAACTAAAAGAGACAAAAAGAGACGAGGGCAAAGACACAACAGAGAGCCTAGTGGAAGGAGAGATGGGCAAAGCAGAGATGGGGCTGTATGTGCATAACATTTGCCTGAATTCCGGTGGGTGAAGGAATAAGAAAGGTGGCAGGTGGCGTGGGGGCGGGGGCAGTGGTATATGAAGCCAGTGAGAATCAACCTGGCTCTCCCTAACATAGCTTTAGCGAACACCACTCCCCCGACTTCGGTGATTTCCACCCCCCCAGACTGAGCTACTTCTCCCCCTCCCCGTACCGCGGGGCCTCCGAACGCTCCCTGCGCACTCCCCAAGCCCAGACCTGACATCTGGCTGGGCCTCCGCAGCTCCCGCTCTCGATTTGCCAGGCAGAGCCCCTCCTCCAGCGCAGGGCCCTCCCCCGCCTTTCCAGCTGCCAGCCCCCTCCCTGCTGGCAGACAAGCCCAGGCAGACAGCCGGCCAAGCCTGCCCCCGCAGCCGCGCCAGCTCTGCCAAGCCCGGCAGAGCTGGGGGCCCAGGGTGGTACCCGCTTCCCTCGAGCGAGCAGTCCCGCTGACCTCGTGCCCGCGCAGGGATCAGGACCCAGCACCCTCCTCCTCCCCGCGCTCCAGGTCGCCCCGCGCAGCCCCGCACCCAGGCGCCCGCGTCCCGCTCCCCAGGCCTTCGCTCTCGCGCTTTCCGCGTCGGCGGCGCGGGGGCCCCACTGCGTCCGTGTGCCTGGCCGTCTCTGGGCGTGCCCTATCTTCTCTCTGGGGTTCTCTGTGTCACATTTCAGCCTGGCTGGCTTGCTCCCTCTGTCTCTCTGTCACTTGTTCTTGTCTCATCACAAATCTTTGCTCAAAGTTTCTTCGTGGTCCCCTTTCCTGAGGACAAGCCCTGCCCTCTGCCTGCGGGCCCGCGTCCTCTCCTCTCTTCCCTGGCCCTCCTCCGCCCTGCTTACGTCCCGGCTCCCCGGGGGCCGGGGCGGAGACCAGGTGCCCGTCGGGGCGGAGCAGCCCTCCCTGCCCCGGCGCCAGCTTCGCTCTTACCAGCTCCTGTTTGAGGCGACGGAGATAGCAGTCCATTTCCCTGCTCTCCATCGTCATGCGCCCATTTGTCGGGTTCGGTTCAAACAGAGAGGGCCCGGGTGAAACCCCGGCCCCACTGGAAACTGCGCTCCGGGCCGGCTCCCCGCCCCTGCGCCCGTAGCGCTCGCAGCGCGGAGCTGAGCCTGCGCTCCGAGCCCGGGACTCAGAGTCGCTTCCCCAGCGGCTAGCCGCGCGCGGTCGGTGCTGGGGGTGGAGGGAAAAGTGGGACAGCCAATGAGAATTCAGGGGGGCTGTCTTCAGCCAATGGGCAGGGCGGCCGGGAGGCCGGGCTGGGCGGCCGAGGCGGACCCTACCGCAGTGTTTGCACAGGACCCGGGCGCAGCCACTGGGGCTGGCGAGGACACACCTGGTCCCGGCCAGCGCGGCGGAGGGCATCGTGACTCCAGGCTGTACCGCGGCCCCCAACGAAGCACGTGACCCTCGTGTGGTCATAAAGGGAGAGCACAGTTTTACGGGGAGGGACTGGGTAGCGGTCTCAGTAACAGGCAGAGTGCCATAGTGTCAGTCCCTTTTCCCAAACTCCGATCAGGAAGGGAAACACCCCCACCCACTCCGCTCCCATCCCCAGAAGTCCCTCAGAAGCTCTTTTCTCCCCGAAGAGGACCCTGGGAAGGTGGCTCCCGCCTCACTCCTAGAGTGAAATCCTCGCAGCCCTGCCCTCGCGGGCGGAGCAGAGACGCCGCCGCTTGGCCGGTTCACGCCTGTCACACAAAGCCGCCGAGGGTCGGCTGCGCCCCTGGCAAGGCTGTAGGGCTGGGGATACTGAGTATGACAGGCGAGGTCCCTGCTCTCAAGAACTTACATGGGAGAGAAGGGGAGACAAGATAAACAGGTAAACACACACACACACACGGTAAGCACGGTAATTTCAGACAATGATTTTTATGAAAACATGAAACGGGGTAAGGGGGTCGGGCTGCTTTCCCTGGGGCCTTCAGTGGGGTGGGCAGGGAACAAGCCTTTCTCTCCCCAGAGCTCGGCGTCAGTCAACCTAGCTGACGCTCTCGCCTTTGGCGAAGCGCTCTAAGGCCGGGACGCTCCTTTGTTATTCAAAAGGAGCCGGGCGAGCGCCAGCCAGGCCCTGGAGGATGGAGTTGCGGCCAATAGGCTCGATAGGCCGATGGGCTCCGCAGACCGGTGGGGGGTGCTCCTCCCAGCCCAGCCCTGGACGCCGGGCTCCGCGCCCGCCAGCGCTGCTCCCTCCCAGCGCGGAGACGCCGCGCCCGGCCGGGACAGCCGGGGACGGTGGCGGAGAGCACGGAGAGTAATTAAGCAATTAGCGACGTGTTGTTAAAAGGTAATTAACGGGGAAAAGTTTGCCCCAGGCAGGATTAGAGGTCTCTGAGTGGGACAACTGTAAGAACACCAGAGAAGGCACGAACGGTGCCGGCGCCGCCATCGGTCCGTCCGTGGCAGCCAAAAGTGCCAGATATGCTAACTATTGAAAGATGCGCGGGTGGCGCACGCCTGTAATCCCAGCACTTTGAGAGGCCGAGACGGGTGGATCACTTGAGTTCAGGAGTTCGAGACCAGCCTGACCAACATGGAGAAACCCCGTCTCCACTAAAAATACAAAATTAGCTGGGCGTGGTGGCCTATGCCTGTAATCCCAGCTACTCCGGAGGCTGAGGAAGGAGAATCGCTTGAAAGCGTGAGGCGGAGGTTGCAGTGAGCCGAGATCGGGCCATTGCACTTTAGCCTGGGCAACAAGAGAGAAACTCCGTTTAAAAAAAAAAAAAAAAAAAAAAAAAAAAAAAAAAAAAAAAAAAAAAAGACAGGGGAGAGGAAGAGGAGAGAGATAGATACAGAGAGACACAGAGACATGGCGCGGGGAGGGAGGAGGGACAGAGATGGAGGGGAAGAGAGGGAGGGTGAGAGAGAGAAACAGAATTAATCTTTAGAAGAGTTTGCAGAGTCCAGTTGAATGGCCTCCACTTAACAACCCCAGGTCCTCAATTACACAATAGCCCTTGCCTACACCTTTCAGCCTAGCCCCAAGTGTCCCTCTGGGCGAAGCTGGGGCAGCTGTAGCCAATGGATAGAGAAAAGAAAAAAGAGGCACAATATGGGCTGAACTTGGTCGGTGACCGCTGGCCAAGCCCAGGCAACTCTGGTCCTACCAGTCTGAGCAGTATTGGCCCTCCTGCCTTTTCTGCAGCTGTGGGCAGAAATTCTCCAAGAGATCCCTTTCTATGGGACCCACCAGATGTTCAGAGTGAGAGCTGCCCCCAAGGACACAGCTGTGGTTTCCAGTCCAGCTGAAGAAGTTCTGTAGTTGAATACTATGGGACTGGGATAGAAAGGACCCAGCATTGACATATAGTCCACAGAGGGGGACTTCAATGGGGACAAACACCACAAAAGGGTTCCCCAACTTGAAGGGCCTGGCTTTGCTCCATCTCCAGTCTCCAGCACGGTAGTCAGATGTAAGAAACTCTGAGTAAACATTTGTGGATCTGTGGCTGAAATAGTGTTTTTGTTTTGTTTTTGTTTTTTGAGACAGCCTCACTCCCAGGCTGGAGTGCAGTGGTGTGATCTTGGCTCACTGCAACCTCTACCTCCCAGGTTCAAGCGATTTTCGTGCCTCAGCCTCCTGAGTAGCTGGGATTACAGGCGCATGCCATCACGCCTGGCTAATTTTTGTATTTTTAGTAGAGACGGGGTTTCACCATGTTGGCCAGGCTGGTCTCAAACTCCTGAACTCAGGTGATCCGCCTGCCTCGGCCTCCCAAAGTGCTGGGATTACAGGCATGAGCCACCGTGCCTGGCCTGGTGAAATAGTCTTTAGGGTCAAGCTTAAGCCCCAGTTTTCTCCATCTCTGAGACTTCATGGACTGGAATCCACTTGGAAGTTGGGAGGCTAAGGTTGAAAATCCAAAAGAAGTGGGCTGATCTCTTGGCAAGAACCTAGGACTGGGCGGTTGGGTCTTCTGTGCTGCTGACAACAGAGTATGACCTTGCACAAATGCTTTCCTTTTACTGGGCATCAGTTTCCCCTGCTTATGGGTTTAAACCTTTGTGAGTCTAATACTTTATACTCCTTACAAAACTCTCTTCTGGGCTGGGCGCAGTGACTCATGCCTGTAATCCCAGGACTTTGGGAGGCCGAGGTGGGCAGATCACGAGGTCAGGAGTTTGAGACCAGCCTGGCTAATATGGTGAAAACCCGTCTCTACTAAAAATACACAAATTAGCCTGGTGCGGTGGCGGGCATCTGTAATCCCAGCCACTCAGGAGGCTGAGGCAGTAGAATCGCCTGAACCGGGAGGCGGAGGTTTCAGTGAGCCGAAATCGCGCCACTGCACTGTAGCCTGGGTGACAAAGCGAGACTCCGTCTCAAAAAAATAACTCTCTTCTGAAAACTAACTGTGAAGTAGTCAGGAGCAGGGGAATGTTTACCCCATCTTACAGATGAAGAATGTATTGTTAGCAAAGCCAGCTCACATTCCATCCATTTTCAGGTAGAGAGAGATAGCAAGAAAACAAATTGATAATCATAATACCAGTGCAGAGCTCAAAAGAGAAGTTTTAGACAAGTCTGAGGTGGTATCACTGTGTGGTTCCCACAAGACTTTGGAGGACAATTACTGTCTAACTCTGAAGTCCTTTCATGGTGCTGGGCCATTGCAACTTACGTATTCCCTTGCTTCTGAGAAGGCCAACGTTACCCCAGGAGTGTGTGTGTGTTGGGGGGCAGTCTCTCTCTTGCCTTGTTGCTGAAGAGGTAACTCTCATCTGGGCAGAGCAGGCAGGTGGCAAAAGTAGGAAAAATAGCTGCCTTCTGCTTTTTCTTTTTAAAAAAGGATTTAAGTGATGAGAATAAAGCCTGTTGCCATGGTTATATAAACATGGATAAATATTTCTGGGCTGGGGATGGGGGCTGGGGGACGTGATTCATTTCTGCTGAAGAGGAATCAGATGGCTCAGCCTCCTCCCTTCCACCCACCCCCCTCCGAAACTCAGCCTGGAGGAAGGATGAGGTTATCTCATTCGAAAATAAATAATAAAGAAATCAAAGGTCTTGGGATTGGTTGTGAACATACCTTCTTAATGCTGTTCAGACCTGGGGTGGAACCCTCAGAAGGTACGTAGCCATTTGCCCTCCAGTGGTCGGTACTTTACCTGACAGAGAGGGTGCAGCTCCTGGAAACTGTATCCAGTGCTGTCAACTCTTGGGACTTGACTGCCTAACCTAGCCAGGGAAGGTGGCCCCCTTTGTCCCACTGCCAGAGCCTGAAGCTCCTGGCACCTATCAATGAGCTCAAATGAAGAGGCAGAACCAGTTGTGTCCCAAGGGAGCTCAGATCCTATATTAAATAATGGAAACACCACCATTCTCCTGGCTCCAGATCCTATGGCACCCACCTGGAGGTCCCTATCCACCAGGTCCTAGCCAGCTCTGGAAGACATACCCGAGTGAGGCAGTATCCAGCTTCTCATCTCTACTGGCAACAGGAGAGCTGGACAGCACATCCTGGTGCAAGGAGAGAGATATGTGGTCACATACCAGTCTGGAAACCTCATCATAACATCACCCTCCCAAGGGCAGGGGCCCTATCCCCAGTGCCCTCATTCCTTGCCCCCGACTGTGGCTGCCAACAACTATTACCCCAATCCCATCACCCACCACATGCTGCCTGATCATCAACAGGAAAGGCTGACCCTAGAGATAAACACATGCTGTTGGAATGTGTTCAGATATCACTGCGGAACTGTTTCTCTCTAGGGAGAGGACCTTGCCTGACAGGCTGGCCCAGAGGTGCTGAGCAGAGACTGTGTACGTGTCTGTGTGGGAACACATTGGGATGGTAGGGGAGGAACTGGACTGAGGCCCAGCTATTCTTGAAAGCATCCAACTCCTAGCTTTCATGACATCTTCCTTTGTCCACCTTAGACACAGGACTGGGCTCCTCTGACCCTTGTAATTCCAATACCAGGAGGGACAGCTGAGAGGATGAAGTGGCCTGTGTGTTGGGGAACCCTCTCAGTTCCAAAAGAAATAATCACTTCGGGTTTTAATTAAAAATTAAAAAAACCCTTTGGACTGGGTGGAGGAATCAAAGACTGCAGTCATAAAAAGGTCCATGAACTTTGGGTGTCTTCAAACAAAGGTTGTCATTCTCTTACAGATGGAGCAACTCAACCCAAAAAGGTTGGTCTGTATGGTGACGGAATGTGGTCTCCCAGTTTTCAGCACAGCACTCATTCAGCTATTCTGCTCTTCAGAAAGCAGGAGGGATGTGCCCTAAGGTGGACTATTGAAATGATGAAAGCCACTGAGGAAGTGAGTTCTGATGTTCCACATCCACAGAATTGCCATCACTCTTTTTTTTTTTTTTTGAGACAGAGTCCCGCTCTGTCGCCCAAGCTGGAGTAAGTGGCATGATCTCAGCTCACTGCAACCTCCGCTTCCTGGGTTCAAGCGATTCTCCTGCCTCAGCCTCCTGAGTAGCTGGGACTACATGTGTGCAGACTACAGGTGTGCGCCACCACGCCCAGCTAATTTTTGTATTTTTAGTAGAGACGGGGTTTCACCATATTGGCCAGACTGGTCTCAAACTCCTGACCTCGTGATCTGCCCGCCTCGTGCTTTTACCCATAGTGCTAACTTAGACCACCACTCTCACAACCTTTACTTCTTTATAAAGTCACTGGGCTTCAAGATCAGGCTATCAGTTACAGAGTTGCTGAAACTTTTTAGAGAGGGACTGAAGGAAGGTGATAGAAGAAGAAATAGCAATATGGTATTTTGAGTAAACTTCATGTATGAATGGCTCCCAGGCTATCTCATCTGAACAGTTTTCAAGTGCAAAATTAGATTTGTCCAAATAATGAACAGGTAGTCTGTGGGCTGATACTCACTTCTATATGGAATAATTTGGAGCTATGGGCTTGGTGCTTATGGTGCCTAAGCAAAGATCTCATTGCTACTTGGGAAGCAAGTATTTCCATTTTGCAAACATTTACTGGAAAGGCAAGCAAATATACACACACACACACACACACACACACAGAGATATTATATATATATATATATATATATATATATTTTTTTTTTTTTTTTTTTTTGAGACAGGGTCTCACTCTGTCAACCAGGTGGAGTGCAGTGGTGTGATCACGGCTCACTGCACCCTTGAGCTCCCTTGGCTCAGGTGATCCTCCCACCTAAGCCGCCAAAGCAGCTGGGACTACAGGCACATGCCACCATGCCCAGTATATATATATATGGTTTTTTTTGTGGAGACAGGGTTTTGCCATGTTGCCCAGGTTGGTCTTGAACTCCTGAGCTCAAGCAATCTGCTCACCTCAGCCTCCCGAAGTGCTGGGATTACAGGCGTGAGCCACCGTGTTGGGCCAGGAAAAGCAAATATTTTTGAACTACGAAGAACACGTGAAGAATGCCAGGGCACACCTAAGGGAAATATGGTATTTGTGCAAACTAATGATGGTGGATGCAAACTGTACCAGGAAAGAAAATGGCTCATACCCAGGACTCTCCTGGGACATTCTGTAACATCTGATACTCCAGAGGCCCAGTGCTGGCTGCCCTGTAACCTTACCATGGCCTGGAACTCAGAGCAAAGGCTCATTTTATCACATACCACTTGGCCATCTCCACTAGCTAGCTGTAAGCAAGGACCAGTGGTTGGCAGCTTGCCAGGGAGAGACATATTAGCAAGAGGGAAAGAAAAGCCACCTGCTTCTCCTCCTGAGACCATGGGGTGAGGAGAAAAAGAGGTCACATCTCAGGTTTGGCTGTCTGCATGTTTGCTTCCACCAGACTGGCTCTTAAGTCTCTTCTGTTGTTTTTCAGGAGCCAGAGAATTCTCGTAGCTGTGATTAGACATCAACCTTGGGCATGCTAAACATTTCAGCCTGGACACCCTGAGAAGAGCCAGTGCCACTGGTGACAGCTGCTTCTGTGCGGGCTTTTGCTTGGCCAGAGAGGCAGGACCTTCTCCCTGGCATTTTGAGGAGTGGTGCCGGGTGGGCAGTGACTGCACTAGCAACAGTCTATACCAAGAGAAGACCTCAAATTCCCAGAGAAGAAAGGCAGCGAGGCCAAGAAATGCTGCCGCCGCTTAACAAGTGAAGATGCATACTGGAGAATAGGAACTGAACACGCGAAGGAGTTTCGGCTTTACTGCCTTCTCTCCTAGCATTGAACAGATCTTCTCTGCTGTTGATTATTCTCCATGAATCATCATCCATAGAAAGTGACTGAGGCAATAGAGAGTGAATAATGAATCTCTCAAATAGTCTTTTGTGTTTCTGCCTGGAGGGTTTTGGAAATAACTTGCATCTTAATCTTTCTGACTTAGAATCATAGAATTTGGGAGCTGAAAAGGACCTTCATCAGGGCATGTGGCCTCACAGAAAGACTGGAAGAAAAGATTTGTGGGTATGAGCCTCTGGTTCATCACTAAAAATAGGCCTAGTCTAACATATATTGGAGGCTTTCCTTGTGTCAGGTACTCATTTATTCTTCCAAAACCTTGGGAGGTAGGTGCTGCTATTCCTCCATTCTGCAGAGGAGGAAGAGATGAGGAGACAGTAGATCACCAGAGGGCAGTGTGAGGGGTGTGCTGGAACCATCATGTGGAACTGGCTCTGGTTCCAGAATCCACATCCTCTCGGTCATTCCACTCCCACATCAAGTGGCTTTGGACAAGTAATTTAACTTCTTTGGATCTCAGTTTTCTCCTCCGTGATCTCTAAAGTTTAAAAATTACTAACAGTCTGCATCTGCCACCCAAGCATGTGATTTTACAAGTCAGAAAAGTGTAGCGCAGAAATGTTAAGTGACCTGCCCTAGGTCACCCAGGTTGCTAAGGGCAGAATCAGCACAGAAACCCAGGCCCAGTGACCACTGCCCCCAGGCAAGACCTCCTTCCCTTCCACTGCACTTTGGCAGGTGTTCTAGGGGAATCCAACTCCTTGCCTTAGAGGAGACCTGTTCAATGATATCAGATAGACTGGAGATGTTACGTTTTGGTGTGGCCAATCACAACACCAGGATGAGCTTAGGAGGCTGGTGATATTTGTCTATCTAAGCACCCCCAACCTATCTATCTGTCTGCTGTTTGTCTATCTTTCTCAGGTTATGCATAGTGACCAAACCCCGCCTGGTAACTGTAGGGAAAGAGCATGACTGGTGTGTTACAGCTACACACGCCCCCTGGTGGTATTTCCAGTTGTTTGTCCTCTTCATGCAAATGTTGCCACCTTGTGCCAGCTCTCTCACCTAGCTTCCTTCATGACGACAGTGGTTGCAATTCTGCTCCTCTCTCTGCCTTCCCCTGTCCTTGGCTCCCCATGTCCAGAATCTGATCATTTACTGGTGTGCACCCTGGGATGTGATGTGTGCTTTGGGAGGAGACAGGACCCAACAGTATCTCAGCTGTGCTCTGGTAATCAGTGTGCACCACATTACAAGCATCCTCATCCCAGTATCCTCCCTA
The DNA here is from genome assembly GCF_000001405.40 of Homo sapiens. Lineage (NCBI taxonomy): Eukaryota > Metazoa > Chordata > Mammalia > Primates > Hominidae > Homo > Homo sapiens. The sequence goes on from NC_000001.11 coordinate 111,747,708, forward strand.
TTGAAAAAGAAATGGGAAAGGGGTGGATGTGTCAATAAACACAACATTGAAGGCATCTGAAATAGAACAAGGACATCCTGGGTGAGGCATTATTCACAATGTGTATCCATATATGTGTGTGAGTGTGTGTGTGTGTGTGTGGTTCAGACAGTCTGAAATGAGCTCTCACCCACTGGTGAGTGGAAAATTAGCTTTGGCAGGTGAAGAACTGGGTGACAGGTGAGGAAGCCACCAGGGTATCAGTGTTATCCTTCTACTATTGCTGTTTCTGGTGTTGCTAACAATATCTCTCCCACCTCTCCCTGTTCCATGAAATGTAATTAGGTAGAGTAGAAATGACTTGGAAGGGCTTGGGCACGTGGGAGAGTAATATGAAGATGTTACAATGGCCTTGTGACCTTGTAAGTGAGCCATGTGCTTGCAGGTGGGCTGCGCTAGGCTAGTTGCGAATTAGCATTTTCCTGACGGCCCATGAAGCAAGCTGTGTGGTTTTCATTTCTAGTGGGTGGAAGAAAAGATGGCACTCCAGGGACTAAGTCCTAGGAAATTCTGCCATCTGGCATAATGTTGGAGGCAGTGTGTGCCAGGGCAGGAAATATGGGTTCTTGGGCTGGCTCTAGATTGGCCCTGTAATCTCTAATGCCTCAGTTTCTCTAACTGTAAAGTGGGACAGATAATCCCACTGCTACCTTCTTGTGAAGGTAAAGTATGCAAAGGCCCTTTGAAATGTCGAGAGCACGGTTCTAAATGTGGCTTGCCTGCCAAAGGAATTTGCCAGGCCTACTGGGAGGCAGCAGTTTGCTTCTGTGTCAGTTTCTACAGTCTGTGCTCAGACAGGTACTTAAGCATCTCACATCCATAAATCTCACCTCCTATCTATAGTCAGCAAATAAGAAAAAGGGCAGGCTGATGCTCTGCTTCTGTCTGATCTTCTTACCAATCCTACCCTTGCCTCCCCTCCCCCTGACCTGATGCGATGATCTTGCTGCTCTCCCTCATCTGTTCTGGGCCTGTCAGTTTAATTTAACAAGGTTCTGGGAGAGGTTTGATTTAATCAACCCAGTTGCTGTATCCATCCTGCTCAGAGGTCCCTCAGTGTCACCACCGAGGCTCAGATTAGACAGTGACAATTACTTCTTCTTTCCTGGCTATTGCCTCCCCCTTCCCTTTCACTCCCTGGAGGGAACAAGGAGGCAGACCAATCTCTTGGGACCTAAGAATAGATGCGGGAGGATCAAAGGAGGGAAACAGGCTCTGGCCTGAGAAAGCCCCTCTCCATACCTTACATGGCCTTGTTTAAGGCTGAGTAACAGCCCAAAGGGTGGAGGGAATAGAAAATGTGAGCGAAGCTGCCTTGCAAAGGCTCAAGGCTGCCTGAGGACAGAGCTGTGCCATCACTGATGGCCCCACAGAGATAAAACCAGTCTCCCTTATTGTCAGGAAACTGGGGTGGAGGGTGGGTAGAGAAGTAAGATAGCTGCATGCTCTATGTACTCCAGACCACGAGCATTTATTTCCAGGTTCTCGGCCTGGATTCTGGGGTCTCCGGAGCTGGGAGACAACCACAACAACAGGAAGGCGAGGCCCCATCCATCTGAGCTTCTGTGGCTCTGTTCTTGGTGTGGAAGCTGCAGTGACAAGAGGAGATGCCACCTGAGCCAGGGGTTCAGGGGCAGCTGTGTGGGTGTGAGGTAACTATGCTGTGTGTGTTGGGGTGTGTGTGTGTGTGTGTGTGTGTGCGCGCGCGCGCGTGCTAGGGAGCCAAGGCAGGGGAGTCTCTGGTGCAGACAGTTCAAAATTCCAGAACAAATCTCTTTTGTTGTCATTTAACCCTTTCATTTCCCTCTCTTTTCAGGAAGTGGGTGCTCAGCACCTCTTGTTCTCCTAATCAGCTCAGAGAAGAGACAAAGGCCTCTTCAAGGGAAGCCCTTACTTAGGGTGATAGAAATTCTTTTTCTTTTTGCTCCTTTGTGTCACATTCTTCCATCGGTCAGCAGGCAACTGACAGGTGTACCCCTCCCTGAGCCCCATTCAGAGTTCCCCTCCCTGCCATTTGTCTCTCACCCAGATATCCAGCAGACACCACCATCCACAGGAGCTGAATATGATTAGCAGAAACCCTTCCTGACAGCTCCAAAGAGGATCCCTCAAATGCATATTCTATTGAGTGCATCTCATTGCTGCTGACAGCCGCTTTATCAATTAAATTCCACATTCCGTCTTCAGAGATGCCATGAACCTCCCTAATAAATCATAGGCCCCCAGTTATTGTTAAATGTCCCATCAGTCTCTAATAAACTCCCTGCCAAAAGGGGCAGGTTATTTATTATGCTGCCTGGACAAGAATAAATTGGGCCCCTTTCTCGAAAGAAGAGCAAACACGCCACCTTCCTCCCTAAAGACTGAGGCAGTGGTGTTAAATGGGACAATTAATCAATGTGGGCCTTGTGCAGAGAGGAATCTGGTCTGAAGCCTGAGGGAGGATCACCTGGGGTTCTCTTCCAAAGCCAGTCAGGCAATCCCCATGGTGGGGGGTGGCTGTGCAGTGGGCATGGGCTCAGGCTTTTGCTAGTTCTCCCTCTTTCCTAATTCCTGAGGCTAGTCACCCCATAAGCCATGAGACACATGTAAAAATGGGTATTTTCCACGTTGGGAGGTAGCCAGCTAGGATTGAGCAGGGTCATGAAATAATACATTCTATCTAGAAGGGCAGAAGTTGTTTCTTGATAAACTTGATACAACATAAGTTTATAGATGGTGCCAGTTCACTGAACAGATGGCTCAAGAATATAACAATGAAAGTACCCGTGGCTAGGCAAAGCAACTAGGAAGCATAAGCTAGTTGTGCTTTGCTGGATAAGCAGCATGTACATAGGGGTGGCACTGGCACTTGGAAAGCAGTGTACCAACACCTAAAGTCCTAGGAACTGCTAGATCTAAGAAACAGTGTGTGTTGTGGGCCTTTCCATTACTTGCCTCATATTAGATCCCAAACCTAGGTGATGCTCCAAAGTCTGCAAGTTAAGATCCAAACTGCTCGGCTTTGCCACTACCCAAGCCCCAAGTTACATTTCCAGCTGTATTTCTCTTTACTGCTAAATAACACTACCCCCCTTTGGAAGAGCATAATGGATGAGGTGCTCCTTAATATAGGGCCAGTATATCTCTGCATCCTCATGTCCAGGTCATTTCTGCCATACCTGCCTCTACTCACAGTAAAAGACTTAACTTCCCTAAACAACTATGGCTTTCATGCTTCCACGCCTCTACACAAACTGTTCTCTGTGCCTAGAATATCTTTCTGAGACTTGTCTGCCTGGTGAGCTCTCTTTCCACTCCCACTGCCTGATGAACGCCTTATTCAGGATAAGCTCAGGGTATCAGCCCCCACTGCTTCACAGGACTTGAGCTTTGTCTCCTGGTGCTGCTGTCTTGGCAGAAGTGCTGGACTCCAGGAATTAGGTAAACAATGATCTTGTATGTGCAGTTGTTCTCTCATACTTCCATACATACTTGAAGCAACTTTGATTTGGGGTGTGGAGGAGAAGGACATAGAGAAGAAAGCTATTGCTCTTTGAATACCAAAAGCTGTTTTCCTCAGTTTCTCAGAAGTTCTCACTCTCTCCCACGACAGCCACACTTTGAACAACTAAGGCCCTGAAAAAATGTCAGTACTGCATATGATTTTACACCAGCTTGTGCTACTTGCATATTTCATGCTTGATCATTTCCCCAGCTGGGCTGTCAACTCTTTTAGGACAGAGGATAGAAAGAGCCTAGACTTTGCTGTCAAATAGATCTGAGTTCCAATCCCAATTATGAGCTCTGTGACTTTGAGCAGATTACTAATCTTCTTCTGAGGAGTTACTTGAGGGCAGCATCTCCTTCGGCATCTGACATGTAGAAGGCTTTTAGGATAAAGTCCAGACACCAACCTGGCCTACACTTCACTCTCCTGCTCATCAAAGCTTACTGTCCCATTTGCATTCTAAGCTCTTTTAGAATGTGCTATGGTGGTCCTCACCTCCAGACCTCCGTTTTCCCCTCCTCTGTCACAAGGCCAACTTTGATTCATTTTTCAGACTTACTGTAGCTCTCACTAATGCTAGGAAGATGTGGCAGAGACTGTTAGTTGCCTCCAATGTCCTTTCCCCCTTCCTCTATAGTAATGGACCTCCTCTCAAATCAGTGTACAGCTGGGCACGTGATTGTCCAGAAAAATGACATTTCCCAGATTTTTTTTTTTTTTTTGCAAGAAGGTATAACTTTATGGCTAAGTTCTTTCCAAGAAATGCCAGATAGTGTGGCAGCTTTTGAGAACATTTCTTAAAAGGACTGCTGGCATGATGACCATTACCATTTCTACTTTCTATTTTGAGTCTTCCTCCTTCCTGCTGGCTGCAATGCAAACGTGATGACTGGAACTACAGCAACTGTTTGGGGACCAAGGCAGAAGCCTGGGTGATTGGGATCTTTGTGGATCAGGGCTGTTTATCAGTCCTGCTTCCAGAATTCTCTACAAGGGCAAAATGAACTTCTATCTTGGGGAGGTAAGCTCCTATTTTGGGGCCTTACTTTCAATCAAACCTAATCTTGATGGCTAAGTCTTTCTTGGCTCCCCACATCTGGTTACCTCCTTGACTTCAGTAGCACCCTGCACTTTATACAGGAAATGAGGATACCTGTTTGTGTGCATCTGTCTCCCCAAGTGCAGAGGCTCTGTTTACTTTGTTCCATTTTTGTATCTCTAGCACTTGGCTGGTTTATACTAGGTGTTCAGAAAATTTTTGTTGAATGATTAGAGATGTTTTGTAGATTGAATGCAAATAATAATATTGCCTACCTTGTGTTGCTTTGAGGGTCAAATGAGAAAAAGTGGCTTTAAAATCTTAAGTTTTCTTCCCTTCTTTCCACATTCCCCCACCGATCCTCACACCCAGGGTGGGCCACCTTACAGTATGCCTTCCTTTATACTGTTTTCTTTTTCTTTTTTTTTTTTCTTTTGAGACGGAGTCTCGCTCTGTTGCCCAGGCTAGAGTGCAGTGGTGTGATCTCGGCTCACTGCAAGCTCTGCTTCCCGGGTTCACGCCATTCTCCTACCTCAGCCTACCGAGTAGCTGGGACTACAGGTGCCCACCACCACGCCCGGCTAACTTTTTGTATTTTTTTTCTAGTAGAGACAGGGTTTCACCATGTTAGCCAGGATGGTCTTGATCTCCTGACCTTGTGATCCGCCCACCTCGGCCTCCCAAAGTGCTGGGATCACAGGCGTGAGCCACCGCGCCTGGCCTGTTTTCTTTTCCTCTGGGTTCAGAAGCCTCCAGTGCAAAATGATTGGATGAGATCATTTGAATCTTAACACCCATTCTGAGTCTAAGTGTCACTCTCACCTTTTCAGTTCATAGGAATCTCTCCCTCCTCTAGCTCCCTGGAAAGGCTCTCCAGGTAGATGGAACAGCAAATACAAAGGTATTGAGGTGTTACAAGTCATGGAGAATTAAGCATCTGGGCTAGTTGGGTCTGGTTGGAGGAGGTAGATGGGCTGCTCTGCCAGAGAAGAGACAGGGATCCCACTGTTATTTATCCCGGGGGAGGCTGGGAGACAGACACAATCAAGCCCATTTCTGTATGTGTTATGCTCACACCTTACCTAGTTATTAAATGATTTCTTGCTTTTGTGCAAGAGATCTTTATAGCACTAAAAATTATGGTCAACAACACTGTTATAACTTTTGACTAGTGAGAAAAAAAATTTGTGTTATTCACCATGGTTCCCAATAACATTACTGCAATATTTGTGTCTGTAAAACATCAAAAACAACAAATGCAGTAACAGAATGCCTATAAAACTATAAATGTTTTCTGGAAATGTAGTCTTTTTGCTTTTCTTGGGATAATCCTGTGGTTCTTCAGCAGTGATTGGTGTGAGTTCTACAGAACCGCTGCTATGTGCATGGAGACCCAGAAGAGATTTTTGAGCAAGAAGGTGTCAGCCATTCAATGTTTATTGGGTCTACCAGGTGCTTGGTGCTGGCCTGGAGGGCCTAGGATGACAAAATTACTGTCCTTGAGAAGCTCACAGTTTATTTAATGTGAGGCACATACAAGTAACCAAGCAAATACAACATAAGAGCCAGACTGGAATTATTTATAGTGTGATGTGGGACCCTGGGGTGGGGAATAAAAAAGGGTATCAAAAGGAGCAGGATCAAAAGGAGCAGGATCTGGAGCTGGACCCAAACAGCTTAAGATATCCACTTAAGAAAGATCACTCCAGCACCTGTGGGGTACATGGCTGGGATAGAGAAGAAACTCTGGCCAGAGAAACCATTCAGGAGGTTTTTGCGAGTTAGGATGATAAAGGGATCTAAAATATAGGGCAGATTCTACGGAGACTGAAGAAGAATGGGTGAAATATTTGGAGGCAAAATTACTTGTGCTTGGTAAATTGTTAGAAAGTGGCAAAGGAGTCAAGAATAATTCCCAGGTTTGTGGTCTGGGGATTAGGCAGATAAAAGAGGTGAGGGCACTAAGAGGAAGGCTGGGACCTTTAGTGCCATCTCCACCATCAGTCTCCATTCCTTCAAACGGATAGTTGACATTTTCTCAATGTTTTGTACATTTCCAGGCAAAATAAACCTTCAGGACCACCTTCCAATGGGATTACCATGTCAAAGCCCCTCCTATATCATATGGAATCTAGACCATCACTGTGTGTGTGTCAAGGGGGTAGGGACAATGACCAGCATTATAATCTATGGACAAAGTTGGGCTTGGTTGCAGAATATATTTAAGTTTGGTATTCTTTGTATTTTTAAAAATTTGTTTACTTTTTAAGAATTTGAGACAGGGTTTCTGCATGTTGCCCAGGCTGGCAACTCCTGGCCTCAAGCAATCCTCCCGCCTCAGCCTCCCAAGAAGCTGGAATCACAGGTGCGAGCCACCCCACACAACTAAATTTGGAATTATGAATATGGCTGAGGTCCAGAAATATTTAAATTTGGCATGATGACTAAGAGTTTGTTATAGGAGCTCAATCATTTGATAAATATTGAACATTTCCTATGTGTCAGATTGTTTTTCCCACTAGGGATGCAGAGGAGAACAAGACAGAATAGGTTCTTGTCCTCATAGAGTGTGGGAGACAGGCAGAAGACATATAATTTCAGGTAGGTATAAGTATCATAAAGAAAAAATAAAGCAAAACAAGAGAGTGCTGGGAAAGGCCAGGGAGCAGAGAGGATGACAGAGCTGTCTTAGGGTGTTCAAGACCTCTTTGAAAAGCTGATATTTGAGCAGAAGACCACAGCAAGGAAAAGTGGCAGAGACTGCTAGCTGCCTACGCATGAAATGATGGGGGAAGGAGCAATACAGAAGGCATGTAACATTTGAGAGTCTATTAGGCATCCCAAGGGAGGTGCTGCGGAGGCGGATGCATGGAGGCGGATGCGGAGGCGGATGCATGGAGGCGGATGCATGGAGGCAGATGGATGCACACGTCTAGAGTTTAAAAGGAGATCTGAGGCGGAGATACGAACTTGGGAGCTGTTAGTCCAGTTCCAGGTTCCAATTCAACGTACTTTTATCAGAGCTCACTGTGCGCCAGGGACTTGCTAGGAGATAAATGGGGTTTATCTCACCGGAGATAAATGTGGTTGCACAGCAGATGGACACACCAGCCAATGTGGTAAATAAACCCTTGGGTCCAGCTACGTTCTGCGCGCTCTCTGCCAGCACAGAGGAGCAGCGAGTCAGGGTACGGAGCGGGTAGCGTTGGGGAAGAGGTGGCCGCGAAGCGAGACAGGCCAGCGGAACGGAAAACGGAAGCACGAGACGGGGGCGTGACGCACCGGGCGCATCACAAAGAACGGCGAGAGGGCGGTGGCGCCGGGGGCACGGCTGGGCGGCTCCGCCCAGAAGAGGGCCGAGAGGCGGGGCGGTGCCCCCACCGCAGGCCCGCGGCGCCCTCTGCAGGCCACAGGCAGCGACTCACCAGTTGCCTCATCTTTCCTCTCCTCCCTCTTGGGGCTTTCCTCAGGCCACATTTTTTGTGTGTCTGGGCAGTCTCTCAGCCTCCGACTCCCGTCCCTTTCTTCCACTTCCAGGCCGGGCGTGTTAGTGTCTTCGCGGGAAAACTGCCAATAAAGTTTTTCTTCTTCTCGCTCCCAAGATCCCCGCCTCCCCTTAAGCACCGCGAGATCTGACGGCGCGGCTACCATGGCGGCGGCATTTGAAGCCTCGGGAGCCTTAGCAGCAGTGGCGACTGCTATGCCGGCTGAGCATGTGGCCGTGCAGGTCCCGGCCCCAGAGCCAACACCCGGGCCTGTGAGGATCCTGCGGACCGCTCAGGATCTCAGCAGCCCGCGGACCCGCACGGGGGATGTGCTGTTGGCGGAGCCGGCCGACTTCGAGTCACTGCTGCTTTCGCGGCCGGTGCTGGAGGGGCTGCGGGCGGCCGGCTTCGAGAGGCCCTCGCCGGTGCAGCTCAAGGCCATCCCGTTGGGGCGCTGCGGGCTCGGTGAGAGCGGGGGCCCGGGATAGGTCGGGGGGTGGGGTGGGAGAAGGGGGACCGACGGGCGGCGGCGGCCAGGCCCGCGCCGCAGCTCAGGAAGAGCCCTCGGTCGGCCCCCGGAGCAGGGCCCTGCCGGGGGCTAGGCGCTACGCTCAGTTAACTTATTTGTAAAACTAACGTGCACTATTGAACTTGAGGATAGTTAAGACCTTTTTTTAAGCACTGACAAATGGTTCTAAGTTTGAGAAGATAAACGGTAAACGTTCAGGGACTAGGCGTGTTCTCATACGTTTTTGAGAATCAACTAAAAATGAAGGTGCCAACTAGGGGAATCTCAGGAGACCCTTCTAGTTCTCTGATTCCATGTTAGCCCCTAAGTTGCTTCAGTGAGTACTGGCTAGTGATAATTGTTTTTTTCCTTCGCAGATTTAATTGTTCAAGCTAAATCTGGCACCGGGAAAACCTGTGTGTTCTCCACCATAGCTTTGGACTCTCTTGTTCTTGAAAACTTAAGTACCCAGGTGAGTTAGCTGAGAGGACCAGAGGAGGATGTGTTTTGTGGACTTTACCACAGGTCAGATGAAATACCAGTAGCTCCTCAGAGCTGGAAGTGAATTTGATGAATGATTGAGTTAAGTGGTGGTGGTGGCGAAATTTGGAATTTTCTATGCGTACCTTATTTAAATAGAATAAAGCTACCATATATGTCAATTTTGTCACTACTTGGTAATACAGACAGGGATTCTTCTTTTACTTACTGACTAGATTAATGTGAGACTTAACATTTGACTTGATTCATGGTAATGTAGTGCTCTGGCTATTGTTGGTAACTGCAGAGTTTGTTTTTTTTTTTTGAGACGGTGTCGCTTTGTCACCTAGGCTGGAGTGCAGTGGCGGATCATTGCTCACTGCAACCTTGAACTTCTGGGCTCCAGTGATCCTCCCACCCATCTTCCTAAGTATTTGGGACTACAGGTGTGTGCCACCACACCTGGCTAGTTCTTGTATTTTTTGTAGAGATGGGGTCTCCAGTGTTGCACAGACCAGCCTTGAACTCCTGGGTTCAAGCAATCCTCCCACCTTTGCCTCCCAAAGTACTGGGATTACAGGCATGAGCCACCACAGCCGGTATGCAGGTGGTTCTTAAAGCTCTGTAAATGTATCATATTGATCTCCCATCTTCCAGGTTGTCTTAGAGTGTTTCTAAGATTGCCTTACCCAAATTAGCAGGAAATTTGAGTTTGGGGATCATTTCTCCAACAAAGGTTTGTTGAGTCCGTATTACGTATAAACAGTGTGCCAGGCATTGGGGATTCAAAGATGAATTAGATGTGATTCTCATAGCCTTACTTGGTAGTTTAGTTGTTATGGCAGACTGTATTTCAAGTTCTCAGGCATTGGTATATCTGATGATGAATCTTCAACAGTGGTTTTTAACCCAGATATCCATGTTCATCACCTGGGAAGCTTTTTGAGTCCATCTTATGTCTACCAAATCCTAGGTGATGTTGCACATTGGAAATCCTCCTACTTCCCAAGAACCTGAGTTAGTCTAATTGTAGACTAAGATGTATTTGAGATTTTGGCTTCTGACAATTTGGCAGCAGATAAAATGCTGAAATCCTGGAAAAGTTTCATCAACTCATTTTTTTTTGAGACCGAGTCTCACTCTGTTGCCCAGGCTGGAGTCAGTGGCACAATCTTGGCTCACTGCAACCTCTGCCTCCCAGGTTCAAGTGATTCTCCTGCCTCAGCCTCCCGAGTAGCTGGGATTACAAGTGTGCACACCACACGCCCGGCTAATTTTTTTGTATTTTTAGTAGAGACGGTGTTTCGCCATGTCGGCCAGGCTGGTCTCAAACTCCTGACCTCAGGTAATCCACCTGCCTCAGCCTCCCAACATGCTGGGATCACAAGTGTGAGCCACCATGCCCGGCAAATTCATATTTTTAATTTCAGATCTTTGGATTATGAAAATTACATTATTCTCTGTGTGTGTATCAAAGTAATACATATTCATTTTTAGAAATAGGGAAAATTCAGAAAAATTAGGACGTACCAGAAAACAAAATCTGTAATCTTACTACCTAGAGAGAAACTGCTATTAACAGTTTTGGCATGTTTTCTCCTAGTCCTTTTTTTTTTTTTTTTTTTAAATCAATTTTTTTTTCTTGTAGTTAAGAGCACAAAGTTTTGTTTTCTCCTCCTCCAGTAGTTACATTGCAAAGTTTTTACCATGACTCTCAAGGTCTTTTGTGATCTAGTCCCTGGAGGTAGATCTCTGACCTCCTTTACTTTCCCCTGAATTCTGTCATGTGGGCCTTCTTTTTCTTCCTCAAATACACCAAGAACACTGCCATCTTATGGCCTTTCCATTTGCTGTTTCCTCTTGGTGAAAACGCTTCCCCAGGGGTCATATAGCCAGCTCTACTCTATGCCATTCACGTAGGTCTCTGCTCAAAGTACCTCCTTTGAGGAGGTTTCATGATCACCTCATTTAAAATGACTCCTTTTTTCCTTGTTTGATTTTTTTATGATACTTTTTATTACCTGTCATTACTTATTTTTGTTTACTGTATATATTCTTATCCAAGAATGAAAGTACCATGAGGGCAAAGACTTTGTACTGTTAACTGTTGATTCCCCGGCAACTAGTATGTTGCCTAGCACAGAGTAGGTTCTTACTTAATATTTGTTGAATGAATGAATGAATGAATGGAATACAGTCAGCCCTCCCTGTCTTCAGGTTTTGTATCAGCTGATTCAGCCAACTGTGGATCAAAATACTCAGGGCAGGATGGAGGAACAATAAAAAATAATACAACAATCAAAAGATATAAACAAAAATACGGTGTAACCATTTACATAGCATTTAAATTGTATTAGGTATTATAAATAATCTAGAGATGGTTTAAAATATGTGGGAGGATGTACACAGGTAATATACAGATATATGCAATTTTATATAACAGACTTGAGCATCTGCCAGTTTTGGTATTTGGGGGCTTCCTGGAACCAATCCCCTGTGGATACCAAGGGATAACTGTACCTTACCTTATCAATAAAAACTCATTTGAAATGATCATTTAAATGAAATATAGTGTGTCATGTAATGAATATACCAGTCCCCTATGTATTTATTCCTCTGACTCAAAGGTGTAATTTATGGTTTTTTTTTAGATTTTGATCTTGGCTCCTACAAGAGAAATTGCTGTACAGATACATTCTGTTATTACAGCCATTGGAATAAAAATGGAAGGCTTAGAGTGTCATGTCTTTATTGGAGGGACCCCATTATCACAAGACAAAACCAGACTTAAAAAGTGTCATATTGCTGTTGGATCTCCTGGTAAGATAACAATGCCTGTTGGTAACCAGGGCTTTTAAGGAACTACACACTTTTAATATAACAATAAAGATATATGGGAGTCTTTGATAACTGTGATAATTATTTTGATTAGAAATGAAGAGCAGGCCGGGCGCGGTGGCTCACGCCTGTAATCCCAGCACTTTGGGAGGCCGAGGCGGGCGGATCACGAGGTCAGGAGATCGAGACCATCCTGGCTAACATGGTGAAACCCCGTCTCTACTAAAAATACAAAAAATTAGCCGGGCGTGGTAGCGGGCGCCTGTAGTCCCAGCTACTCGGGAGGCTGAGGCAGGAGAATGGCGTGAACCCGGGAGGCGGAGCTTGCAGTGAGCCGAGATCGCGCCACTGCACTCCAGCCTGGGTGACAGAGCGAGACTCCATCTCAAAAAAAAAAAAAAAAAAAAAAGAAATGAAGAGCATTAGACCAGTGAGATTTAGGTACATGACTGGTTTACCAGTGGAATTTATGAAATCTCCATTCCTAAGTATGTTTGAGAAGACATGGGATAGGCTTTTGAGAAGAGGAGAAATGCAGTGACTTTCAGGAGGCCCTTCTAAGCCATGGATTGGGATTATTCTTTGGCTTCTCTATTATATTTGGTTGCGAATCACTCAGAATCAGCATCTTGCATTCAGTGCTTTAGGTCTTTTGATAGAAATGGTGTTTATTTACTGGTGATGAAACGTGAGGGGAAAACAATGAGTTTAGTCAAGATCAGAGCTCCAGATTTCTAATTTGTGGTTTAGTGTGTACATGCATAATGAGAGTTGAATCAGGAAATTCAGCAGAACAACCTGTAAGTAATAAGTAGAGTAACAATATTGGCTGAGATTTACACAAATTTGGTACATCATAAATATTTCAATTTTTTTTTTTTAATTAGGCAGAATTAAGCAACTCATAGAACTTGACTACTTGAACCCAGGCAGTATACGCCTCTTTATTCTTGATGAAGCAGATAAGCTTTTAGAAGAAGGCAGCTTCCAGGAGCAAATAAAGTAAGAAAAATAACTAACTTGACTATTAAAACAGTGTTCCGAAGTATCTATCTTTAGCTTTTCCAAGTGGTGATTATTGTTTGAATAATTTACATGGTATCTGTTTTTATTTTGCAGTTGGATTTATTCTTCCTTGCCTGCCAGTAAACAGATGCTGGCAGTATCAGCTACTTATCCCGAATTTTTGGCTAATGCTTTGACAAAGTACATGAGAGATCCCACTTTTGTAAGACTGAATTCCAGTGATCCAAGTCTCATAGGTGTGTACAGCTTTTAGGTACTTATATTATTGGTTTATTTGTGATATGCTGGAGCTTTCCCTTGCCTAGTTTTGTCTTGCTGTTTCATGGTTACCATTAGCATATATATTTGTTTTAACTGATAGCTCTTCTTTGTAGGTTTGAAGCAGTATTACAAAGTTGTCAATTCATACCCTTTGGCACATAAGGTTTTTGAGGAAAAGACTCAGCATTTACAGGAACTGTTCAGCAGAATTCCATTTAATCAAGCTTTAGTCTTTTCTAATTTGCACAGCAGGTAATGTAACTTAAAAGGTCATCTGGGGAACTTGTGAAATAAAAGGATAGTCATGGGGCAATATTTGTAAATTTGTAACCATTTATGTTATATTTCATAGAGCACAACATTTGGCTGATATCCTTTCTTCTAAAGGCTTTCCTGCTGAGTGCATTTCAGGTAAGTTCATCTCTTACTTTAATCTTTATTTAGTATACTGACTTGAAGCCTCCAAAGTCAGGAGGAAAAAATACCACTTTATGAGTTGTCTTGAGAGTGTGAAATTATCTTGTATCTTTTAGAGTAAAGGAATTTTCAGGCTTATTTTTCATTGGAATTTGATATGTCAATATTCTATTTTTAAGGAGTAACTTGGTATATAGTAAAAAGTTAGAAAACTAGTGTTCAGAAAGACAATTTTATTAGAATCTCTCTTATAGCCACATATAACTTAATTCTATAAAACCAAGTTTGTCTGTATTGTGTTAAGATAAAAATATTTTTTCTTTAGAATTTTTTTTTTTAATAATTGTTAAAATGCTGGAGATTGCTAACTGAATTGACTGTTTTATGGTTTTGTGGAAGGCAAAAGTGATTGAGTTCTTGCTGCAAAGTTAAATGATTACTGCTGGCATAATAAGAATGAAAGAGTCGAAGGATTTTTTGATCAGTGAGATCCTTTTTAGAGTTTTGTTTGGTGTCAGCTTAATTTTTAACCTGTTGGCATGAGCTTGTTTAGTTATGGTATATCACGAGATACTGGGGAGACTATTTTCTAATGAACCAATACTTAAACTATAGATCACACTTTAACACCAAATTATAAACAGCTGATTAAAGCATTTTTATTTTCCTAAGAATTGCTAGTTATACTTCATATGTAACTTTGCAAATAGAATGTTATATATTCAGGCATGGCCTGATCACTATTTAGGATTGATTTTTGAATTTCAAGTTGATTGCCTAAACCATAGTTTAAAAGATTTTAACTTTGGATCTTAACCTAGATTTGCACAGAAGGACAGAATTAACTGTGGTTGGTGTATTAAAAGTGTTAAGACTGGGTGTTATGCTTTTTACTTTTTGTGGATTGGATAAATATGTATTAGCTTAGTTGTTTTTATGTGACTTTCTTTTGGGGTCCTTTTAGGCAATATGAATCAGAATCAGCGTCTTGATGCTATGGCTAAACTGAAGCACTTTCATTGCAGAGTCCTCATTTCCACAGATTTGGTAAATTTCCTATTCAGTTTGGGTGACTAATCCATCTTGACATATGTTCTATTATCAGATGTACAGATTTCATATATTATTTTATGTAGGCGTATCTAACAAGAATACCAGAAGATAATTATCTTTCCAGTGCTGAGGAAAATACTTTCTTAAAAATGTCTTTAATATGTTTATCTTTGTCCTTGAAATTAGTCATTAGGAATGAATTTCCTTTTCCTCTGCTCCTCAGTATTCAGTTCTTAATTTGTCTCTTGACTGTACTGGAAGAATATAATATGCATTGGTATCCATGCTGTATAGTTAATGCAAACAAATAATTGCTATCTTCTTCAATTCAAGACTTCTCGTGGGATTGATGCTGAGAAGGTGAATCTGGTTGTAAATCTGGATGTACCATTGGATTGGGAGACATACATGCATCGGATTGGGAGAGCTGGCCGTTTTGGTAAAAAAAAAAAAAAAAGTTTGAGTGCTTTCTTTAAGGGGAGGGATCTATAATGTGACAGGTGGGCTTTGAATATTATTTTTGTGAAAATGATTTACTACCTAACATTCTCTCTGCTTTTAGGTACATTGGGGCTGACAGTGACCTACTGTTGCCGGGGAGAGGAAGAAAATATGATGATGAGAATTGCCCAGAAATGTAATATCAACCTTCTCCCTTTACCAGGTACATTTCATCTGTTTCATTATTTCAAAATAATTATAGTGGTGATAAGCATAATAAAAATGATAATAATAGCTAACAGAGTGCTTATGATGTGCTGGGTACTGTTCCCAGTCCTGTATGTACGTTAACTCATTTACTTCTCACCACACTCCTATGAGGTGTGTGCAATTGTTTTGTAGATGAGGATATTTAGACATAGAGAGGGTAAGTAAAGGTGTTACAGCTAGTAAGTAGCACGGAGAGGAGTGCAAGCTAACCACTGGCACATGAAAAATGAGAGCTGGCTAGGCGCAGTGGCTCACGCCTGTAATCCCAGCACTTTGGGAGGCCAGGACAGGTGGATCACATGAGGTCAGGAGTTCAAGACGAGCCTGGTCAATGTGGTGAAACCTCTTCTCTACTAAAAATACAAAAATTAGCTGGGCGTGGTGGCAGGTGCCTGTAATCCCAACTACTTGGGAGGCTGAGGCAGGAGAATCGCTTGAACCCAGGAGGTGGAGGTTGCAGTGAGCTGAAATCAAGCCATTGCACTCCAACCTGGGCAACAAGAGTGAAACTCCGTCTCAAAAAAAAAAAAAAGAAAGAAAAATGAGAGCTATGTTAGCTCTATTTTATTAGTTAGTGGCTTTGCAATTTGATTTTATTCTTTGATACAAGGGGGGATATTTTACCTCTTAAATTGTTGTGAAGGTAATTCTTGCCATATTCTCCTTTGTCACCATGTGGAAAGAACAGCATCTTTAATTTGAATACTATTTTGAAAAATTGGAGTGAAATGTTTTCTTTTGATTTCAGTTCAGTCATTTGTTCTGCTTCTTTTTAAGTGCCCTCTTGGAAACAACGCATGTTTAAAACTAGTAATGATCTCTTAAAAACAAAAAATTCTAAAAAACCCTTGAGTGGAAATATGGCATTTTTGACGTGCATGTTATACAGAAAATGTGCACTATAAATAGTGTCTATTCATATATAGATGTATGTCTATATAGAAAAATACACATATAGGTCACGCCTGTAATGCCAGCACTTTGGGAGGCTGAGGCGGGCGGATGACGAGGTCAGGAGATCAAGACCATCCTGGCTAACACAGTGAAACCCTGTCTCTACTAAAAAAAAATACAGAAAATTAGCCGGGCATGGTGGTGGGTGTCTGTAGTCCCAGCTACTTGGAAGGCTGAGGCCGGAGAATGGCATGAACCTGGGAGGTGGAGCTTGCAGTGAGCCAAGATCCGCCATTGCACTCCAGCCTGGGCGAAAGTGCGAGACTCAGTCTCAAAAAAAAAAAAGAAAAATACACATATAGTATATACATGACTTTGCAGAATATAGGATATGTAGTTATTGAATAAATATAATTGAGTATTTTACCGACTTTATATTTAATTATTTTACAGAGCTAGATTAAGCACAGATCTGGGAGTTCTATGTATTCTAGTAGATCGGGTTAGTAATAACTCATTTTATGATCTTTTACAAATCTCTGTAATTGCTGTAAGCTTAGAGTCCTGATTTGCAAAGTACTTTAGAGTAAATGGTCTTTAGGCTCTATGTCAGTTCTAAAACTGTCAGTTCTTTCTGTGTATAAGTCTATTCGTAGTCTGATATGGGAAAAAAATTGAAAATTGGTAGAAGAGGGTTAAGACTTCTTGTAGGATTCAATATCATAGCATCTAGTGATAAAAATTGCCTTTGGATACTGGAAAATGATATATTTGGATCTTTATGTAATGTTAATAGGGCCCTGAAATCATGAGAAAATGATATTCATGCTGTTAGGTCTGTATTGGACTGGGAACTTGTGTAACAACAGATGTTCAGATGAGTTTCCTGGGGCAGAACTAGGAGGGAAATTGGCCTGTATTATAGGACTAGGCAAGCAAGGGATATCAACTGAGTAGGAATGAGAGTTTTAATCATAGAATCTGTTCAGCAAAGGATCAAGAGACTTCATTGAAGTATCCAGACCTGTGGGATTTATAGATAACATGGAGCATAAATAGCAACAACAGGCAAGATCTTTGTAAAGCAGGGGCTTGATATATCTTGTCTGCCTAAGACAAAAATTGATCACACTTTGAAAGGTCTGAGTGTGGGAAGCAAATTGTCACACCTGGATGGAATAGAAAATTTAGAGGGTTGAAGCCAGCAAATTTTTTAAAAATTAGAAATGTCATTTCTGATTTTCATAGTCACAGATCTTTTCATAGTCATCTAGTTTTTTCCCCTATAGAGGTTTTCTCTTTATTGTTAAGGGCAGTGATTTCTCCCTGTTGGAATATTGGGTGACAGATTTAGTTGGGTGTACAGAGTTGCAGTTGTATTATTTCCTAGTTGATAAGCTTTGGGGAGCACAATCCATTTTCTAATATCTTGTTTTGCTGTCAGAAGTATTGAGATAAAGGGGAGGGGCTGTGGAGAGGGAGGAGAGAAAAGATGGGAGAATTGTTGCAGGCTTGTACATTACTCCTAGAGTAAGCTCTTTTTCTAGTGAGAGTGAGGGGAGATAGTGCTTGTGAGTATGGGATGGGTCTTACATATTTCTTAGGCAGGTTTCTTTATTACAGGATTGCTTCAGTCTTTAAAAATGTTATATCTATTAAACATCTTAGTATATTTGCATATTGTTTCTTAAATGTATTTGATCATAGAAAACTTTATGAAATCATTCAGAAAACAGTGGTCTAGAGTAGCTTGAGAATTTTAATACATTTTTCTTCCTTTTTATGTAGATCCCATTCCTTCTGGTCTGATGGAAGAATGTGTGGATTGGGATGTGGAAGTTAAAGCTGCTGTGCATACATATGGTATAGCAAGTGTACCTAACCAACCCTTAAAAAAGCAAATTCAGAAAATAGAGAGAACCCTTCAAATTCAGAAAGCTCATGGTGACCACATGGCTTCCTCTAGAAATAATTCTGTATCTGGACTATCAGTCAAATCAAAAAATAATACCAAACAAAAGCTTCCTGTGAAAAGCCACTCAGAATGTGGAATCATAGAAAAAGCAACGTCACCAAAAGAACTGGGCTGTGACAGGCAATCCGAAGAGCAAATGAAGAATTCTGTTCAGACTCCCGTTGAAAACTCCACCAACAGTCAGCACCAGGTCAAAGAAGCTTTACCTGTGTCACTCCCCCAGATTCCTTGTCTGTCTTCCTTTAAAATCCATCAGCCATACACGTTGACTTTTGCTGAATTGGTAGAGGATTATGAACATTATATTAAAGAGGGGTTAGAGAAACCTGTGGAAATCATCAGGCACTACACAGGCCCTGGGGATCAGACTGTGAATCCTCAAAATGGTTTTGTGAGAAATAAAGTTATTGAACAGAGAGTCCCTGTGTTGGCAAGTAGTAGCCAATCTGGAGACTCTGAGAGTGACAGTGATTCTTACAGCTCAAGAACCTCTTCCCAGAGCAAAGGAAATAAGTCATACTTGGAAGGCTCTTCTGATAATCAGCTGAAAGACTCTGAATCTACGCCTGTGGATGATCGTATTTCTTTGGAACAACCACCAAATGGAAGTGACACCCCCAATCCAGAGAAATATCAAGAATCACCTGGAATCCAGATGAAGACAAGACTTAAAGAGGGGGCTAGCCAGAGAGCTAAGCAGAGCCGGAGAAACCTACCCAGGCGGTCTTCCTTCAGATTGCAGACTGAAGCCCAGGAAGATGATTGGTATGACTGTCATAGGGAAATACGTCTGAGTTTTTCTGATACCTATCAGGATTATGAGGAGTACTGGAGAGCTTACTACAGGGCATGGCAAGAATATTATGCTGCCGCTTCTCATTCATATTATTGGAATGCTCAGAGACATCCAAGTTGGATGGCAGCTTATCACATGAATACCATTTATCTACAAGAAATGATGCATAGTAACCAGTGATTATAGGATATACCTGAGACCATCAGGAACTGTCAACAAATGATACCTTTGGATATCCATCCTCCTCGACTTATAGTACAGTGGTGTATAGTGGCATTTCTGATAAACTTGAAAAGACTTGAGTCTTTCCACTGGGACACATCCATTTTTCAGATTGTTTTGATTTAGGCCAGGTATATTATCTTCATTTTTAAGAGTTTCTTTAAGAAACTTCATCAGATTGTTGAAAGATAATTTTTGGGACATAGAGCTGAAAGTTTCAGGGTGCCATTTTCTATAAGATCTTCCCAAAAGAAACATTTAAAAAGATGACATATACCACCACTTACTTAAAAACAATAAAAGCAATAGATTTGATTAGTAATATTATTGCTGTGGAGTTCTTTACAAAGGGCTTAGGCTGCATTTCCTTCTATAGAGGTGCATTCTTGTAGAAATTTGTAGCATGGTAGATCAGAAAATCCTCTTAGGTTTTAGGCAGGAAGGAATATTTAAACATTGCTTTAGATTTTCCTAAAGGTATTTGATTTGATCTGTTAGCTTCCAGTAAAAATATTTGTTTTTAGTAAAAACAAATTTAAATATATTTACATGTTTGTTGTTTATCTTTTGAATGTCTTTTGAGGCTGTGAAAGCTGTCCACATTTTTGCTGTGTATTAAATAGCTGTGGGTCATCAGTTGCTGTCTTACTTGTGTTGCTCAGATAGAGGAGCAGCTCTTAATCTTTTTTGGTTCTTGGATCCTTTTATGAATCAGCTGATAGCTATAGATTGACTTCAGGAAATTTCTCATTCCATAAGCACAGAATTGTGAGTGTAATTTCAAGGGGTTCATAGACCCTCTGAAGTTCATCTATACAGTCCAGATTAACAAGTGACCTGCTCTGCTGGTAGGCTAGGGGAAGTTCTAGCTCTTAGTTTTAAGTATTTTGTGGAAGCTGGAATTGATTCTCTTCAGACACTTCTTAGTACATCCTAATTTTGTGTCTTCTAGAAAATTTTCCCCAGTTTTTACCTCTAATGTTAGGATCCAAGAGGAGCTTGGATCTGAGCTGATGCATCTGTAAATTACGATTTAGAAAAATATAATTGGAAATTACATATTCTTTGCTTTTTTCCTCTGGAAATCCTTTTATGATTAAGCTTTTGGTTCCCAAGCCTTTCTGTGAACTGGATTTTTTATGAGAGAACCACTTGTGTAGAGAGATGTGTATTCACTTTTTAAAAGGAAAGCTCTTCTTTCCTGTGTACATACTTGTCTAGGTAGTATAAACACTTTCCCCAGGGCTGTCAGCAAACACCCACAGCCATTGTCATTTATTGTCCAACACCTACATAACACAATTCTAAAATCCTACTTAACTTGGATTCCTGTCATTTGGATTGGGCAATATTAGGCTTTTCTTACATGTGTCAGTATGTGAATTAATTAATAATGTAGATAGCAAATCCATAATTAGGTCCAGTATGTCATTAAGAAGTAGAGATTTTAATTACACATTTAAATAAGATCCTGTCATTGATATATAATTGAATTTACTTTTTCCATCCTTTCCCCCACAATACAGCCAAGTTCAGTTTGTCATTGCTGGGGGATTTTAATTAGGGTACTGCCTCATCTTAATTAGAGACGAGGTTACCCATTAGTCTTCAGAGTAATTGGATTCTCTATTTTGTGCTTGCTTTTTTTTCCCCACAAAAATAAGCTGGAGGTAAGCATATGTATAACATACAAAAATACTAATTGCTTCAATTTCCATAAGCATTTACCAGGAAAATGGCAGCTGCCACCTTCTCAACTAACAGGTAGCTATAGTTGTGGATGTGGAAGGGATCTTCCACATACTGCTATTTGTGTGTGACTCACCTTTGTGTGGAAAAAAATTTTTTTTTTGATTGTCAGTCTAGGTGCATCTTTCCATCATCTGTTAGGAACCATAGAGAGGTTTACAGTAGATTCACTTGAGAAGGCTCTGTGGTGGTGTGAAAAAGGTACTTGTCCTGGTTGATACTGCTACTACCTACTTTTTAACCTTGTACCAGTCATTTAACCTCTCATGGTCCAGTTTTCCCATCAATAAAATGAAAGTTGGACTAGAAGATTTTTAGGATCCCTTCTAGTTCTATGATTATATGACATATGCTGAAGAAAAAATAGTTTCTAGTTCAGGAAAAGGATAATCAAATTTATAAATACAGAAAGCCTTTATAAATTCAAGTAATTTGGACGAAGGCTGATGTGAATTGGTTAAATGTCTGAATTTGTGAATACTTGTAAATCATTAACACTGCAACTATTCACGTTAAGCTGTAACTTGAATTAGGCTAGCAATATTAACATGTAGCGAGATATTTGAGAAACCTGCTACTTTGAATAATTCTGACTTAGAATATGAATTATTTTGGATGACTAAAGGTAATATTTTCTAAAGTAGCTTAGGTATTACAGTAATACTTATTAACCTTTTAAAATGTGGTTTAAAGGCAAAGTTCAGCCCCTGAATACTAAAAATAATTGAACATACAGTACTTGCGGATCACTCTGTATGAGACAAAGGGAGTAGTATGAAGTTTTATGTTTTTTTCCCCCTTAAATGAAATCTACATTAGTCTTTTAAAAATATGTATTTTTGATAACCCTAGCTGACAGAACTCCATCGCAAGGTTATTGACTTATTTTGGCAGAATGTGTTTATTATTTTGTACCTCTGTACACAAGCACGTATGTCTCACTTGACATTCAGTGCGTCTTAATGAAAAAGAACACAAATTGCTCAATGCATATCTGGTTTCCAGTTATTTCTACCCGAAGATTATTTGGTCTGTGGGTCTGCAGTGACACCTAGTGGGTGATAAGGATGTGAGCATCAATGATTAAAATGAATTTCACAGCTAATTTCTAAGGTCTTTGGGCATCATGTATTTGTTTTAGTGTTCCATTTCTATTACTGTTTTCATCAATTGGATCTAGTTGTGGGGAAATTAAAAGGATTCTCCTCATTGCCAACGGTGAAACAGACTGCCGGTTGGTCTTATCACCTAAGTCAGAATTGTTAAGTTTGGAACAGATTTCCAAGATAACTAATCCAATCCCCATTTTTTGTTGTTTGTTTTTTTAGAGATGAGGGTCTTATTATGTTCCCTAGGCTGGACTTGAACTCCTGGGCTCAAGGGATCCTCCTACCTTAGCCTCCCAAGTAACTGGAACTACAGGCACATGCCACTATGCTCTAATTCTCCATTTTTAACAGGAGGAAACTAACTGAAGCCAAGAGGGAGTTACTGATGGGAAGTCACAATTCAGTGCTAGAACCTAAACTTGAATCTCCACCATCTGATTCCCAAGCTTTCTACAATACCCCACAGAACATTTAATTCTGAGTTTTCTTTTTAATTTGAGAACTTGGTACTCAGTAAAACCAGTACTGATACATAAAGTCAGATTTTCTTTCAATAATATGGGGTCAGTGTTCAAAATAGAGCCGTTGATAGATAAAATCGAATGCTTTACCTGTTAGCGAACATCCACAAATACAGCATACAAGCAGGCAAGAACCATCAGCGATATCATAGAGGAGTTGTTTATGTTTACATTGAGGGATGGAGTGGGAAGATTACTCTAGGCCTTTAATAACCCTTCTAAGATTCTGTGAGTTTTCTCTAGCAAGGTAGAAAGCCAATCTGTGTTCAAATTATTCTATTTTCTAGCATATACCAGCACCTTTGGGAGGAAAGGAGAATCAGTATTCAAAGAAACAGTCATTTTAGGGTTTGTGGCACATAATTTGTTTAATCCAGATTGGATACATCAGGTACAGCAGTGGCACACGACTCAATACTGTAAATGATATACATGTTTTAACATATGCACTACAGTTTCAAAAGAAGACGACAGGAAACTCAAGGGTGTTTTTTTTTTTTCATAGAAAGTTTTCATGTTTTATCTTCCTGCAGTTTTGTACAGTATATTTCTTCTTTGCCATTGTGATGTTGATAAGCAAAGCCCATTTATTATACGAAAATAGAAAAGAACACACTTGATGTATCTCACGATGACATTAATGGGGGGAAGGGTGTGACCTCTAAGGAAAACATTACATTGGAATGTCTGATTATCAAAAATATACCATCCCTCCCACCTCCCAGGTTTGTAAAATAGTCCATTGGTCCAAGGAGCCCCCCAGGACTTGGGTCAGTGCCGTACACTGGTTAGAGTGACATCATCCAGTGTAGTTGAGTAACCTGCTAAGATAAATGTCATTCCCACACTTGAGAAAAAACACAGAACATTCTGAATAGAAAACAAGACTTAAAAGGAACCCCTTTAAAGCTGTTTCATTTTCTGATAGCCACTTTCTCTTAGTTTTAATGATGCTCTTCATGGTGCTGTTTGGGCTCCGAGGGTCATGGGTCATAACAATGTTTTTCCTTCATCTAGTCATTTTAAAGCTTTGCAAATAATGAGATTTCATTAGGAAATCAGAAAGAGAAAATAAAAGTTTGTCATGGTTACCATGCCAAGTAGTGTAGAAAGGAAATGAATATTGCCTTAAGTTCACAGCATTGGGATATTTTTGCCTTATAGTTACCTGGTAATTGAAGTGGGAGACTGGAAAACTGGAATTCTTTAGTAACCTCGAAATCTAGTGTTAGCTCAATTTTCAACCACTTCCTCTGCAAAACTTAAGGAAAAACTCTTAAGTACATAATGTCCCAATGTACATTTTCCTTGTCTACAATCTAATAAGTGATATCCTGAACTGTAGGAATCATATTTTGAAAACTGGATAAAATCATCAGCATATCCACAAGTTGACATTTTTGTTAATTATAGATCGGCATTAACTGTCAACTTTAAGTTCTGTTCAAATTCTGTGTGATTGTAAACTAATGTGTTCAACTGTCACTGAGAATATCTATTGGTCTTTTGAAAGGGAGTCTATGCAGTTAGTCCTGAGCTTGGCACTAGTTATGAAAATAGGAGATGAAGGAGAAATAGTACAGAGTTTGTTTCCAGAGATCTTGGTTCACGGTGGTTCTGAATTGAATACTTCCCTCCCCCACGTCACCACCCTGGAAATCCAGGTATGAAAAATATAAGCAAGCCTCAGAGCAGTGCAATATAATGTGGAGGAAAAATCCTAGGACAAGATGTCTTAAGTCCTGGATTGCAATAATGGTTCTGCCACTAACTTGTCATGTGAACTTGGATAAGTCGTTCAGTTTCTTTCCACATGTTTTCCCCTCTCTGAATCAAGGATTTAGCTACTTTACCTACTACCATCACAGACTGTCATAAGAACCACAAGGAGTATAAAAGGTATGCTTCAAAATGTCACTGTCCTAGTCTTCTCTTCATTGAGAAGAGAAAATATTTGACTAAAAAAAATTGACTCTTCACTTGTTCACTGATTTCTGACAAAATTGATAGTCCATAGATGTTTCTACCCAGAGAATGGTGGTTTCCAAAGTATGGTTTGTATTGGTACAGTCAGGTGATTTCCAAGGGCTGTGTCCAAGTAGTATTGACATATACGTATTGACATATAAGACTATGTCTCCAATTACAGTATGGATTCTTTGATGGATCTTCTCCAAAGCATCACTGCTCTCAGAGGCAGTGGGTGTGGTAGAAAATGCATTAGACTAATAGCCAAAAGACTCGTGTTCTGGTCTCAGATCTGTCATTAAATAACTGCATGACCTTGAACAAGTCATTTAATTTCTCTGGGTCTCAGTTTTCTATACTGTAAAATGAATTAGATATTCTTAAATCTTTTCTAGTTCTGATATGCTCTTAATACTACATTTTCTAGGTTCACATTCATTTGACATTTGAATGTAACTGTTAGGTTGGTTGGTTGGTTTGTTTTTCCCTCCCCCTCTTAATGCTGAGTGGGACTGAATGGAATAGGTGGTTTTGGGAATATTTTATTATGTCAAAGTGGTTCATGAACTATGAAAGCTCAAGGGTCATGGCTATTGGCCCCCAGAAAATCCTGATATCCTGGTTTTTCAGTCACTGGCCAATGAGTTAGACTTATGAAACCAATTCAGCATACTTTGGACCTTGTGTTTTCTTACAGTACCCTTTAGCAGTGTCATCTGGCTGTGTTCTGTAGTGTAGATGAGCCATTTTCCAAACGTTGACATTTTTTGGACCAGAAGTGAGCTGGATCTTTTCTCTGGCTAAGGCTACAGTGGAGGATGGAGGAAAAGGGGATGGTCTAATGGTCTTTTAGGAAGTGGCATGACGTGGGCTCTGAACGTGAAGTGGAAGGAACACAAAACATTCTGTTGATTAGGACCAATAAAAAAACATGGGAAATTGCTTGGGACATGATATTTAACATTTATTAATTTTTGTGGGAACCAGTAAAATGTTCCCTTGGTGCCCTATCAAACAGATCCTTTGTTGAATCTGTCACTATTCTAACCCTGTAATGATCTGTTCTTAAATTCATCACAGGAAGTTTGTATGTGTGTGCAACCAGTTCTAATTTACCTCCTTTTTTTTTTTCTTTTCTTTTTTTTTTTTTTGAGACGGAGTCTTGCTGTGTCACCTGGGCTGGAGTGCAGTGGTGCAATCACGGCTCACTGCAACCTCTGCCTCCTGGGTTTAAGCAATCCTCCCCCTCAGCCTTCCAAGTAGCTGGGATTACAGGGGTCCACCACCATGCCTGGCTAATTTTTGTATTTTTAGTAGAGATGGGGTTTCACCATGTTGGCCAAGTTGGTCTTCAACTCCTGACTTCAGGTGATCTGTTCACCTCGGCTTCCCAAAGTGCTGGGATTACAGATGTGAGCCACCGCGCCCAGCCCTATTTACCTCTTTATCTCTTACCCCAGTCAGATCTTATGAAGCATAACTAAGATACTTAGACACTCATAATTTTGCTCTAGTACTCATTTTTTTTAAGAGAAAAATTCTTTTCTAGTCCTTTGCCCGCCCTCTAAGTGAAGTTTAGCTTGGTCTTCTAATGAGATGTGTATATGAAGTGAATTGATTTAAGTATGTATTCTCTGATGTGTTTAGGTTGGTTGTGTGTATACACATGTACTCTGTAGTTGTAAAGCTTTTCTGCCTTCTTAGTCTGTAAGCTCAGAGGGCAAGAACCACTCCATTCCCACATTAGGGGACCCAGAGAAAGAACTCAGCCCATGGTCAATGAGGATAAGCATAAAGAGATAAAGACAGAAAGAAGGCTCCCTCTCCTCTGCCTTCTGCCCACATTCTGGTTAGGTGCCACCTCGAAACCTTTTGAACCTACAGGGTCAATCGAGCTGGGGTCATAGGGAAGCCCACGAAGGGTGTTTTTAGGTTCCTGGCTAGTAAAACTCATTTAGATGGCTGTGGTGGGGAGAGAAATTCTTGGCCTACAATTAAACAGCTAACCACTAAGCTGTAGGATGGATAGGCAGCTCCCGAGGAGCTCATGTATTTCAGAGCCCAGGCTACAGAGACTGCAGCAAGGTGGCTGGGTGTTGGGAAGGGCAGGAAAGGACTTGTCACTAACCCTGAGGCCCACCTACTCTGCTACAAGCAGTGAACAATGGTTAGGAGGATTCCAGAAATGCTGCCCCCAGCTCCACCAGGGTGCAAGCTAGTTGAATAGATATGTTGTCCAGGTGTTCAAGAAATAATCTTCACTCCTTTGCTTGCACAGAGGTGATGAGGCTTCTCCCCCATTTCAGCATCTTCAGGGAGATCAGGCCGAAGCCTCTTCAGACATCAAGGCATCTTTCATAGCAGGTAAGAATCATCTAGAATCTCTTACTTGCTTTTGCTTTGAAGCATTTTTCTTGAGGCACACAGGCTTACCCTTCCACAGCCTCTGTGTGGGAGTTGCCTCTGGTTTGATATAAGTCAGAGGAATCTTGGTCCCCGTACCACTGCCCTCTCTGGAGAAAACTACTCCCGGGGCCTCTTGGAAGGGCTCTGGATGGGCTTTATGGTGGGTCTTGAAGGAAGGGTCCATAGCAAGGTGCCCTAATGACCGGCTGAGGCTGCGAGCCCTGGGTCCTTCCGTTCTCCCCTCACTGGCACATACCAGAGTTGACCGCGTCTCAGGTGTTGGCGATTTGCCTTTTCAAGATTCCAGTGTGATAAATCTGTTCATTCCCTTTCTTTCCCAGAAACTGAAACTGCAAACACGAGTGGTTCCAACCCCAAGGGAAGTACCTCTGTTCTGTGAGGTAGACTTCCCTTACCCCTAAACTCTCCCAATTTTTGCTTCACTCTTTCCTCCTCTGCAGTTGCATTCACACAGATAGAACTCCCAGGCACAAGTCTGTTGTGCGTGGCAGTGATGAAGAAGGCTTTACTGATGTGTTTCAGGATCATTGGGATCCAGGTAGAGACAGATGGCTGGACACAGAAACAGCTAGGGGTAAGCAGAGAGGTACAGAGACAAGGGAGACAGGGACAGACAAAGGGTAAGGATTGCCGTGTGGTCACTTGGCAGCTCTGCACAGGTCAGCTGGGCAGTGGGGGCCCAGGCTCAGTTGACCTCACCCACCTGGGGGAATGGAGAGAGAACTCAGCAATAACTGACTTCTTAGCCTAAAAGCTTTTGCTATAAAAGGAGAAAAAAAAATCCCTCACAAAATGCATTGTTTTGGTTCAAAGGTGTTGGGTCCATGGAGAAAAACATTTCACAAAAATCCGTTGGTGTTTTTGTTTTCCACCTTTTCCCATGAATAAATATTATCCATTAAGAGCCTTGAAAAAGGTGCTTAAATACACAGTGTTATATTTTCTTCCTGTTTTGCTTGTGACAACTTGGCCTCTTTGCTGCTCTTGGTCTTGTATTTTCCTCACTGGGGTCTCCAGAAACGACTGTTATTTGGTCTGAGTCTGAGGCTCCTCCATCCAGGCCCTGTCCTGGCACATAGCCTATATCCCCCGGCCTATCCCCGACCCCCCCACCCTCCCTCCCTTCCTCTGGCCCCAGTGAGATGCAGTATCACAGGGCTATGTCCACGCTAGCAGCGTGAACCTCAGGTGCCCCTTTGCTACCTCTTTTTCCTTCCAGGCACAAGTCTCAGTGCTAGGGGTACAATGGGGCAGGCAGAAATAGTGGGGAAAGGGGGGAGGGAGTGGTCTCAGTGACCACCCACCAACATGCCAGTCCCCTTCATTCCCCACTACCCACTCTGGCCCTCTGTCCAGTGGTTTTACAAGGCGGAGACCTTGACAACATTGCTGGCTATGGAAGGAATGTTCGTGTTGGGGCCTGGGCTGGCAGGGGGTGGCCGACTTTCCCCCTCTGGGGTTAGCGCTGGGGGAGTGGGGATGCTGATGATGGCTGTGGTGATCTGGGATGTTTTGCAGTTTGGTCTCAGTCCGTCGTCTGCTTTCAAATTAAGGCTGGAGCGACTGGGATAGAAAAGAGTGAGTTGATGATGGTTCCTGCTGGCCAGCGTCCCAAAGCTTCCTTGACCCCCTACATTTCTTGCTCGTGGTAACTAGGAGGATATTTTGTTGTGCCTCTATCTCTGCCTTTTGTAATCAACTTGTAATTATCCATTCTAATTATTATTCCCAAACTACCAGAAATTACCAAGTTGTATATAGTAGGCTTTGAATTGCAGAATGTACATCACCCCCACCAGTGATTGTATATCTATCATTTGTGGCATTTGGCATTTGCATTCCCTGAATTCTCTGCAACGCATTTGGAGGTAGTGGGAAGTGGCCTAAATATAAGCAGAGGGGGAGGGAAAAGTCAGTCTCTGGGATTCAAATCAGCCTAGGATAAGCCATGAGTAACACAGATACGAAAACTGTTTCTTGAGAAAATGGTTGGTCCATTCCTTGTACCAGATCAGGTCATTTTTGTGTATCTAGAGACACATTATTTTATATGTATATATATAATTATTTTTAAAGTTTTTTTTTTTCCCTGTTACCTATTTTCAGCCTAAACTGCTATAGTACCTACTCCAACAGCATATGAAGGGCCTTTGGGTTTCCTTGCAAGGAAAGGAGGAAGGTAGAGGGGCTCATGCATTAGATAAGGGGAGCGGCTAGAGGATCCTCAAGGTTCTCCTAATGCTGCAATTGTCTAATTCTGTGAATGGGATGATTCGAGCCTTTGCGGGTGATGGGATGGAAGCCACCCACCTGGTTGTGAGGGAGGGCTGCTCACTGCCCTGGATGTGGATCGTGCTGAGCTCTTGCATGCTGCGCAGGCGAGTAGCTGGCAGGTTAGAATTGGGCAGGTGTGTGGTCTTCTTACTACGACGGGAGCAGCAGGTGGTAGTGAGGCCTGGGTGGCTGGACAGTGAGGGACTTCTTGTGGATGGGTAGTTCTGCATTGAACTCTCCATGCAGTTCTGCTCAAACATCTGCTCATCAATAAACTCGTGGTTCTGCGGGAGGCAGAAGGAGAAGAAGTAGGAAAAGGAGGTAGGGAGGAGAGAGGTAAGCCCCTATACTCTGTATGGCTGCCTGTCTCTGTTCTGGACCTTGAAGGAAGGGCTCCCAGCTGCCCGGATCACAGATAAGCATTCAGGAGGGGTGATGTCCCATGGGCATCCAATGAGGACAGAAAGAGAATCATATTGGCAGCCCTGGCCATCAGTTCAAAGGGTAGGGACTGCAGTTGTGAAATCATGATGTGACATATACTTCACCTACAGCTTTGAGCTGAAGGGACATAGAGGACACAGAGGAATTCAATGGCATCATCACAGCTAGAGGCAAAGACTTTACTTTCCAGGCTTTGTACAAGATCTGCCAGAGGTGGCAGATAAGGAGTCACTGACTGTGGGAAGTGGGTATGCTAGGTTGTCTTTCCTGGATTTAATAGGTAAGGGTATGACAAAAACTTTTAAACATGGGGGTCATTCACAGAATTGGGAGAGCACTGATCCTGAAGGCCAGTGGGCAAACTGTCACGGATAGGGTTTCTTTTAATTATTTTTTTCCCCACCTGATTATGGGATATGAGTCCTTAATATACCTGGAGGCACAGGATTCCCTAGGTCAAGTGTAAGCATGGGAAGGGATTGCTAACTGTCTCCTGACTGGAGGCCATTGGGATGGGGTATAGCTGAACCCAGGATAACTAAAAAATGGCTGTTTGGCCAAGTTGACTACAAATCTATGGCATTGATGGTCTGGCTAAGGCTGCCAGAGTGAGGAGAAAGTCTGAAGAGAAGTGGCATGAAAACAGAGTTCAGGGAAAGACCAGCCTGGCGGCAAATACCAGGAGTCCCCACGGAGCTGGGATGTGGCACAGACAGATGTGGCACTTGGAGACTAACAGGATACCAGCACTGGTGCCATGTTCCACCACCCCTTCCACGCCCCTGGGGAGTTCCAAAGAGGGAACTAGAAAGACAGTTGGGTGGTTCAGCGCAAGAAACTGGAAGCCTGAGCTGGTGCTGGGTGTGACAGCAGAGGTAGGAGGAGCCCCAGAAGAATCAGCAGCACATGCACAGAACCAGGCCGGGGGGTAAAAAGGGGAGAATCCACAGACTCAGAATTATCAGAGAGAAAAACATCAATTGAATTTTTAAAAAGTTATACCTTGATGGTGGAGGTTCGTACAGATAACAGGGGATCATCCACAAGATAGGACAACCCCTACAGGACAACATGCCAACAGAAGATAAAAACACCATTGATTGTACATTCCAGCATTCCCAAGCCAGTTTTGACATTCAATCTCTTGATCCCGGCATTCCACCCTTTGAGTCAAACATTCCACCCCTCATTCCCAGCATTCTGCCCCCTTCCTCCCAACATTCCACCCTTTAGCCCCAACAGGACCCTGCTCAACCCCAACATTCATTCCTTCTATCCCAACATTCTGCCTCTCCTGTCCTGACATTCCACCCCTTAAGTCCAACATTCCTCCCCTAAAATCCAGCATTCCAGAGCTTTAATCCCAATATCTCACCCCCACAATCCAACATTCTTTCCCTCAAATTCAGCATTCCATCCCTTCAATGCCAGCATTCCATCCCTCAATTCTAAAATCTCATTTCTTTAATGCCAACATTCCAGCCCTTCAAACCCAAATATTTTCACCCATATCCTTTCAATTTACACATTCCACCCAGCACATGCAACTTGGAAAGGGCAGTTGGGTCCGGGCCTATCCCTTTGGCAAGCTCAGAGTCTTTGAGAGAAAGTCTATACATGAATATATGTTTTTGATGATAAATCCTGTAACTAGGGTTTGCAGAGCACCTTCCCATTTTGGAAGTAATTATTGGGTTCAACTGTCATCCACAGGGTCCACATTTGGCTCAGATAGAGTCATCGAAGCCAGGCATGGTGGTCTGTACCTGTAGTTCCAACTACTTGGGAGGCTGAGGTGGGAGGATCACTTGAGGCCAGGAGTTTTAAGACCAGCCTGGGCAACATAGCAAGATCCTGTCCCTGCAGCCCCACACCCCCCTCCCCACCAAAAAAAAAGGAGTCATCTAACATTTATTCTCTCTACATCTGGGAGGCCAGGATATGGAACATCTAGAATTAGGAAGTTCCTTCCTTAGGGTACTGAGCCCTGACTATAGACTCTTTGGGGAGGAGGTTCTGGAAAGGAGCAGGAAGGCTTTCACTTTGTTTCTCCTTGGCTTTTCTACTCTGACCTCTCTTCCCTGTCTACTATTCCTAGCAGTTTCTGCCAAGGGTCCAGGGTTGGCCCCACTGCCCTTCCTTTCAGTCTGATGGTTAGGCACAAGCATCATTCCACACTCCAGCTGTGGCACCCTAAACCATGGCTCTGTTTTAACAATCAGCCTGTTAGCATCTGGACTCCCTGAGAACCACAGGGTGACTGGGCAGGGGTGGGGGTGGGGGGGCGGTACTTCTGAATCCTAGTTGGAGAAATACATGCACTACCTCCTTCACACGCTGTCTGCAGGAGGATGTAGGGAGCCAAGGGGCCCACAGGCTGCATCAACCCAGCCCCAGAGGTGGGACAGAAATCAACACTCTTCTCTACTCTCCTACACAAATTCAGCCCAAGCTTTGAAGGGTGATGCCTGTCAGAACTGAGAAACTGATAGGCAGACCCCTAAGTCCTCAATAATCAAGAAATGGGCTGTGGAGACGAGTGTAGGAGTGTGTGGGAGGCTGGGGGAATGGCCTCCTCAATGCTCCTGCAGGACAGAGCTGGTCTCCCACCCTGGTGACCTTGCCCCACTCCTCAGGGTCTTCCACCTGAGGGCCAGTAGATCCCATCACTACCTTTTGGATCTGAAGGGGACAGACTTTGACTTCTGGCCCAGAGTGAAGATGTGAGTACAGCCTTAGAAAAGGGTCAGGGTCAGCGATGAAAAGGAGGTGGCAAAGGGCTGGGACTCACAGTGGTTTTTTCCAGGCAGTGCAGCAGGTGATGATGCTGGCTCTCGATGAGTGAGGTGGTCTTGCCCATGTGCTCCTCTTCTGGGGTGCCCTAGTAAAAAAAGAAGAGAGATTGAGTAAAAAGCTGGTGGCTCTTCCCCTCTCCAGCTCCTTCATTTCTCCACTAAAGGTCAAAGGGCAATAGAATAATCAAATTTTTTTTTATTTGACCAAATTTCAGGGTCAGCATTGAATATGCTAACCTTTGGGCTCAGGGGCCCTTGGTCTAAACCTGGTTTAGAGGTAGTGGTGATAATCCTATGGAAGTGGTGTGTGAATGGGGGGCTGCTACCTGGGGAAAGTTTGGAAACGTGTCCTCCTTGGGGTTCATACTGGGGCTCTGGTGAGAGTGCTGGTGTCCCGGGAAAGAGAAAACAAGCCCATCTACCCCTTTATGTTCCCTAGCCCAGGTCCTCTAGGCACCTACCGTCAGCTCCAGCGCCTCGTTGAGGAGCCCGTTGCGCTTGCTGTGCAGGTATGCATTCGAACTGCCTGTTTTGGCCACACGGATCCTGGCAAGGCGGGCCTTCTGTGATTGGCAGAGATAATAAAAGAATGAGGCAGACCATGATACAAAAAGACAGCAAGGCTGGTGAAGCTGTGAGGCTGGCTTCCCAGGTGACACCTGATGAAGGGGATGAGGCTGTTTCTCTCCAACCTCATGCATCTCCAGTTGTGTACCCACTTTGTATAGCTTGGTTGGGTCAGAATTCCCAGGAGTCTCCACTCATCTCTCCAGCCCGGGTATAATCCTGGCAGGAGAAATATCACTCATCCAAGCTCTCTTCTCCCAAAGGTTTCATGACCTTTATCTACTCAGTATTGCAAAATGCCATGTGCTATTCAGTTGTGCTCCTCAGTTTTCTTATCTCTAACTAAATTGCAAACTCCTTAGAGGAGTGTATGTGATAGCTGCCCTGATTCTCCTCTAGGGTCCAGTACAATTTTCTGCATATAGTAGGTCCCCAAGTATTAGTTAATTATGAGAAAAGCAAGGAGTGGGCCTATGTGCTCTTCAATGCTTCTTAACTCCTCTGCAATTTTTTTCTTTGCACGTATTACTAAGGAAATATATGTTTTATATATTTTTCTTGATACTTTCTCTTTCTCTTCCACTAAAATGTAAATTCCTTGAGGGCAGGAGTTTTTGCCTTGTTTACTGATGTACCCCCAGTAAACAGTAGGTTCTCGATTTTTAAAGTTAATAAACACATTTACAATTGTATATCTGTCTTTGGGAGTAGATTCATGCATGTATATGGTTTTTTTATTTTTTTGAGACGGAGTCTCGCTGTCACCCAGGCTGGTGTGCAGTAGCGTGATCTCGGCTCACTGCAACCTCTGCCTCCTGGGTTCAAGCAATTCTCCTGCCTCAGCCTCCTGAGTAGCTGGGATTACAGGCACCCACCAACACACTCAGCTAATTTTGTATTTTTAGTAGAGATGGGGTTTCACCATGTATCACCATGTTGATACCATGCAGGAGGGCTGCATGGTATCAAGCTCATCTCTCCTGCTTGCACAGGGAGAAGCTGAACACATTACATATGCTGGCTGCCCTTCTCCTTCCTAATGACTGTAATCATTGTCACTATGACAGTAGCACAGCCAAAGAGAGAGGACTAAGGAATGAGACTGAGAGAGGGAGAAGGGACTGGGTAGAGGTTTCTTGCTAGTTTAAAAAAATGCAGCTTGAGGTTTGGGCTCTGTAAATCTATTTACAGCCCCAGGTGCTTGCTACTGGAAGCAGAACAGCCCACAAGGATAGCAGACCCATCCTGGAGTAGAAGGTCCCTCCTCCTGGCTCTGAGCAAGTCCACATGTGACTTCAGCATGGACCCTAAGCAGGAAAAGAGTCCTAGGGAAATTGTGGCAATTTCCACTTCTTGTCACCCTCTCCCCAAGTGTCCTGCTGGGCTGGTTCATCTGCTAAAAGGAGGCCACAGTCTCAGGGGTTCAGGTGGACAACAGAAGCACAAAGGATGTATATCTCTTGCTTCCTGGGAAGTATCTCCTTGCAGAAACAATTCAACTCCCTTCCCAGGCTTCTAAATGTGGGGAAGGGGCCAGGACTTGAGCCTGAAAGATCTTCCTTTAAGTCTGAGGAAGACTGCTCCTCTTGATGAAGGAGAGAATAAAAAGGGGGACCTGGGAGAGAAAGGATGATGGCAAATCAGCCCTATCATTCCTCCTCTCTACAAGCAGAGAACATTGACTAGGGGGCCAGGACAGTTTTACTCCATGGGAATCCTGCTCCAGCCCTCCCCTTGGCTAGATATTTACATTCAAGCAAGTTCCTCATCATTTGAGGATGTGGCTGCAATTGCTTTAGGTGAGTGCTGGGTGTTGAGAGTTTCATATGGAAATCCAATTGTGTCAAGCTTATTATAGTCTTATATAATTTGATTGCACCACTTGGAGCCAGACCGTTCTTGTATCTGGGGTCCGTCTTCATTAGTTTCTAGAGATGAAAGATTCTCCTGTTCTTCTTTGTGGCACTTCTTTTAATCATATCTTACCCTGGGCTCTATTAAAGCAACAGATTGTCATATCAAATGTACTAGATCATTTAATCTCTTCCCACACAGGACAAAGAGGTTTGCAATGGATTTACATAACCATACCCAGAATATGAAATTTGGTGGGGCTCTATGGCTTGGTTTTGAGCTCTTGGGGGCTGGGGCTTGTGGCTTATACCTATTTTTATCTCTAACATCCAACACAGGGTTTCACACTGCACAGGTGCTCAAGCAAAGTTTATGATGGCCGAGGAAGGAAGAAGATCCTATGTGAGTTGGCTGGAAGGCCATGCTTATACTGCCACTGTAATGGGCTCAATCCTTGAGTGGATTGGTCAACTTCACCCTCTTCCATGGCCTTAAGAACAATGTGAGAGTTAAAAGAGAGCTTGGAGATCATCCAGACCAATTCAAAGACAAAAAAAAAAAAAAAAAAAAAGGAGGATGTGAGGGAAGTGACTTATCCAGGGAAAGGCAGTGGACGATCAAGACTTCAGCTCAGGACCTCCAACTTTCAGACCAAATGATGCTTCCAGAACATTCTCCTCCTCCTTCCCTGAATTTCCACCATCAGACAAGTTTCAAAATTTGAGCAAAGCCCAGGAGATTGCATTTTCAACAAATGTGGAGACTCCAGGGTTGGAGGAGAGGGGATCTGGAAGGAGAATGCTGCTACCCTAGGTACAGTTGCAGGTACCATCTATGTTCAAGCCAATACTTCTATCAATCCTTGGGAGGCCTCTCACAATTAAGCACTTTCTTCCTGTCTGGCTGATGGGTGCCTTTTAACCATGAGTATTT
The DNA here is from genome assembly GCF_000001405.40 of Homo sapiens. Taxonomy (NCBI): domain Eukaryota; kingdom Metazoa; phylum Chordata; class Mammalia; order Primates; family Hominidae; genus Homo; species Homo sapiens. Next base: position 111,783,583 of record NC_000001.11, read on the forward strand.
CTATCTTTTGCTGTTGGAGAGGCAGAAGGAAGAGAAAGAGAAAGAAATGGAAAGGCCAAAACATGGGAAATTGCATTCTGGGACATTTATTTCAGAGAAATTAAAACTTATGCTCACATAAAAACCTCTACATGATTGTGCACAGTAGCTTTATTTGTAATAGTCCAAAACTGAAATCATCCCTGGTGTTTCTCATCAGGCAAATAAACAAACTGGTACATCTGTACCATGGATACTACTCAGCAGAATGGATTACTTATACAGCAACTTGGATGAAAATCCAGGAATCATATAGAATGGAAAAAGCCAATACCCAAAGGTTACCTATTGCATGAATTCATTTATATAACATTTTTGAAATTAAAACATTTATAAATGATGGAAAAATAAATGGTTGCCAGGGGTTAGGGACAGGGCAGGGCTAGGGCAGAAGGTGGGGTTATGAAAGGGCAACCCACGGGATCCTTGTGATGTTGAAACTGTTCAGTCTCTTGACCGTGGCAGTGGATGCATTAACTTATCACACACACACACACACACACACACACACACACACACACACCAGTCCAAGTAAAACTGGAGATATCTGAATAAGATTGGTAGGTTGTACAATGTCCATATCCTGGTGGTGATATATAGTACTATTGTTTTGTAAAATGTTACCACTAGGGGAAACTGGTAGACAAACTTTACAAGAGATTGCTCTGTGTTATTTCTTACAACTGCGTGAGCATCTATAATTATCTCAATAAAACATTTCATTAAAAAAAAGAATATGGGTATGCACCAGAACTGGAGATGGGAACGAAATGCCCCAATCCAGATGTTCCTCTCTACCTGTCCACTGCCAGACCCTTATCTCCAGTTCACTTGGCTCAGAGGACACAGTATCTAAGGCAAATAGTAATAGACTAATCTTAGTAATAATCCCAAGCAAACCAGTCATGGGAAGAGGATGACGATATAGCTACTCCAGCTCCCAATTATGTGGTCTGGGCTGAGAACTATCATTAGTTTCCTTCCCATCCCATCTCTCCACTTTCCACCAAATCCTCTGGACCTACTTGCCTTGACCCATGGTGACAGACTCAATGCTGGAGCAGCCAGCATTTTTTTTCCCTCTTATAGGAAGCCCAAGGTGACAGACACAGAGCTGAGCAGCCTTGAGGAGAAACAGTATCCAGGCAAGGTGAAAACACTGTAAATATTTACTCTGATTTCAAGGGGAGAGAGAAGAGGGAGAGGGAAAGGGTCAGGGTGGGAGGGAGACCCATCTTTAGCAGCGAGAGGAAGGAAGAAGCCTGAGTTGCTCCTAGATTTTAATCACACAGGATGAGCTTTATAATGTCCTAGGGGAGAGCTGGGAGCACGCCTGTAATCCCAGCTACTCTGGAAGCTGAGGTGGGAGGATTCCTGGACCTCAGGAGTTTGACTCCATCCTGGGCAACATAGTGAGACCCCATCTCTAAAATAATAATAATAATAAATCAATTCCCAGGTGAAGTAAAGGTAGCTGTAGGAGCCACTGAGAACACAGCTGGAATGGGCTGTCACTGGTGTGTGCACAGCCGTGGGCTAGTGTGTGAGCTGAGGATTCCTGTGAACCTCACCTGCTCTGCCAGAAGCCTGTGTCAGCTCTAGCCCCTTGGGGGCAGGGCCACTAGAGGATCCCTGGCCCTTCAGGGTCTCTGGTTCCTGAATGTGGGAAGGAGATCCCAGTTTCTGTATAACAAATTTAGGCCCTATTCAAATTTGCTGCCTGACTTGAACAGGGAAAGAGGTAAGATTTCCATTTCTGGGATGACTGTCAGGGAACAGGAGGTAGGGAAACCCTGACCTTGGGTGAAGAGGTAGGAGATAGGTGTGTATGGGACACAAAGGATGACGGACAGAGCCAGAAGATAAATCTTAAGGTGGCAACTTAACAGACCAGGTCAGGATAAATAAAAGCAGAGGCAGAGGGGACAGCAGGGCAAGGAGCCAACCATAAAGGCACACAGAAGGTGATAGGCTGGAGGTGGGAACCAATTGGATTCACTACACAATTATATGTAAATTGTTATGTAATAATTATTATACATTTTGGAGCTAGCTTTCGTAACCTTTATAGCTTTGTGATGGTCGGCATACACAGATCTGTTCTGAAATTCTGGATTTCTTCCTCCATAACGACATTAACTTCCCTTTGAGCCTTTACACCCAAGGCAAGCCCTGCTACCTGGAGGTTATCCCTGCAAGCAGAAGGCCAGTAGCAGGGATTCTGTAGCAAGGAAAGAATCTGGCTGCAATGCATAGGGCCGACCACATAGTACGTGCTCAGTAAATGTTTGTGGAATAATGGATAAAAGAATAAAGTAAGGAGACAAAACCCCAAGCCTCCAAAAGCCAGTCTTTCAACAGTTCTCCTCCTGTCCGTTGTCCTCAGAAAGGCTCTGGCCATAACCCCTGGGGGCTGAGATGCTGCTGAAGGGGCACCACAGTTCAGCCCAGATCTGAAGACAATGAAAAACACCGCTTTCCCACTTCCCCAACACAGATATCCCTCTTCTGAGAGGAAACCTGGGGAAAGTCACTACCCAGGAACCTCACTGGCTAGATGCCTTAAAAATGCAAGTGAACAAGAGTTGGCTGAGTTGATGAGTTGTTCTAGAAACAAGATTGAGGGCTAGCTGGAAAAAGAGGCTTCTTTCTGAGCACCAAAGCCTTCAGACATTTTTCCTCATTGCATGGGCAAATGACCGTATTTTACCCTCTCCTGCCATTTTCAGCAGTGTGTATTGAACATAATCTAAATCTTTCCCCAGGACTGATGGTTAGTCTCCTGATCACCAACTGCAGTTGACTTCAGTGCCTTTGCCCTATGATATCTTGGAAATTCCTAAAGCCTGTTGTGCCATTTGTCCCTGAACTCAACGGCCTCAGGATGCTCTCCTTTCACAGTATTTATTTTTCTTTTCAACAAATTTATTTTTGCCACTGGGTTTTGTATAGGCTTTTATAGGATATTAAAAAGAGATTATGTTTCCTAGTAAGCTCTTGGCTGGGAGAGGGAGGAGTGCGGGGATGGCTGAGTGGCAGTGGCTGAGGGAGTGGAGGTGGAGCCAGGAGCCAAGGAAATTGCCAAAAAATGTCCAAAGGGGGATAATCAGCTTACAGATAATTGAGGGTTCAGTGCCTTTTGGAACTGACTGGGGCTGGAATTCAGGAGACTGGTGAGCAGGAAGGGACTGAAGCTACCTTACCTTGCAAAGCCAGAGGCCATCTGTGCAGTGATCCTGTGAGGAGCTCTAGTCCTGGCTCCCTGACTGGTGCTCCCCCGCATCCTTTACACTGCCCCCGCTTCCCTGCGTCTGAGGCTTACCTTTTGTGCCCTGCGTTTATCAGCTCTCTGATTCTGGTGGTAAATCCGGCTAAAGTTGGAAACAATCACAGGGACTGGCAGGGCAATGACCAGGACGCCACTCAAGGAGCAGATGGAGCCGAAGATCTTCCCTGCAATCGTCTTAGGCACCATGTCTCCGTATCTGAGAGAGGGAGAGAAACAGGGTGTAAGGGAGAGAGGGCCATTTGGGAAACAAGGCAGGCTTCCCTGCCAATCATTCACCTGTTTATTCATTCATTCATTCAGCAATTGCTTAGAGTATCTACTATGTGCCAGGTACTGTGACATGGACCTGGGGGTGAACAAGAGAGACAAGATCCTTATGTGCAGGGAGCCAACATCCTAACAAGACTGTAAACAATTAAGTGAATACATAAAAATATCATGTCTTTGTTGGTTCTACAAAGAGACTAGAGAGAGGTGCTGCATCAGGTGGTGGGAGTGTGGTCAGGAAAGGCCTCTCTGAGGAGCTAACATTTAAGCTGAGAGCTGAATGTAAAGGAGCCAGCCATGTAAAACACCTGGGGACAAGTGTGTGTGGTAGAGGAAACAGCAAGTACAGAGGCCTTGAAGTAGCAGGAAGGAGTTTGGCCTGATCTAGGAATTGTCAAAGGGTCAGCAGGACTGGACACCACAAGAGGAGGGTAAGGCAGGCAGGGGCCAGATCATGCAGCGTCTGACGGGCCATGGGGAGGAATATGGGTTTATCCCATTCAGTGAGGCGCCATGAGGAGTTTTAAGCAAAAGAGTAACAGAATCTCATTTATGATGATAACAACAAATAACAAACTCACCTATTCATGTAGATTTATAATTTACAAAGCACTTCTACATATTTACCTCACATAAGCCCCATGAACCCTGTGAACTTTGTATTCTTATCCCCATTGTACAGATGCAGGAACTGAGGCTGAGATAATTACATGGACTGCTCTCATTTGCTCAGCTGGGATTAAAAGCCACTCTTCTTGCTTTTGTCTATTTTCCAGTAGCCATAGCATCTCAGAGGAGGACCATGAGCTCTGAAGCTCAGCCCCTTAAAGCTGTGAAGCCACTTTGGAACTGTGCTGGCTCCTCTCAGAGCTTGGAGAAACTCTTTTAAGTACTTCACACCCTAGCAGCTGCCCTCTGGAACCAGGTTGGCCTGGATCCTACTCAGTCTTCGGCATGCAGGCCAGAGCCTCTGTCCCTCCAATCAATAAGATGCTTTCCACAGTGGTTAAGTGTTTAGTCTCCTCTTTATTGAGATAATTGAAAGGCCTTATTAAGCAAAGAGCTGTGATTACTCCTTCGGCTAAAGCCAGAAACACCATCTCCCCTGCCTCTGTGCCCTCTGGGTGTCTGGAGCAGAAACAAGCTTAGGATGACCAGGAATTGTTTCTGCTAAAATAGACTCAAAGTCATCTGTCCTGAGGAAACCACGGGGCTTGGGTTTCCAGAGAAGATGTGGAAGGGGATGGGGCAAGCTATTTCAGAAGTATGAACACCCAAGAACTTGGTGGAGGACATGGCAGAGGTAGACAGGTATTCGGTGAATGAATGAATGAATGATCTCACTTAAGCCTCTCAATTCCCTGTGAAGTAGGCTCCTGTTTTGAGACTGTCTTCCTTCTCCTTCAGTGTTCATGCCCTTTGCCCTGGCTCAAGATTTCCTGGACGTGCACTAGCATTAAGGCCTGTGCTAGAGCCTTCTAGATCTTTGCAGCTAGGGTTGTCTCCTCTGCCGTGGTACTCAGGAGAGGCCTCCAGGGAAGTGGTTGAGAACATGGATTCTGAATTTAGATAATGTGGGTTCAAGACTCACCCTGCTCCATAAAATAACCATATGATCTTGGGGGAATGTTACTCTGGGCCTTAGTTTCGTTGTCTGTAAAATGAAGATAATAACAGTAACCTAGATCATAATCCTATTGTGACATATACAGCTCCACAAACAATAGATACTATTACTTTTAGCTAGGCATTCTGAAAACCACAGTCTCTGTTGATGGGAAACTCTAAAAACACAGTTGGTTGTCCCAAGTTCAAATAGCCCCATTGATGAAGAAAAAGGGGCTGCCTCTGAGATATATCACCTTAGCTGGGATTTTCAGATGACACAACTGAAAGGGGGCCTGTGGGCACAGGGCTGTGGATGAAAATAAAGCATGGCAGGAGTGCAGAAGAACAATGCCAGGAAGGCTGCATTTCAGAGTGACCAAGGCTGATGAGGAATGCTAAGGACAACAGAAAGATTGCTTCATCCATATGAAGAAAGAGGGAGAAGGGAAGCCATGCCTCCTGCTGGGGCAGATGGTCTGCTAGTGACAGATGACAGTGAGAAAGCCGAACAATCCACTCCCAGGCGTCCTCTGCCTTCTCCACCGGGAATAAGGAGCTGCATCTTGGAGAGGCTGGAACAAATGCCAAAAAGAAGGATCCAGAGCTTAAAGTAGGAGACGGGAGAGCAGGCAAGTGTCCAGCTGAATTCAGTAAATTTACATCACAGGCCCACATGAATCCCACCCGGGAGACAGGAGGAATGTGCAGATGGGGTTGCAGAACCACTGCCCTGGATCTTTGAGAAATCATGGTGCAGCAGAAAATTACCAAGAGACTAGAGATGGAAAACGGCTGTATTGAATTTTTAAAGAAGGCAAAAGGAGGTCTGAGAAACCACAGACCAATAGGCTTGGTATCTGTAAATTGTGCCATCAAATTGCTGGCAGAATTTGAGAGCAGATTATTAAGTAGACAGCTTGTGAATACTTGGAAAATAAGCTGTATTGGTTCACTAGGCACACATCTTGCCAAATTAACCTTATTTCTTGTTTTGACAGTGAGGTTAACTGGTTGGTAGATCAGGAGACTGCTCCAGACCTATTGCATCATGATTTTAACAAGATGTGTTCTTGTCCCAGTTCTTTATACCCTTGACAAGCTGGAGGAGTGTGGTGTGGATAGCAGTGTGGTTAGCAGGGTTTGCACAACCATCTCCAGTCTTCTGGCACTTCTCAAAGATTACCAACTATGGTCCTATGCCAGCAAAGGAAGTTCATGGTTTTCATGTTAAAATGTCTCCTTTAATGAAAAAGTAAATAAGTAAATGAAATAAAGAATGGATCTCAAGTTAGGTCTCCAGTGGTATGTTCCGGAATTTTTCAACAACTTATAAAAGCCAGAGGGAGGCAGCATGGCCTAATAATTAAGAGAGGACACTGGAGTCCAACCTGGGTTTGAACCCTAGCTTACATTAGTTACCAACTAGTTAAGTGACCCTGGGGCATTTATTTAACCTGAGCCTCTATCACTTATAAAATGGGTTTTATATCCCCAGGGTTGTTGCGATAATTAATGAGATAATTCAAAAGAAACACTTAATTCAGTGTTTGAATAACTGTAAATTGTCTAGAATTAGCCAGTGTAGTGGGCACCTATTTTGTCTGCTGACACCCCAATAGGAACTGTGTCCCTCTTTCCCATGATGATGTAAACTGTCCAGATAAGCTGCCATATTTCCCATGCCCCAATGCCCACTTGCCACAGCTGGTGAGTTCAAAATAGGGCATCTCACCCAAGCTGAACCAATGACTTCCTTTCCTGGATTTATTTTTTAAAAGCTTTACTGAGACACAATTTACATACCATAAAATCCAACCATTTAAATTATGCATTTCAATGGTTTTTAATGTATTTAGAGAGTTGCGCTCACATCACCGCAGTTTAATTTTAGAGCACTTCATAACCCCTAAAAGAAATGTGTACCCATTAGCAGTCAGTGATCATTCCACACCCCACCTCTCAGACTTAGGCAACCACGAATCTACTTTCCGTCTCTATAGATGTCCCCGTTTTGGACAATTCATGTGAATGGAACCATATATGTGGCTTCTCATGTCTGACTTCTTTCACTGACTGTGTTTTCAAGGTTCACCCATGTTGTAGAATGTATCAGTACTCCATTCCTTTTTATGGCTGAATAACATTCCACTGTCTGGGTAGACCACATTTTGTTAATTCACTCATCAGTTGATGACATTTGGGTTGTTCCCACATTTGAGTTATTCTGAATAATGCTGCTATGAACATTTGTGTACAAGTTTTTGTGTGGACACGTTTTCATTTCTCTAGGAGTCATACGGTAACTATGTTGAATAGTTTGAGGAACTGCCAAAATGTTTTCCAGAGTGGCGGTGCCATTTTACATTCCCACCAGCAATGAATGAGGGGTCCAATTTCTCCTTATCTGAGACAACACTTGTTATTGTCCGTCTTTTTATAGCTATCCTGGTGGGTGTTATCTCATTGTGGTTTTGATTTGGATTTTTCTGATGGCTGATGATGTTGAACATCTTTTCCCCTTCCTTGGACTTTTACGTTAGGGACCAGATCAGTCTCTTTCAAAGAAGCCGATGCTGCAACAAGCAAAGCTCTGGAGCTGTTGGCAGCCATGCTGTCTGCCATGGGGAAAAGCGGGATTGCAGTCGGGGAGGAAGAAGGCTGGCACTAGCAGGAGATGCGTGATGGAAAAGACAGTGATGGAGCTGGAGTTCCTGTTCTAATTCTTACCGAGGACCAGCTGTACCCCCGACTTTCCTGTCGCTTAGCTGTTCCATCCTTCCTTTGACTCTGCTCACTAACAAATTACTGTTTTCGTTTAACCTTTTTTCATTTAGATCCTGTGGTAGCGATGGTGATGAGGCTGCTACTGGTGATTGTTTGAAAGTAAGTTCCTCACATTTCTAAATGACAGAGCTACTATGAATTGAGGTCTTTAGGAGTCAAAAGGATTTTAACAGGTTGTAATTATGGGTGAAACCAACCAGATTAATTTTAACAAAGATAAATGAGAACACCAGCATTTTTATTCAAATAATCAATGACGTATAGCTGATGGGAAGGACCTGGTTTAAAAAGAGTCTCTGTTAAAAATCACCGGGGAATTTAACTTCAACATCATCCACCAGTATAAAGAGGCTGTTAAAAACCTAATGCCATCCTTGGCTGGATTGATGGGAGTGCAGTGTCTGGAAAAAGGGAGTGGGTGTCGTACTCTGCTCCTAGATGCAGACCATTTCTAGGCTGCTGTGTCGAGTTCCAGGCACTATATAGTCTATAGGACACTGATTAACTGGATCATGTCTAGAGAAGGGAGGCTGGGATGGTGAACTGTCTGGAATTCCTCTCAAGGAAATCAAAGGAATGGGGACGTTTGGCCCGAAGAAGAGGAGTTGGGGAATGGAAGAATGGAAAGGAACAATGTACCAGAGCCTGTGCTAGGAACTTATCTGCATTAGTGGGTCTCACAGTAACCCACCCTATCAGGTAGGGTTAACCCACGTTAGGGATGAGGAGGGAAAGTCCAGAGAGGACAGGAACTTGTTCAAGGTCACTCAGGTAGTCAGAGGCAGAACAACTGGGGTTAGAGCAGAGATGTTTTCATGCCTCTGCTCTTTCCGTCATATCCTGCTCCTCCCAGGGTCAGGGAAGGACAGAAGGGGAAGTGAGGGTGGGGCTAGAGAGAGGATGGCTGTGGAAAAGGGCTGTGAGGAGTCAGCGGGAGCTTAGCCCCTTCTCTCCACCTCCGCTCAGTAGCAGCAGCACAGCACAGTGGTTAAAAGCGTGGTCTCTGAGTGTCAGGCTACCCAGGGCAAATCCTGGCTCTGCCACTTGTTAGCTGGGTGACCTTGGCCATGATACTTAAATCCTCTGTCTTCAGTTTCCTGGCATTGATCAATTAATAGTACCTACGTCACAGGGTTGTTGTGAGGGATTGCATGAGTTACTTTTTGTGAAAGCTCAACCTGGCATATAGGAAGAGCTTTATTTATAAGTGTTTATTAAATAAACCCAGGGTCCAGACCACCATACTTTCTAAACTGGACTTCTGCAAAAGTCTCTTAACCAGAATTAATTCTCACTTCTACTTTTGTTCCCTTTATATATATAAAATTATATATATTATAATTATAGATATGTAATTATATATTATTTTATATATAAAATAATACCAATTTTTGAGCTCAAGTGATCCTCCCACCTCAGCCTCCTGAGTAGCAAGGACTGCACGTGGTTGCCACCATGCCCAGCTGATTTACTTTTTGTAGAGGTGGGTTTCACTATGTTGCCCAGGCTGGTCTAGAACTCCTGCCCTCAAGTGATCCTTCTATTTTGGCCTCTCAAAGCACTGGGATTGCAGGTGTGAGCAATCACACCCAGCCAGAAGCATATTCTTTTTTTTTTTTTTTTTGAGACAGAGTCTCGCTCTGTTTTCCAGGCTGGAGTGCAGTGGTGCGATCTCGGCTCACTGCAACCTCTGCCTCCTGGGTTCATGCCATTCTCCTGCCTCAGCCTCCCAAGTAGCTGGGACTACAGGTGTCCATCACCACGCCTGGCTAATTTTTTGTATTTTTTTAGTAGAGATGGGGTTTCACTGTGTTAGTCAGGATGGTCTCGATCTCTTGACCTCGTGATCTGCCCGCCTCAGCCTCCCAAAGTGCTGGGATTACAGGCGTGAGCCACCGCGCCCGGCCAGAAGCATATTCTTAAAATGCAAATCAAAGCATGTCATTTCCCCTGCTCAAAGCACTTCAATAAATGTTTGTTGAATGTATGAGTTAATGAGTAAATTAACTCAATGTTGTTGCAAAGACTACATGCCTATTACACAGTAAACACTCATTAAATGGCAGCTAATTATGAGTGTAATGACCGTGGTGTGCAGGGCCCTTTATCCCATGGTCCCTCCTGGGGCCCACCTGGGCAGAAGACTGAAGTAGGGGAGCTAATGGTGATTCTCTGAGTCCTAATGGCATTTATGGCCTATTTTCTCTGTGGAATTTTGAAGAAAGAAAGGGTAAGAAAAGAAAAAGCAGAAACAGTCATGGCTTAGAAAAAAAAAATTTAAACCCAAAGCGTTATTTCCTTTTTGTCTTCCTCTGCTCATGCAAATAACGACTCTCCTCTTCTCTCTACCCTGGCTTTGTGGGTAGGGATAGTAAGGGACGAGAAAGCCCTTCCTGGAGGTGACATCCCAGGTACAGGTGAGCTGTGGTGCCCAGCCCAGAGTTAGGACTCACACTCAAACCCTATCTGGGGCCAGTGTGGAGGCAGCTGTCGCCCTGAGCAGGTGGGGCTCAGGGACTCTGCTTTGGTTGCTCTCTCTCTCCCAGCACATCCTCAGTAATCCACAGTAATGTCTGGACTGAGGCAAAAGCAAGGAAGCTTAACCTCCTAATATGGAAGGCTAATTAATTTGTATTAGGGCTTAGGGATAATTAAACTTTTTATCTGAACTTAAGCTGCACAAACCACCTGACTTGTACAATTAATTGCTCCCTTCATTTCTTCCTCCAGGTGCCAAGAGATAAGTGCAAGCCAAGCTCCCCCATCCAGTTTTGCCTGCCTCTCAGGTGGGGGCACGGCTGCCTGTGTGGTGGGGAGTCCATTCTTTACTGGAGACCAGGGCACTGGCCGGTTAGGGCCCAGCTGCTGGGAGCTCAACCAGGGAGACACATCCTCAATGAGTTTCTGCAAGGATGATGTCTCAGCCTCACTGCCACACCCACTGCTGCACCTATCTTCTCCACTGGGATGCCCCTGAACTTGGCTTCCTAGAGCCTCAGTGTTGGGGATGGGGATGGGGCACAGAAGCTGTCCTGTTGGGTGGGACCAGGGTGAGGAGAGTTCTTAGAGCAGACTGGGCCACCATAGTGTGTTCCAGGGACTCAGACCTCTGTGGCTTCCTCCTTGTCCGGGGGCAAAAGACAACAGTAGACCATCATGGAAGACACCAAAAATACCAGCCAGGGCTGAGTTCATCCTGTGACAAACACCTGTGCAGCCTCTTTTCATGTCCAAATCCCCTCCCATGAGTAGACACTATTATTATCCCCATTTTGCAGATGAGGAAACTGAGGCACAGAGTGGTAAGTAATACGCCCAAGGTCACTTGGCTAGCCAGCTGCAGAACTGGGGCACAGACCAGGTCCCTTTGATTCCAAAGTCAAAGCATAGCTCCTAGTTATCTGGCCCAAAGCTATGGTTTCTGGGGAGCCAACATGGAAGGCAGCAGTCCTGGTAGAGAGCAAGGGAGGAGAACACTTCAGAGGCGACCAGATCTAGGGCATCAGCCTAGCCACAATTCTACAAAAACACTTTAGCCCTATGTTGTCAAGTCTCAAGGTGGGAGACTTGGGAAATGAAATGAAACCCCATATCACCTCTCCTTTCTACCACATGCACCCCCTACCCCCAACACACACTTCTGCTCGTGTCTCTGCAGCTGGGCACTCTCCTTGGCTCACCTGCAAAGTGAGCCCCAGCAGTGAGCCAGGAACCAAAAAGATAGGATGGCTTTTAGGAATCTTGAAGTTCCTCTGAAGACACCACCTAGGGGTGGACCCAGACGGGACAGATGAGGCTCAGAGCAAGGTAATCTAATAATAATCACAGTGGCAATTCAGTAATAATTTATTTTTATTTAGCATAAGTATGGGCCATTTAATTATCATAAACTTACAAGGTACTATTAGCCCCATTTTTGAGATTAGGAAACTGAAGCTCAGAGAAGTTAAGTAACGTGCTCAAGATCATCGGCTCATTCAAGCCAGTGCTCCACATCAGGCTTGTCTGACTTCAGAGCGTTCTGCTTTCTCGCTGGAGGAGGAGAGGAATGAGCTGAAGACCTGGCTAATCCACATGAGAAAGAACAGCCTCTTTGTGACAGAACGATTTATAATCCTTTGGGTATTTATCCAGTAATGGGATTACTGGGTCGAATGGTATTTCTGTTTTTAGGTCTTTGAGGAATTGCCACACTGTCTTCCACAATGGTTGAACTAATTTACACTCCCACCAACAGTGTATAAGTGTTCCTTTTTCTCCACAACCTCACCAGCATCTATTATTTTCTGACTTTTTAATAATAGCCATTCTAACTGGTGTGAGCTGGTATCTCACTGAGATTTTGATTTATATTTCTCAAATGATCAATGATGTTGAACTTTTTTTCCTATGATTGTTGGCCGCATGTATTTCTTTTGAAAAGTGTCTGTTCATGTCCTTTGCCCACTTTTTAATGGGGTTATTCGCTTTTTTGCTTGTTGACTTGTTTAAGTTCCTTATAGATGCTAGATATTAAACCTTTGTCGGATTGCATAGTTTGCAAACATTTTTTTCCCATTCTGTAGGTTGTCTGTTCACTCTGTCGGCAGTTTCTTTTGCTGTGTAGAAGCTCTTTAGTGTAATTAGATCCCATTTGTCAATTTTTGCTTTCGTTGCAATTACTTTCGGCATCTTTGTCATGAAATCTTTGCTTGTTCCTATGTCCGGAGTGGTATTGCCTAGGTTGTCTTCCATATCATAAAGACACATGCATGTGAATGTTCATTGCAGCACTATTCACAATAGCAAAGACATGGAATCAACCTAAATGCCTATCAATGGTAGACCAGACCAAAAAAAAAATGTGGCACATATACATCATGGAATACTATACAGCCATAGAAAAGAATAAGACCATGTCCTCTGCAGGAACATGGATGGAGCTGGAGGCCATTTTCCTTAGCAAACTAAGTCAGGAAGAGAGAACCAAATACTGCCTGTTCTCACTTTTAAGTGGGAACTAAATGATGAGAACACATGGACACATAGAGGGGAACAGCACACACTGGGAACTATTGGAGGGTGGAGGAGGGAGAGGATCAGGAAAAATAACTAATGAGTACTAGGCTTAATACCTGGGTGACACAAGTTTACAAACCTGCACTTGTACCCCTGAACTTAAAGTTAAATAAAAAACAAAAGAACAGCCTTGAGACAATGGAGAAACTTTCAAAGTGGCATGAACCTAGAAACCCTGCTGGGAGGTTCTCTGGGAGATGTTTCCTAAGCTCTGCCAGCAGAGAGTCCTGCGAAAAGGGGTGGGCGACCCTTCCAGATCATTGCTGTGGTTTGCTGTGGCTTGTAGAGTCACAGCCAGTCACAGCGGCAGGCTCCTGGCCAAGATCACTTTACTACTGTTGGCCTGTGGCAATAATCTTGTCTTGCCACCTCAATGGCTGTCCTGGGTGACAGAGCTGTTCTTCTAAACCAGTGGTTCTCAAACTTTAGTGTGCATCAGAATTGCCTGGAAGGCTCGATAAAACATAGATTGCTGGGCCCCAATCTCAGATTTCTGATCCTGTAGCTCTGGAGTGAGATGTGAGAATCTGCATTCTAAGTTCCTAGGCATCACTGATGTTGGTGATCTGGGGACTACTGCTTTAAATCATCCTCTTTCCATAGGTCACAGATCTGTAGACTCATAGCATGTCAGCGGAAAGGGGTCATAGCAACCAGCTTCAGACCAGTCATGCGTACATGAGGAAACAGACAAAGTCAGACATCGGGTGGGAGATCCTGCCTGTTCATCCAGAGGGATTCCCTGCGCACTGTCTACTCCACCTACCCATAGCCCCTCGCACTGGCCAGTACTTTCCCCCCCATCCTCCTGGATTGATGAACTCATCAAACATCTGCTGGGTGTTTGTTAGGACTGGGAATACAAAGCTAAATAGATAGGTATGTCCTCTGCCCTCAAGGAGCTTATGATGTTTATAGGGAAGACAGACAAATAAATCCTGATGATGGTCCAATGTCACAACACTACAAGAAGGATGTATGCAGGGTCCTGTGTGAGCACAAAGGAGGGGCCTCTAAATCAAACTGGAGGGTGGTCAGAGGATCTCTTGGAGGCAGAAGCACTGGCTGACTTCTGAGCTGTGAAGGAAGAACTATGAGAAATTACTGGCTGGAGTAAAGGGTAGGTGGGAGATGAGGCTGGAGGGGTAGTCACATGAAGATTCTTCTGGGTTAATCCAGGAATTTGAACTTCTTCCTGAAATCAGCAGATTTCCAGTGAAGGATTTTAAATGATAGGAAAAAATATTCATCTTTGAAAGATCACCTTGAAAGCAGTGTGGTGGATGTATTGGATGGGGATGAAAGTAGAGACAGGGAAACCAGTTAGCAGGCTACTGCATCAGTCCAGGCAGGAAAGGCCTGAGCCAAGGCAATGACACTGGGGATGGGAAAGAGAGGACAGATAGGTACTTATTGTACCTATTCGTCCTTTTCTGTTGGGCTTAGTAACTGACTCACTGTGAGGGTGCAGGGGAGAATCTTGGGGTGAGGCTCAGGCTTGGGAAGTGGGGCAGCCCCTTCCATCTCTAGCGAAGCTCCCACCCTTCCCTTCTTTCTATTGTCACATGCTTCTGCCACACTGTATGCATCTGTGCTCCCATATGCACTGGGCTCCTCCATGACTCCAAGCTTCTAACCAGGCCTTTCTCTCAACTGGGAATGGCCCTCTCTCTCTCTCTTTGCTAGGTAACTCAGACTCATCTTTCCAGATGCTGTTCAAATGTCACCTCCCTGGGCTTTCCCTGACTTCCCCAGGCAGAGTATTACCTATTCCTGTCTTTCCACCTTGGTTGGAGCACTTACTCCTTTATGCCCTGACATACCTCCCCAAAATGTCTATTTCCCCTATTGAAATAAGAGCAATCTGAGGACAGGGCTTTCTATCTCTGGATCCCTGGTGCCTGACATGCTGCACGATGCCAAGTAGGGACTCAATTGTTCATGAGTGAATGAGAAGGAAAGCAATCCCCCTGGTGTGTGTTCCATGGACTGGACTGGCTTCTGGGATGGACTTCATGAATCAAACTGCAAGCTCCAGGAGAAGAGAGGCTGTATCCTTGGTACCTAGAACCATGCCTGGCACAGGATGGGCACTCAAGACATCTGTTGAATGAGTGAATGAATTATGAAAAGATTATCGGTGGAACTGCTGACTCGGCATACTGGATCATCAGAGGGCCTTTCTGCTGCAAAACACTTTTATCCTGAATAAAGTCTACTTTTTGATGCATTGTATGATTCACTTGAAGTAGGGGAATCTATCTCACCTCCAATAAAAAGGAACAAATCTAAGGCCACATCACAGCTGGGAGGAGTCAGCAGTAAGCAGAGGGAGGAACATTTGCTTTGAGGTATACACCAACCGTAACCAGGTGATCCCTGATTTGTCACTGGGAGATGGAACCTTGGGCTAAAAGCAAACAGAGAGAGCTTTAAGTTGGGCCTCGAAATGGGCTGAAGTCATCCCAAGATGGTAGTACTACCTGACTTATGAGCAAACCATATTTAAATCCTGTCCAGAGGTAAACATTCTTAACCTAGGGCTTCAGGATTCCCATAGATTAAGATCAAGTAAAATAAATCATAAAAAGCAAGCAACCAAGAGTGAGTCAACCAAACAAACAAGCAATAGATTTAGACCCTCCCCAAACACTTCAGGTACTAGAATTGATAGATACGGAACAGTCATGTATGAAATGTTTTCTAAAAATAAAGCATAAAATCACAAAGATTAGCAAGCAACAGAACACTATCAGGAATCACAATGCAGATGTGAAAAAGAAACAAATGGAGTTTCTAGAAGTGAAAGAGTTAAATGTTAACATTATTACTGAGTATAATGCCTTAAACCAACTGGTTATTCTTATTGGGCATCTTCTAAAGTGGATGTCCTCTTCCCAACCTAATTCTTGGGAACCCTCCTGTTGTCACTTGGCCCAAGAAGTTCTTGTACCTGAGTCTATTCCTATTAAGACAAGAAGGAGGGCAATAAAGACCAGAGAGCTGCCTGCACCAGCCCTGTCACCAAAAGAGGTGATCACTGTAGCCCATCGCAGAGCGCAATGAAGTCTGGTTCTTGTAGAGACATAATTCCTTTAGCCTGCACAGCTCCTAGGAAAAACACACTGACATGGATGAATACAGAGAGTGTGAGCAGACTGCAAACCAGTGTTAAAACGAGACGGAGATGGAAGAGCAAATGCTAGCCAGCCACCTGTGGGATAAAAACCAGGAAAGGAGATGTCATCAACTTCACTACCGGTCTCCTGTCAATAGGAAGATACTAAAATGAAAATTGGGCCCCCCCGCCTGGCCAGCCGCCCCGTCCGGGAGGTGAGGGGCGCCTCTGCCCGGCCGCCCCTACTGGGAAGTGAGGAGCCCCTCTGCCCGGCCACCACCCCGTCTGGGAGGTGTGCCCAACAGCTCATTGAGAACGGGCCAGGATGATAATGGCGGCTTTGTGGAATAGAAAGGCAGGAAAGGTGGGGAAAAGATTGAGAAATCGGATGGTTGCCGTGTCTGTGTAGAAAGAAGTAGACATGGGAGACTTTTCATTTTGTTCTGCACTAAGAAAAATTCCTCTGCCTTGGGATCCTGTTGATCTGTGACCTTACCCCCAACCCTGTGCTCTCTGAAACATGTGCTGTGTCCACTCAGGGTTAAATGGATTAAGGGCGGTGCAAGATGTGCTTTGTTAAACAGATGCTTGAAGGCAGCATGCTCGTTAAGAGTCATCACCAATCCCTAATCTCAAGTAATCAGGGACACAAACACTGCGGAAGGCCGCAGGGTCCTCTGCCTAGGAAAACCAGAGACCTTTGTTCACTTGTTTATCTGCTGACCTTCCCTCCACTATTGTCCCATGACCCTGCCAAATCCCCCTCTGTGAGAAACACCCAAGAATTATCAATAAAAAAATAAATTTAAAAAAAAAAAAAAAAAAGAAAATTGGGATATGGTTATTTGTGGTGATGCTTCCTAAATGTCCAGTCAGTTGTTCCCTGCCCTATGGATGCATTGGCTCAGAGTGTGGTCTACAAGGACATTTGTACTTTGGAGGGGAAAAGTAGAAGGGCTGAAGCTCAAGAGGCTGTGAAGCCACTTGCCCCCTGCCTAGTGATGAGCCAGCCCCTCAGCTCTGGAGAGAGCACACGCCCTGACCTGGGGCATCCCTGGTTGGGGCTGGGAGCCATGCTGGCAGGTAGAAAGCCCAAGCCCAATTATGAGAGGCATGCTTTTACAGAGACTTGGCCTTGCTCAGTCCATTCTTCCCAATCTCAGATCCCAGGAAACTTCTAATTTATCTCTCCAGGCCTTGAGAGTCAGGGTTCACAAGAAAGAGACATGAGGAGCAGCACATGTGTCTGGTCAAGCGGTGGAGCCCTTGTCCCTCAGGCCTGTACCCTGTTTCTCTTTCTCCGTATGTTCACACAAAAGCCTTCTCCCCGGGGCTGCTTCTCAGCCTTCTGCCACCCTAGGCTAGCACACATTCCTCAGAAAGGGATGAGCTGCCTCAACTGCACAGTAGAGCAACTGCCATGACTAGCCCTGGTTAGTGCCAAAGTGGGCGTGTAAGGCAGAAGGGAGGGCTGGATGCTGGGAGAAAGCGGGAAGGTGGGAAGGGCTCCATGCAGTCTGTGCAGCACAGGCAGCATTGGCCAGAGTCAGACACCTTTATGCCCTGACGTAGCTCCCAAAAATAGCACAGCTAGAGGTGGTGAAGCGTCAAAGTGGAAGTCCACAGAGGTGACAGGGAGCTAGGACACAGAAGCTGGGCTGGTCAACCAGACAAACTCTTATGGCCAGAGTCTTCCCTGAGGTTCAGTCCTGCCTCTCCTCGCACACCCCTGATTCTGCCTTCTGTGGCTCCAGCTGGGACGTGGTTGAGGTAGTGACAGGTGGGAGGTAGAAGTAGGCAAGAGGCAAAACGGTAGCGGTAGTGACCAGAGGAGTCTTAGCCCCAGGCCAGGCCAGATTCAGTGCTTAGCGGTTTGGCCAATTGACCCAATATATGGCCACCAGGTGTCCCCCACTCTTCAGAGCACTCTGCTCTCCACTGCTCATAGGGTAAATCCAGGTTGCTCCAACTGCGCTTTGCAAATCTGATCTGGCATTCCCCACGCTGTGCTGCCCTCCATCTTGGGCATCCTCTCTTCCCTTTTTCACCCATCCTCATCCTCCGAGAACCAGAAGTTATCCCTCTTCCATTAAGTCTCAGACTCTTACAGGTCTTGAAGGATTGTACAGGGTGGCAGGACCTACACCCACGTGGCACAGGAATCCTCTCCACGGCGGCCTTTCAGCCTACTGGTGAACTTGCCAGGCACAGGCTTTGGAGCCAGACAGACCTGTGCAGAAGTCCTTGCTCTCCCACTACCCAGCTGAGAGACCTCAAGCAGGCACAACTTCCTGGGCCTCAGTTGACTCATCTGAACAATGGAATAGCAATAAACTACCTCACAGGGTTGTTATAAAAATCAAGTCTGTAAAAGCATTTCATGATCTGTGCAGTGGCAGACAGTGCTTAGTTCTTCTGCATGAAACAACTTGGGCCATGGTTGGGCTGCTCACATCATCGGCTTTCCTGTAACTTGCACCTGTGAGTGCCACTTCTGCCATTGGGAACTCCAGAGTACATCTGTCCCTCTGTCAACACCACAGCCTTCCTCCAAGCTCTGAAAGCACCGCCTGCTCCTCATCTCATTTGGCTGCACTGCCAGTGGCTGTTTCACACTTGCCTGCCCCCGCTCTGGCAGGCCCTAAGCTGGGTACAAGACAATGTCATGCAAAGAACGTAGGCCTTGGAGTCAGAAGTCCCTGGCCTGCAAGTCTGCATCTTCCTCTCTCTAGTTGTGTGACTTCGGGGCAGCGACTTAGATCTCTAAGCTTTAGATCCTTCAGCTGTAAAATTGAGAATAATGTCTCCCTACAGGGAATGGTTAATATGCACTCACAGACCCCACAGTGCAGCACTGACAAGATGCTTGTTTCATGTCTCTCTACCCACCAGATGGTAAGCTGCATGAGAGCAGGCCCGGTGCAGTACTAGGCACATAGTAGGAATGTCACATTGAGCCTGTAGCAGGACTAAATGGGTCCCCAACTTAACTATGGCCTCTAACCTCATGTTGGGTACTTAAAATCCTGCTCAGGGCCTAGGGACAATTGAATGTTTCAACTGAGCTGTGGAAAACCCTGAAGAGCCCTTTCACATCTTGCAAGCTTCCAGCTCTGGGCTCCATGCTTCTGGGTTTGGTTTGACCCAGCTCAGTAAATTTGACTGAGCATCAAACATTCTCCTGAAGTATTTCTTCTGCTTTGGAAGGCAGAAATGGAGCTGCGTGCTGTACACTGGCTCACCTGACTCCCTGAGGCTGTGTGGGGTGAGGAGGCTCCTCCTGCAGTCCTCAGCAGGGGCCTGGTCTGGACACCTGCCTGCGAAGGACAGGAGCCAGGGCCCCTTCGGCCTCTATCTTTAAGTCTCTGGTTCTTTGAGCCTTTGCCTTTTTTCTCTCTGTTTCCTGCCCTCTAGTTCCAGGTGAGATGCCCTCTGGTGTGACACCCTAGCACCCTAGCCTTACCCGCCCCCACCCCATGTGAGCTGGTGACAGTGGAGGCCTCGTTTGCCTGGGACACCTCTGCCTCTCCACAGCCTCGCACAGCACCTGCCATGCTGTAGGGTTCCATTACATGTTTTATAAGTACATGGATGCTTCTCTGATTCTCTTTCAGTCTCTGCCTCTCTCAGATCCCCATGTCTTAGCTGTTCCAGCCAGCCTTGTCTGTGCTGAGATATGCTAGGATCAGTTTTGGGGTGATTAGAGGTGGTCCTTAGGGCTGCTGGTTGTGTGTGTGTTTGTGTAAAATTCCTCACAGACACCAAGCCCCCACATGGACACATCACTTTCTCCTCACCCCGTCAGAGAAACCCTCTGATATTCACCATCACACATACACTCACACCAGGTCGGAGATGGTGCTCCATCATCTGCTCCATGCATACTGAAGTATTTATGGGTGAAAGGACACGTATGTGGACTTTTCTTTAAAATACTCTGGGAAAAAATGAAAGGCAAGTGAGAAATAGGATGTGCAGTGTGCTGAAGCCAGGTGGGTGGGTGCATGGGCTTTCATTCACCACCCTCTCCGGTTTTGTATACATTTGAAATTTTCCATAATTAAAAAGTTAGAAAAAAAAACTTCGTTAAAAGAAGAACCATCGACTCCAACTCCCTTCTGAGGCCACTACTCATTTTGCGCATGTGACAAACAGTCCTGCAAAATCCCTCCTGCCTTCTTTAACTTTTCTTTATGTGGGGCTCATCTTGCCAACTAGATTCTTGCTTCTTGAGGGCAGGGCTGTGTCTTATGCTACTTTACATCCTTTTTATAATAGCGCTTATAGAAGGGCAGGCATCAATGGCCACTAGACCGAGCTGCCCAGCCCTTCCCCTTGGACCGAGGCCTTCTTTCACATGCCTCATGTCCTTGGCATTGACTCCTTTTCCGTCCCCCAACCCCTGCTGCTGCCCAGCTCCTCCCTGGCTTCCGCCAAGGTGACAGGGTAATGCTATGGCCAGGGACTCTGCTGTTTCCTTGGCAATCAGAGCCTTTCTTTAGCCCTGGCAGCATGCTCTCCTTGTTGGTCAATATTTAGTTTAATTTAGGTTCTAATCAGGCAGGAAAGAGGCAGGTGGTCTTAGGGGTTGCTGCAGGGCTAGCAGGGACCCATCTGTCAGCCTTCCCCACACCCTGTTGCGACTGCACGCATTTTATGTTTGCTCTGAACCCTCCCTTTACAACATTTCTGCTCTCTGCCCTTCAATTAACCTTCTGTGTTTTGGGTCTGACCTAGCTGCAGTGTGCAGGGAAGGGAACATGCTGAGGTCACTTGCAGGGCTCCGCAAGGCTTCCTCAGCAGCCCTGCCTGTAGCCTCTGTGGGAAATCTAGCTGACCCCCAGGGAAGAGGCTGGAGTGAAGGTGCCCTGCTCCACTGCTGGGGAGAGCATGAGAAGTCACAATGGATGAATGCTTACTATGTGCCAGGCACTGGTCCCAGTATTTTGTGACTGTTAGTTTATTTAATTCTCCAAACAACCCCAGATAGGGAGATGGGTTCTATAATTATCCCCATTTTGCATATTAGGAGACTAAGGCTTGAAGAGGTTAAATAATAATTGCCAAATCATAGCGTTAATTAACAGTACAGCTGAAGTTGGTGCCCGGGCGGTCTGCCTCAGGCGCCTAGGCCCTTGACTGCTGCCCTTCAGTGAGGGCGGATGCTGCATGCAGGACAGACAGCACAGGAGGCGCCACCGCCTTCCCCACCTCCCTGTCCCATGCTCCCCTGAGGGCCCGTGTGAGTGGCTGACAGCACGGGTGAAGCACAGGGAGATCCTCCCAGCTGCAGGGTGGCGGGTGGATCACATAAAGGGCAGGGGACTTCTTGGCTACAAAGCAGAGCCAGGTGGCATGGAGGAAAGGGCGGCCTAAGCTGACAGGCAGGGTTTATTTATTTCCTTTCTCTTTGTCACAGGGCCCCTTTAAAATGACTCAACAGACTATTAGTCTCAATGGAATATCAACCCCAACAGGGGGAAAAAAAAAGGTAAGAAAATCCTCAAGAAAAGAACACATACATCTCAGCCCAGTCCACCAGACAGGGCAACGTGGGGACACTGTTGGGAGGAACTCTTCCAGTCTGGCCAGAGATCCACCGCCACAACCTGGATGCCACAACCTGGGTGGGCACCTGGGCCAGCCTTGTCCCCTCACCCTTGCCTCAGTCTGGCTGCACTTTCCAGTCTGCCCTCTCTGTCTCCCAGTTGGTAGGTTCCTTCCTGAGCCCCTCACAGTCAGACTGACACATACCCTGTGCATTTCAATGGCCTCCTGTGTGGACAGTATGAAAATTAATCTTAGAAATGTTATCAAGTCCAAAAGGAAATTCCTAGGGGAATGTAAGTCAACCTCTTTTAAAGAGCATGGCTAAGCAGAGACCTTAAACTTTAGGGAAAAACCAAACTCCTTGAGAACAAGAGTCAAGCGAGGAGCGGGGGGACATGGAGAGCTGGAGTCTGCCGCTGGCCCATGTGGCTAGGGGAGCGCCTAAGGAGAATTCAATGAGCCACCTGTGTGGACGGTGTGAAAATTCCCCGCGGCTGCAGAGCAGGGCAGCAACCTGCATGTGGGGGACAAGTAATTACAGAAGGACAGAATGAAAACAGAGGCTCAGAGGTCTGGGACCAAGGTATCCTGGAGCAGCTGCTGGGTTACTTTCTGGTGGCAGGACGGGGACAGGAGGGCAGGAAGAGGAGAGAAAAGAACATGAGGTGAGCCAGAGGAACACTGTGGTTCCCCTCAGGCCAAATCCGAAATCCTGTCTGGCCTTCCCCAGGGGCCTTTTCACCAAGCGACATCTCACGGCTCCCACCAGGCACCCTCTGCTCTGAGGAGCACCCCTGCTACGACACTGACTCCCAGATGCTGGGTCCTCACCTGCCTCCTGTGTGCTGCAGCTCCAGGGGACATCTGTCTCCCAAAGAACGGGGTCACTCAAAGGGGGGCACATCTTTTTCAACAGAGGCCTTCTACACTAGTGGGGAGTGTCTGCACAGCCTGGCCTGCTGTTTCCCCTGGGGACACTCCTGTTGATGCGGAAGCCCTGCTTATCGTGGACATGCTCGTGGCCCTCACGGCCCGGCCCTCCCATTCTCCTCTGAACTCTCACCCATGTACTTTAAATGGCTTTTATGCTCCTCTTTTCCATTCCCAAGCATGGCATAATGGGAACGCTATGGGCTTTGGGCTCAGAAAAATCGTGGTCCTCAACCTGGGGACCATTTGATTGGGTTAAAATTTTTAACCATTGTTTTCTCATCTGTAAATGGGAATATTTATATTTACTCATCTCACATGGTTATTGTGAGGAAAATGAGAGAAGGGATATCCACTTCCAGTAATGTAAAACTAAGCAGTTTGAATAAACCCTTCTGCTGAGGATAATTTAAAATGCTGGATGAAATATAACAAACATTTTCTTAAAAACATCAAAGACATAACGAAGTAATAAGGAATCATGGGCCATAATCTCTGAGGAAGTGAGAACTCAAAGAGGTGAGCCCAGTATTCAACCCCACCCTTGCCTTTAAAAAAAGTTAATCCAGAAGCAATAGTGACAACAATGAGCTGTGGTTTTTGCAGCTTCCCCACCCAGCTCTAAGATAGGAAGCCTAAATAAATACCCTACACTTCACTCAAAGTTGGGGTCCTGAAGTGCTTTACCTTCAGGGTGAAGACGAATTGAGAGTAAATATCCCCTCTATGGACTTGCAGCCTTGAATTTGGATTAAGGAATTTGGGTTAAGGAGGTCCTGGACTGGTAACATTCCCAGGTGACTAGCACAGTAAATTAAAATCCTCTCTGGAGGAAGAATACTGATTCTAAACCACAGATTATCCTTCAAATAATTTTCAAATACACTGACCAGCACAGAGTCAAAGATAAAGCATATAAGGGAAGAAGACACCATGAGTAAGAACCAGAAGAAAATGATGATAAAAAGAGACCCCCAAAGAAGTGACATATAGTCATGCATGTCATAATGACATTTTGGTCAGTGATGAACTGCATATATGATGGCAGTCCTATAAAATTGTGGTATCGTATTTTTACTGTACCTTTTCTATGTTTAGATAGGTTGAGATACACAAATACTTACCATTGTGTTACAGTTGTCTGCAGTATTCAGTACGATAACATGCTATGGCCAGGAGTGGTGGCTCACGCCTGTAATCCCAGCACTTTGGGAGGCCAAGGCGGGTGGATCATGAGGTCAGGGGTCTGAGACCAGCCTGGCCAACATGGTGAAACCCCATCTCTACAAAAAATACAAAAAATAGCTGTGTGTGGTGGCGGGGGCCTGTAATCCCAGCTACTTGGGAGCCTGAGGCAGGAGAATCACTTGAACCTGGGAAGCAGACGTTGCAGTGAGCCTAGACTGCGCCATTACATTCCAACCTGGGCGACAGAGCAAGACTCCGTCTCAAAAAAATAAAATAAGATAACATGCTATACAGGTTTGTAGCTTAGGAGCAATAGGCTAAACCACATAGTCTGGAGTGTAGTAGGCTATATCATCTAGGCTTGTGCAAGTACACTGTATGATGTTTGCATGAGGATAAAATTGCCTAACAATGCATTTCTCAGAACTTATGTCCATTGTTAAGTGATGCATGGCTGTATTGGAAGTATCAGACACAGACCACCATATTAACAATTCAAGAAAATATAATAAAGGCAAGCTTGAACATTTTCTTAAGAAATGGGAACTAAAAAGTGACCTAGAAATGTTGAAAAAACCCAAATACAAATTCTAGAACTAAAAAGCACAGCTAAAATTAAGTAAGCAACGAATGGGTTTATTAAATGCTAAATAAACACAGCTGAAGAGAAAATTAGTGCACTGTAGATTAGAAGGAATTATCCAGAATGTAGCACACAGAAACAAACAGGAAAGTCCATGCACCTTGTCTAACGCCTGGGATAGAGAAGTAGGAACTCAATAAATGTTACTTTCATCCTTTTCCTCTTTCAAGTCTTAAAAAAAACACTGCTCTTTCAGAAAACCTTTTCTGATTCACTTGGCCTGACGTCTGCCACTCCATTTCTCTGAATTTTCTCAGCATCTTTGTAATCGGTTTGTTCATACTGACAGGTACTCACTTATTTCCTGAGATCAATGAATGCGAGAGTTAAAGCCTCCCCCAAAACTAATGCCATGGGTCAAAGGTTTCCTGGTCCACAAACTCATTCCTCCTCTGTGCCATGATGATGTACAAATGCAAGGGCTTGCTTATGAGAGGTATTGCTCCGAGGAAAAGGAGTTAGTTGAATTCCAAAATATGGTCTGCTTCTTGACCCTTTTCCTTGGTCAATGCTGTGTCAAGACAACTGCAGACTAAAGGTCACAATAAATACCTCAGTGTTCATGGTAAACAGGGAGCATGCACAAGCCCTCTCAGGCCTTGCTCTCCTCTGTTATTAGAGCTTCTCATCTCAGCTCATTCTGGAAATTCTGATGCACAAAGTTGGTGAGGGGAAGTGGCTAGAGATGGACATCAATAGGACCAACAAAATCCCCAGCTCCAAGAGGAGACTGCCAACTCTGCAAAAAGCATTAAATACTTGTGCTCTGCAGCGCCTGTTTAAGGACTTGGAGAACCAAGATGTGCCTTGCCAAAGAGGCCTCTTGTATGTTGACTTTAAGTGTCTGCCCTTCATTCTCAAGCACCATGGAGCAAGAGGGAGGGGACACCCTGAATGACCCCATCCTCCACCCCTAATCTGGATCATCTCAGACCCCTGGCCAGACCAGGGCCAGTGACCTGTCTCCCTTTAAATAGGCCTGAAGTGTAAGGGAGAAGGATTGGAATTAGCTCTGGGAGAGAAAGAAGAGAGAAGCTTTGGAAGCCTGGCTGCTGGGCTGTGTTGAGATGGAGGAGCTATGGGTGGGCCCTGGGCCGCTGTTGAAGGTAGAGGTGGAAACCAGGGAAGTAGCTTTGTGCAGGCAGAAAGCAGAAGCTGTGGTAGTTGTGTTTTGATTAGTAAGAGCCCAAGGGGATACAGAACCCAATGTCCTGGCCTTACCGGTTCTGTTTCAACAGCGGAAGATTATTTTTCTTTCTTTTTTTTTTTTGAGACAGAGTCTCGCTCTGTCCCCCAGGCTGGAGTTCAGTGGCGCGATCTTGGCTCACTGCAAGCTCCGCCTCCCAGGTTCATGCCATTCTCCTGCCTCAGCCTTCCGAGTACCTGGGACTACAGGCGCCCACCACCACACCCGGCTAATTTTTTGTATTTTTAGTAGAAACGGGGTTTCACCATGTTAGCCAGGATGGTCTCAATCTCCTGACCTCATGATCTACCTGCCTCGGCCTCCCAAAGTGCTGGGATTACAGGCATGAGCCACCGCGCCCAGCCAGAAGATTATTTTTCTAGACTTGGAAAAATTGTCACATTTCCCGTGTGTGTGTGTGTGTGTGTGTGTATGCGTGTGTGTGCACGCCTGCAAATGCTTGCATGCATGCACCAACCCACTCATTTGATCAAAGGTTAAAACAATATTAAATGATAGTCGTTACATGTCAGACACTGGGCTGAGTGCTGGGGATTCAAAAATGACCAAGACAGGGTCCCCAACCTGCTCTGGGGGTGTTCATCAGCTCCAGGGAGATGAAATTTCTCTTGATGGCTCCTCTCTGTGCCCATCCTGCTCTAGAAGCCTCTTCATTCACTGATTGGTATTTGGACCAACCAAATGGTTTTTCCTAGCCCCCTCCTGGGCTCTAAAGGCAGCACCAGAAATTTCAAGCAAGAAGCTGCTTCCTGGTCCAGCATCACCCAATGTGGACAGGATATTACTGAGATAAAAGATGCATGACCAGCTCCAGCTCTTGTCTGCCATTTCTGCCCAGGATCATGGAACAGGAGATGACCAAGGGGTCAGTGTGTGAGGGGCCTCCTGAATCTATTTGTGGCTCTATCTTGAATAAACTGGGTGAGCGACTGTGGCTCTTCTCACTTCTGGCTTTTATGTCCCTTCTTCTGATTTGGGACTAGGTTAGGTGCCCTGGTCCAGTGACTAGTCTCTTCCAGTCCTTGGTCCTGTAGAATGGGCCTTTCCCTACCTGGAAGAGGGCAGCTCTCATGCTGGGACCGAATACCTTGAGAGGAGAGCCTCTTGGTTGCACTGTGACCCAGGACAGGGCACAGAGGAAGAAGCCCCATTCTGGTGCTCCATCCCTCCAGTTTGCCCAAAGGTTGCACCCAAAGGCCGATGCTGGGCACAGACTGGCACCTTCTAACTTTCTCTCCAAGCTCCCATCCTGGCTGGAGAGACAGCAGGTGTCTGAGAACTATTCCTTCTCTTCTCAGTGAGAATCTATAGCCAATTAGCTGAGCCCAGGGAGGTGGAAAATGTCTCTTTCCAGCCCTGGAGCTAACAGCGAATCCAGTCTTTCTTGTAGACGTCTCTGTGAAGGGCGAGAACGGAGTAACCTCCAGGACTCCAAGGAGCTGGTTTCAGGCTGTCAGCTCGAGGCTTTAATAACACAAAAGGCAAAGGAACACTCCACTAAGTAGCATAAAATAAGTGCAAAACTTGGCTATATTTTTTTTCCAGAGTCTGTCTGGGTTTTTTATGTGGGTGTGTGCAAAGAGCAGGAACTCTCCCTGGGGTCCAACAAATTGGGTCTTTGCTGTGAGGGGCTGTGGCAGCTGTAAAAGGAGCCAAGCCAATAATTGGGCTAAAATAATTGGTCTCAGGATGTGACTCCCTCTAGCCTCTGCCTGTCACCCCTCCAGCTTCAGGGCCTCAGGAAGGCTGACACACACACCCGGCTGCTGTGGCATCTTCCTGACACCAGGTCAATGTTCCATTTCATTAGATCTTATCTGTATAAAACTGATGATCAGGGGAGAGGGGTCTGAACAGTGTAATGGGGGAAGGTCCTGGTTCTATCACTATCCTGATGTGTGAGTCTTGGCAGGTCATCTTCCTCTCTGTGCTTTACTTTCCTCATCTGCTCAGACAGAGGAAGAAGAGAGGATCAGTGCTTACTGAGTGGGGCAACAGTGTGGCAGGTCCTGGACTAGGTGTTTTGTATACATTGTCTCTGTGTCCTGTGTTATGGTGAAAATCAGATGGAAAAAGAGAGGTCAAGGAATTTAGACAAAACCAGAAAATACTACACCAAGATGAAAGTTGATGTATTTTTACTGCTTGCTACCCACACTCAGGAAATCCTGACAATGCTTGGCTCAAGAAATACGCAGAAAAGCTGTGAGGGGTCTGTCCCTCCCTTACCTGGGTGTGGGCTCAGCTGTGGGGACTGGCTAAGGGGTGGGCGATGAAAGGACAGGGTGAGTCGATCTTTAAGGTTTGGGTATTTCTGAGTCCCTGGGTGAATCCCACTTACTGAATTCCCAAGGCAAATGCGCTCTTCGGATCGTCCACCCCTAGGCCATGGACTCTCTGCCTCTCCTCTTTTCCTGTAGCACCCATAGTCAGAGTTGGCTACATAAGACAAAGCCTTCATTATTTTTAAAAAATCAATTGGCTCCATTATGGTATGACTAAAATTCTATTTTCAACTTCCCCTGGAGAGACGTTACTTACTGGGAATAGGTAAGTATCATTAGCATTTTTCTTTGAGAGTTTGGGGCCTGGAGAATTTAGGCTCAGACATTTCTATTTCTTTTTCCCCACCTGCCTGTTTCCTTGGCCCGGGTCAGAAATGACTTCAAGAGTTAGGGACAGCGCAGAGTGGTGATGAAGGACCAGTGAGAGCATTCCTTGCAGTGCCACGCCGGGCACGTCAGCCTTCTGGAGGGTCAGTGTTCTCGTCTGGAAATGGGGGATGATGTTAATCTTGCATCACAGGACCATAGTGATGACTGGAGGGGTGATGCTTGTGGGGTGTCGGGCACGGTGCCTGGTAGATGCTCAGTGAGCAGCAGCCATTTCTGTGAAAGGAAGGGCCTGGACAGCTGATCTTCACCGACAGTGATGACAAAGAGGGAAGGCCAACTCCCCGGCTCCACTGGTGGGTCTGGAGGAGCTGGTTTTCACACCCTCAGGGCCAGCTGCCCAGCTGATTTTGCCTGTGGCCTCTGTGTGCCACACCCTGCATGGGGAATTAGGGGAAATGCAAAAATGATGGTGGGGTCCCTGGGCACCCAATGCTACCAAACATAGAGCAGTGGTAGGGCTTAAGGCTGAGGGCCACAGTGTGAAGGAGCCATCAGATTGCAATGTGGCTTCCCTCCAGGGGAAGCAGGGGCAGAGTTCCTTGCACAAAGTAGACAATCATAAAAAATAAGGGCAGTGCGCATGTCATGAGTGCTTACTGCATGCCAAGCACCGTGCTAAGCACTTTCTTCACGTGGACCTTTTACATTTTTAATCTGTACGAGGGCCCAATGTAGTAGGTTCTCTTATCATCCCCATTTTACAGATGATGAAACTAGGCCTCATTTGCTTAATAACCTCTCTGGAATCACTCAGCTCATAAACAGTAGAAGTGGGCCTCAAACCCAGTCCTGCTTCACATGAGTATCTGAGCTAAAGCCCTTGCCCCACTCATTGTGGCTATAGGGCACAGGGAGCCGGGCACAGGCTGGCAGAAGAAGCCAGAGGCCAGTCCCTGCTGCACACACTACTGCTGTCCCATCCCTCGGATTTCTCTTGCTTGGTTCTGGCAGCATCCAGGAAGATGTTCTCCCAGCATCCTGTGCCCCTCACTCCCACCAAGATACAGTCTGCCATCTAGAACTGCTAGAGGCAGGAGCAGCCAGTTCAGGCTCCAAAGTCAAGTAGTGGGCAGGAGTGGGGTGCTCCCACGAGAGTGAGGTAACCACAGGCTCCTGGGAATCCAACTATAGCCCCTATCTCCCCAGGTGAGACAAGCAGGTGAGGAGTTTGCCTGGAGGCCAGTGGACACAAGTGCCCTCCATGTGGGAGTGGGGGTATGGGAAGGGGTCATAGTGAGGTCACAGGGGCCCCCAGATCACTCTTGGAACCCTAGCAAGCTCAGGGAGCTTGGAACCCTAGCAAGGATCAGAAGCCAGCAATTTCTGATTCCAGCCTGATCAGACTCCAGTCCCTCAAATTAATGCACGATCCAATTTAATTTCCCTTTAGAAAATTACATATTTTTAAAAAATACATGAAGAGTCAGAAAAGAGTCATGGCAACGAGGAGGCTGAGCACCAGAGCTGAAGCCAAGTCTCTTCTCCCTCAGCAGGGGCCTGTCTGGTCTTCTAGGTCAGAGCCTCCTGACCCTCTTCACATCATAGCACATGTGGAAGATGATAATATTCGCCCAGGACACTGGAGTCAACAGAGGCTGCCATCTGTAATGAGAGGCAAGCAGCTGAAGGCTCTAGCTGTCTTAGGCTCGCCTAGCCACAGCCGGGCCAAGGGGTCCGTGCCCCACACACCTGTACCAGGTGCGGAGGCTCTGCTCTGGGAATCTTCCCTAGCCAGATGCTGGCTCCCTAGGTAGGTCAAAGGGTGCTGGACAGGTTCAGCTGGCACTGACTAGAACCTGCTAGGAGCCAGGCAGGCCTCACTGGTGGCTGCCCTTAATTCCCACAACAATCCTGTGGCAGCTGGGATTCCTTTCCCATTATATAGATGAGGAAACTGAGCTTCAAAGGCATTCAGTGATTTGCCCAAGGCAACAATCATAGTATTCAATGAGCTCCTATTCATTGTCAGGCACTGTGCTAAGTGCTTTATACACAACATCTCCCTCTGCTGGGGGCCGTGCCCCACCAACGTGCTGGCAGTCTCCCTGAGCTTTTTACACAATTTGCTGAATGCATCAGTCACTGATCAAATGAAGAGGAGTTATGATGTGCTGGGCCCCAGGAAAGGTCTTCAGGTGCAAATATAAATAACGGAAATGGTCTTGCCAGCAGGAAGCCCACAATCCAAGACAGATCTGTGACTGTCTGACATGAATAGATGTTTATTCACATATGCTACGTGCCGGGCATTGCGTCAGACACCGGGTCCAGAAAGGTGAAACACTGATCGTGGTGCTTATCCTAGGAGCAGGCTCGTGGAGGAGCCCAACAAATAAACGGAGAAATCACAAGGCAGCACGGGGAGCTCTGTAACATGCACAGCAACCTAGCATGGGGCCTGGAGGAGGCGGCTGCCAATCTTGGGGACATCTGTGAAAGCACTGTGGATTCTACGCCGTGAGAAGAGGAAACAGCGTATATTGAGAATCCACTATAAGTAACACACCTGTGAACAAGACCTGGGTGTATCCTGAGGCCTGAACTGTGTCGACATAACTTAGCACGAGCTCTGCGTATACCTTGCTGGGTGCTCGGTAGATACATGCACTGCCAGGGATTAACTGAGCGATGAGTAACTGATGTGCCTCTGTCATCTTATTTTCTTATTCAGATTAATCTGGTTTTAACAAATGCTTAAAGCAGAGACCTTATTACCAAAGAAACCCCTATTGCTGGTATAAAGATCTGCTTTAGGAGCCTGAAAGTTATTGCCAGAAAACTGATACTGACATAAGTTCCCTGTTTCTTCAGATGTCTGGCTTGTGCAGGGGACACAGGCCCAGCAGCCCAGCTGCCCAGATCCCATCCCGACGGCTATCTCCACAGCCCACAGCTCTGCTGTTCTAGGCACGTGCTTATCTATTTTATCCACCAGAGTCCCTAGGATGTGTCTGCTCAGCCATATTAAGGAGGCCCACCCAGTGCCCTAATATTTTTATCAAATGGCAGAATACCTGGCTATATTTGTACCTTGACTCATGTGGTACCTTTGTTACAAAGAACACAAAGCAATGGGCCCTTGCTCTGTTTAGGCTGCTCCTGCCTCAGAGAGGAACAACCGGCTCTCTCTCTTTGGCAGAGGAGGCCGATGAGGCCCAGGGAAACAAGGTGGTCTGTCTGAATCCTCAGAGCCTTGGTGGTAGAACCTGGACTAGAATCTATGGGGCATCCAGGCAAACTGAGTCCTGACTTCTGTGTGCCATCTCAGCTCTCGGAGGGCTGAGACCAATCCCTTTGCCTCTTTGTAAGTTTCATTGCAATTAGCACAGTGATGTTCCCCTCTCTTCTTTTCCTTTCTCTCCTTCTTTCCTCTTCTCCTTCTTCATCAGTCACTTCCCTTCATGTGACAGAGTCTCTCCTTGACCAAACTCTGGTCAGGCTTCTCTGAATCCTCTTCCCAACTAGGCCTCCATGGTTGGACTTCCATGTCTGTCTTTGGATTGCCTTATTTTAGTAAGAATCCTGCTAAATGGGTATCTGATCAGCCTTGGTATCTGCTGGCTTCCTCATCCCCTGCCATCCCCCAGTTGATATCTAGTTGCCCTGGCCTGACTTTAGCAAGACTCCTGTTAGGTTGGTTTAGCCAGAATCCCCCTTACCTGTGATGTTTTCTCTTAGTAATTTTCCAACCACCAACACCTCTGACCCTGCTCCTTGGCTATAAATTCGCACTTCTTGTTACATTGAGAACTGAGCCCAGTTCTATATTGAAGTCTCTTTTCCCCCGTTGCAATAGTCCCGAATAACATATATTTTTACTGCTTTAGCTATTATCTAGTTGTGGTTTTCTTTGACATATCATACCTGCAGTCCATAAGCACTGCTCCTTAGAGAGGCTAAGATAGAAAGAAGGTAAGCAGGAATTTCTGGGCCTTCCTGGATGTTCCCCCCCCACACAAAAATTCCTCCTTGGAAAGCTGCCCAGCCCCTACCTCCACTGCCAGCAGTGACTCCTAGGACCCCGGGGAGGAAATAAGGGGAAAAGGGAGGCAGGGTGGGGCCAACCTGAGCGCTAATGCTGTGCCCGGCAGCAAGAGCTTCATATGAATCATCTCGTTTAATCCTTGCAACAGTCAACGAGGTAGGTGCTATTGATACTTCCATGTTACAGATGAAGAAACAAAGGCATAGGGCATTTCTGTGACTTAGCCCAGGCCCAAAGCTCGGCCGGGTGTGGCCAGGAGGCAAACCCCTACCACATGGCCTCTTGGGAAGGGGTGGGGTCCGAGCACTGGAGCCTCTCACTCCCTAAGGAGGCCTGGCCACATCTCTCCAGGAGCTGGAAATGTCAGACTTCAAAGGGTCACCCCAGACCTGGTAGGCTGTCAAGTCCACAGAGAAGAGAAGCCTGAGTGGAGTGAACTGACTCAGACTCCCTTGTTTCCTCCAGGAAAGCTTTGCGTGCATTCGCACGGAGCTTCCTTCATTCATTCCACAAACATCTGCAGAACCTGAAGAATAAACCTGGTTCTTTCCTAGTGACTGGAGAACAGAGCAGAGGATTGTGTGGCTCTCAAGGAGTGGCTGTCCAATGAGTCTTCACTGATGCCCAAACATACCTGCCTTCACACCCCGAACTGGGAAAGATGGGGGAATTCCTACTGTGGGTGGGCGCTTCTACTGTGTCTTCATTCCTCATGTAATGTTCTCCACAATTCTAGGTCATAGGTATTATTGCCAACTGTTTTACAGGTGGAGAAACAAAAACCTAAAGAGAAAGGGAAGTCATTTGTCTCAACTCATACAACTATTAACTTGGTAACCCTGGACTTGAGTCTGAATGATTAAGGAGCTTATATTTTTCTCTTTTCACCTCCCTTGCTCCCACAAGAAAGTGAAATAACTACATGCCACATCCCAACTACATGCACTCACACCTACTGACACACACTTGGAAGCAACTGAGCTCTGAGACGCGCCTGTGTCTGGTGCAGTCCACAAGCACAGGGTGCATCTGCCTACACACCTGGATGTGCACATACATGCACACATCAATGTTTTTAAAAATTCAATATTTTGGGGGTACAGGTGGTTTTTGGTTACATGGATGAGTAGTTTAGTGGTGAATTCTGAGACTTTAGTCACCAAAGCAGTGTACACTGTACCAAATATGCAGTCTCGATGTTTTTTCCCTTAACTTTTGAATGTTGTGAACACATGGAAAAATATCTAATTTCACTAGTTACTAAAAAAAAAAAAAATGAAGTGGGGTAGCAAGAAAGTGCTGTCATTTTAGCTCATCAAAATACCAAAAATTAGGGAGAAAATAAATGAGAAAATAGTCCTGGTGGGGATGCATTGAGATGGGCACTTTTGTACACTGCTGATTGGTACAACTCTTTGGGAAAGTGACTTGGCAATATTCATCAAGAGGTTTAAAAATGTCCAAGACCAAAAGTGGCCCAATAATTTCACCTGAGTGTCACTCAGTAGTAAATGCATAACAATGTTTAACATAGCATTGTTTATTATAGCACAGACCCGACACCGACCCAAATGACTTACACTGGGGGGTTAGCTAATTAAATTCTGTCAAGGAAAAATGACTGAAAAAAGACAAACAGTAACATGACAATGTTAACAGTGGTTGGGTTTGAGTGATCAGACTATGGTTAATTTGTTCCTAGCACCCTACCCATCTTCTTTCTTCGGTTTTCTGCATTTTTCTTGAAAAAGATCATGCCTCACATTTCTAACAAAGCTAAACTTTATGGAAAAAGTTGGGAGCAGATCACCACACTGCATGAGTGATAGAAAGCTGAGTATATGGATACAGAATTTAGTGTTGTAATCAAGCGAAACCCACAACAGAAATGATCTATTGCGTCAATATGTGCAAAGCAGCCACTGTGCACATGTGATTGGACTTAAATAGTGAAGAGCATGCTCATAAGAAGCTGTAATTAGTTTGCCTTTTATACCACAAAATCAGTGTTTAGTTTCTCTCTTTGTTGTTAGTTCTTCAGCATCTGTCAACTGCATCAGGGCTGACAGGTTAGCCTAATACCAGGTGTGAGCTGTTCCCATAGGCACACGCGCGTGCACACACACACACACACACACACACACACACACACACAGAATTATGAGGCAGCTGTCTTGCCAGCCAGGCTTCAGGGCTGGGCATATGAACCTCCCTCCTGGGCTGGTGGTTCTAGGCAGTGAAGCTGCTACAAAAGATGCAGTTGGTGTGGGGAGGGGATTTGGAGCAAGGATGGCCTCTGGGCAGGAGGGAAGGAGGACCAGGGCTGGGAGGACTGAAGAGGATCTGCCTGCGCCAGGGCCCGAGGCTTCCACCCCAGCAGGAGTTCTTGAGAACAGATTCCCACCAGCTTTGGCCAAATGTACAGTGAAGTACAAAGTGACTAACATCACACGTCAGAGGCCAAAGGCAGATGGGAGTCAGATGGAATGAGCTGGAGAGTGCCCCTTGGCTAAAAGGCCAAGGGGAGGCCAGGGAGAAACAACCTCACGTTGTGCCAGCGAGGGGTTTTCACCTGTCTGCGAGCCTTCTCTGCTTCTTCTTTATTGATCCATCCATGATGCAACTTCCAGGCTTTTCTGCATTCCCTTAGAGACCAGGCAATGAATCCCAGGGGAACAGATGGAGTGCGGGAACTGTTGACATTTTCCAAACTTCCTGAGTGGGGGTGACACCCGTCTATTGTCCCCTGAGTTTCCCTTCTTTGCTCCATGCCCTGGGTGGCTAGACCAAGGAGACTCCTCACTTTCTCCTCTGTGTCAGAAGGGCCGCCCGGGCCTCCCCTCTCAGTCTTGCCCTGGCTCAAGCTGGCTGACAGGAGTGCAAGCCACAGGTGCTGTCCCAGGGGAGATCCTGGGGCTGGTCCCTGAGGCATAGCATCCAGAGAGGCCCTAAACATTACACTTTTGTCCCGCAAAGAAGAGACCCAAGAAAAGAAAGAGGCCCTGCCTTATCTTTTCTCTCATCCCTGAGGAGAGAAGTAGCTTTTGTATGCATTTGTTTTATTTTATTATTAATTTATTAATTTATTTAGAGATAGGGTCTTGCTCCGTTGCCCGGGCTGGAGTGCAGTGGCACCATCACAGTCATTTGGATTTGAACCCACCCAGGCCTTCTTGCTTTTAGGAGAGCTCACACTTCCCCATGTGTGACCACAAGTGTGCACACACAGCCTCTCACTCACACACTCACATGTGTACACACACAAATACTCTACTGCAGGGGGAAGAGGCCTCTCCCCAGCCTGGGAGTGTGGGACTGCTTCAGCTTTTGCATTTGTGTGCTTGGATTCTACCTGGATAGTAGAAGTGAAAAGTTACAGCAGGTCTTCTTCCCTCTGAAGAACCACGGAGAAGAAAGGTACAGCATCACTGGAATTCAGATTAGAGATGTGAAGCCAAAAAAAAAAAAAATTCCCCAAACCCAACCGGGAAAGAAAGCTCATTAATGTCTCTCTTCCCCTCCTCATTAAGCAAGAGCTCGCTCATAAATATTCACAGAATTCTAAAGTAAGATCGAGGTGAAAGTTAACTTAATGCGGAACAATTAAGACTGCTCACAGCTCACCAGCAGCCTGACTGGGCTCTGGCCTCCCCAAAGCCCAGAGATCTGGGAGGCTCTTGGTCTTCCAGAGGGGCGGAAGAGGAGCAGGGGTTGGGACAGAGGTTTGAGCAGAAGATCCCCCTCTGCACCTGCAAGACGCCCTGTGAAAGCAGCTCACAGGCCTGCTTGTGTCTCCTCAGGCTGGGAAGTGTTAGCCATACGAGGGTCTTGAAGGTCTCCCAGCACCTGTCACTGGCTTGCCCCATCTTACAATGAGGCGACTGTAATCACGGAGGGTATATGACTTGTCCAAGGTGACCGGCCAAGCCATGACTGAGTCCAAGGATGCTTTCCACCACCCACCTTCCGTCTTTAACCAGGACCAGGAAAGCTTTCCTTGGGCTTCAGGCCCTGATCCCTCCCTGCCCCGGAGGTTGCAGAATTCCCTGATCCTGCACACTGCAGCCAGATTAATATTCTGAAATGCAGGCTTAATTGCGTCACTCCTTCCAAAAAACATTCATTGGCTCATCCACTGCCTATGAATTAAATGCCAACTCCTCATGCTCTGTGGTCCAAATGCTCCTTTACAACCCTAATTACCATTACTTGTTATGCATTTCCCAATGTTCCAGCCAAATGGAACTCCAGCTCTTCTCCAAACATGCTCTAAACTCTCCTGCCTCCAAGGCTTGTTTATGTAGCCCTCACTTCCTGGAATTCCCCCCTGCTGGTTCTACCTGTCAAAATCCTGTCCATCTTTCCAAGTTCAAATGTCATTTCAAATGTCTATTCCATTAAGTAATCTTATTCCTTACAATCTGATGGAGTCTTGCTCTAGGGTATTTTGCTTGAACCTCTTCTATGCTACATCATCTTCTTGTGCCTTGTCATTCAATTAATAATAATAGTTGTAAAAATATTTGTACTTACTGCCAACATGCGCCTGTTGCCTTGAATATATTATACCTTGCAATGTAGATATTGCTATTCCATTTTACAGTGGAGTGCACTGAGGTTCTCAGAGGTTAAAAAGCCCAACTCTATTTGGCTCTAAAGTTTTTGCTTCTTCTCCTTCTCCAGGATTGTTTTCATTCTTACTTTTGGAAGCTCCCTGGATTGAATTGTGTCTTCCAAAAAGATGTATGTAAGTCCTAACCCCTAGAAGCTAAGAAGGTGACCTCATTTGAAATAGGCTCTTTGTGGATGTAATCAAGTTAAGAGGAGGAGATACTGAATGAGGGTTGGCCCTAACCCAATTACTGATGTCTTTATAAGAAAAGAAAAAGCTGGACACAGACACAGGGGGGTGACGGCCATGTGAAGACAGAGGCAGAGGCTGGAGTGAGGCATCTACAAGTCAAGGAATGGTAAGGAATGCCAGCAACGACCAGAAGAGAGGCAGGGGCAGATTCTCCCTGAGAACCTTCCAAGACCAACCAACCCTGCCTACACCTTAACCTTGGACTTCCAGCCTCCAGAACTGTGAGACAATAAATTTCTGTTGTTCTAAGCTAGCTAGTTTGTGATACATTGTTATGGCAGCCCTAAGACACGAGTATGCTCTTCAAGGACAGGATCTGTTTTTACCCTTCTCATTATCCTTCTAAGAGATCCGTGTGCTGTCTTCAGATGATTAGGTGCTCAGTAAATGCCTGTGGAATGCACCACAGATTTTCACGCCCCATCTGCAGAGGTCCTAGGGGCAAGGAATGTAGTAAATATTTTATGGATGGGTGTTAAAGGCCCAGCGAGGTCATTTACCTTACAGTTAGCTGGCAGCAGAGCTGGTTCCAGGACAGGAGTCCTGGGTCTCAACAGCTAGACAGCGTGGCACCTGGAAATGCAGCTGGTGTGATTTTGTCTTCTGATGTGAGTCAGCCAGCTCAGAGGCCTTGAGTGCACAGCGGGTATCTTTGGCACCATTAACTGAAGCCATTAGAAATGTGCTGGGTCTATGGTGGTGCTGGACAGAGGACTCAGAGATGCCTGGTTTCCCGCCTGCTCAGGAAGCCCTGGGTGGCCAGCTCTGGTCCTGGGTCACAGGGTTGCTCTGGGATTTGGCTTTTCTAAGAGGTAAGCTGAAGGCTGTGGGGCTCAGGACACATTCTGGAAACACCCAGTGGTGAGCTTCTCCTCACCACCCCCAACTGGAGGCCCAGTTAGTGTCTTCTCCTCCTCCAGTACGAACAGCCAGATGTGTCTCACCCTGGGCTCTTGTCATCTCTGCCAGCAGGCATGGCCTCCTGCAGGGGCCAGGGGGACAGTCCCTGGGACCCTGAGCATCCTGCAGCCCCTCTGCTGTTTGGAAGTGGGTGGTGGGGATGGCTGGCTCTGAGGGTGTGTGTGTGTGCTGATGTTACAGAAGATGCGGGGTTCATCTCCTGCAGTGTCTACCCTGTCCCCCAGAACTGTGAGTAATGGGGGCTCTTTCCAGGCAATTATAAGCAATACTCTGACTGGGATTTCCCCTTAAGGATTGGTCTCTCCATGCCCTTGACAATGAGCCATGGATTATATTTCTAACCTCCTCTGTATGTGGGGGCTCAAGCAGTCTTTCTTTTTTTTTTTTGAGTGTTAAAAACCATATTCTTTTTATTCTAAAGATTTATGTGATTTTCACATTTTAATATCTCTAAAATTATGTCATAACTGAAATTAAAATATGTTTGTCGTGTAAGCAATTTTTTAACTGTAGTAAGATATATATAACATAAAATGTATATTTTATCTATGTGTGATTTTTAGGCGTACTGTTTGGTGACATTGTTTAAACTGTTGCGCAACCATCGCCACCATCCATCTCCAGAGCTCTTTTCATCTTCCCAAACTGAAACTCCATACCCTCTCTTCTTGCCCCGCCGGTAACCATAATTCCACTTTCTCTCTCTATGAATTTGACTACTCTAAATACTTCATATAAGTAGACTCATACAGTATTTGTCCTTTGTGTCTGGCTTATTTTTCTTACCACAGTGTCTTCAAGGTTCATCTATGTTGTAGCATGTGTCAGAATTTCCTTCCTTTTTAGGCTGAATAATATTCCACTGTAAGGATAGACCACAGTTTGCTTGTCCATTAATCCACGGATGAACACTGGGTTGTTCCCACCTTTTGGCTACTGTGAATAATGCTGCTATGAGTATGGGCATATGAATACCTGTTGGAGTCCTGCCTTCAATTCTTTCAATTCTTTTGGGTGTGTATACCACCAGAAGTGGAATTGCTGGATCATATGGTAAGCTTATGTTTAATTTTTTGAAACAGTCCTCTTTTTATAATCAGAAATAGATAGGGCTACAGGAAATGGAGAAGGCAAAAACAAACAAACAAAAACAACCTAGCGTCTTTTGAGAAGAACTCGTGCTAAGAACTTTATGTCATCTTGTCTAAACTCTGTAACAAGACTATGAACAAGATATCATTTCCATATGATGGGAAATTCAAGACACAGCCCCTGCCCAAGGTCACACGGTTTATAAGTGTGGAGGCACAAACTGAACCCAGACAGACGGCGGGGGACCCACGGGGTGGCTATGGGCGGAATCACAGAAGCAAGGATCCTACTCTTCCTTGGCTGTCTACTTCTTCCCCATTACTGCTGAGGGGCCTGCTGGGAAGATGGTGAGATTCTGAGGAATGTCCTGGGGGGCAGGGCAGGGTGTGGGGTGGGGAGAGGTGTTCCACAAATCGTGAGGTTCTTGGAGGAATCTCTAATTCTAAGCAGGCAGTGGCATGTGTGTGCCATCTTTTGAGTCTTTTCTTATCTAAATTTCATAGTTTTTTTTTCAACGGTTTCTCACAGTGACAGTGGCCAAAGCCCTCACGGGCCCTCCTGTTCTCCCTCCATGGAACCTACTCTGGTCCCTGACATAACATAGCCTGACACATCCATCACAGCTCTGCAGATCAGGCCTGATGGTTCTGAGACACTCAGGGATTGAGTTCCTTTAAAGACTGAGCTGCTCTCTATCTTTGCTCCTATTTTGAGCTTTAGTTCTTTTTTTAATGA
The DNA here is from genome assembly GCF_000001405.40 of Homo sapiens. NCBI lineage: Eukaryota > Metazoa > Chordata > Mammalia > Primates > Hominidae > Homo > Homo sapiens. The sequence continues at coordinate 111,823,536 of NC_000001.11, forward strand.
TGCTGGTTTTACACTGTCCAATCTGAAGAGCATTCTTCTTGATGGGAAAAGCAAAAGAAAAATAGGAGCTGAATAACACATTTCATTGTGGGGTGCATTATGTGGGGTCCATTATGCCCTGCAAAGCATCTTTGTGACTACCACTCATTTGGTCCTCATGGCAACCCTCAGAGCTAAGTAGGGCAGTGCTATTACCTGTTCAGTGAGGGTGAATGACTTGCACAAGGTCCCTCAGCTAGTTAGCAGCCCAGGCAGAACTGAGGTGTAAATCCATATCCAGAAACACTTTGGGGGAAATTCTGACTACATAAGCACAAATAACTATAATCAGGAAGCATCTAAAACACTAATATGGTTGCACTAGAGACTCTGAAAAGCTCACATTTGAAGACAAAAGCAAAAGAAAAAATCTGCTTTAGTTGTAAACAGACAATGCCCAGCACTGAGGAGTAGTGTGGTCCCCAGGGAAGGATGCAGAAGATGCTGGATTTTTAGGAAAAGCTGAGGCTTGGGGAAAATGCAGAGGCAAACTAAAAACATTTTTAGTTATGCTAATAGCATGATCCCATGCCTTCTCCAACTCCAAAAAAAAAAAAAAAAAGCTCAAACAAGAAATAACAAAGACAGCAAAGAACAAGATAGTACTAGGTCTGCTTTTTGAAGGAAAGTGGAGAAATACTGACAGCTCCACGTGGAGAGCAGAAGAGCTTGGGGAAAGGGCCGGTAGTTGAAGCAGGGAGACCAGGCTTGGTCTGGTGTTGACCAGTTGGTTGACTTGCAGCAAATCACCCTCCCTCCCTGACCCTTTATGTCCCAGATGCCCAAAGTTCTGGACTAGTTCAGTGTTTACCAAACTACTTTAATTCTTCTTCTGCCCTGGTGATTCTGCCATACCCACACACCACTTGCATTACTGAATTCTAGCCAGATGCTGTTGTCTGCTTAAGGAACTGAGCCTGAAGCCTGCTCCTACTTGGTTAGAAAGGGAGATGAGCAAGGGTTAAAGAGGTGTTGAAACCGGCCCAACTGTTCCATCAAACTGATGTTTACTGTTTTTTGGATAAACATAGAAATGGACCCTCTTGATCTTAAAGCTCGAAACTTACATTTATCTTATTTGAGTCCCATCCTCAGAAAACCGACCCTCAGGCCTCCCAGAGAGTATCAGGGATCTGAAACTCACCAGATCACTGCATCCAGACATGAGATGCCAGACCCCTCATCCATGGCGATTCCTGTTTTCCAACCCCTCTTCCTTACCCCTCCTTAAATCCTGTTTTTCCACACATAGTTACATTTCTTTCCTGCTGTTATATATAAATCCCTAACTTCAGTTGGTTGAGGAGATGGATTTGAGACTGATCTCCCATTCTCCTTGGTTGCAGCCCTGAATAAAGCCTTCTTCCCTGGCAGCACTTGTTGTCTCAGTGATTGGCTTTCTGTGTGGCAAGCAGCAGGACCCAGACCAAACCCCTGACATTTCAGTAACAGTGTTAAAGATATCCTAGCATCAAATTAAGACTTCTCTTTGGTATCACTAGAAAGATTGAAAGAAAATTCAAGAAGAAAAACTTAAAAATAATAATTCCATGTCCATACACCACCTAAACTGCTTCAGCATTATTTGGAGTCATTCTGAGCCCACCAGTGATCCAGGGTCCACACTTTGGGAAGTGGTGGACTAGGCTGGTGATCACCGATATCAGTGATGTCTATGACACTGTTAGTATTTTTTGACCCATATGTCCGAGGTCCAGGATTCTTCCTACTTTGTGGCACAATGGCCCATCAGCTCAGGTTGTTCTTAAATGCCGCACATACTTCCCAGGCAGCACACTAATCTCTGCCATGTTCACACAGTACAAGTTCCTCATGTTGATTGTAGCTCTGCCCATAAGCCAGATCCACTTGAAGCTTTAAGGATCCCTGACACTGGACCACAGGAATGCACTTGTCTGTTGGATTTGTCTTCCATGGTGTGAGCTCTCTTCCTATTCTTTCTACATCTCCAGTATTACAATAAAGTTTATTTTTTCCATAATAAAAGTAATGCACAATCATTGTAAGAAATCTGATCACCAAGCAAAAATGCAGAAAGAATTAAACAAATCATCCATGCTTCCACCACCCAAAGATACCATCATTGTATTTTGTTTTCTTCTAGTCTTGTTTTTCTTTTAAATCATACTTACATATTGTGTGTATAATTTTGTCTCCTGCTTTTTCCCACACTACCATCTGAAATAATAATAAGCATTATTCTACATGGATGCATTCTGATTCTTTCTAATTTTTGCTTATACAAATATTATTAATAACAGTATTTCTAAAGTAGCACTATTTCCTCGGGAGAGATCCAAGAAGTGACTCTCCTGAGTGCCATATCCCACGTGCAGTGTTTGAATGAGACTATTTTGCTGCACCCTCACCAGCATTGGGTAGGGTACTCACTAAAAATCAAAATCAAAGTCTTTGCTAATTTGCAAGCCAAAAATAGCTATCTAGTTGTTTGAATTTTCATTGTGATTACTAGTAAGATTGAAGATTTTCCATCTGTTGGAAAGCTAGCTTTATTTCTTCTTTAGCGAATTGTTTATTACATCCTTGATTCACTTTTCTATTTTGCCTTAGGGGTTTCATTACTGATTTGCACGAGCTCTTTATATATTAAAGATATTAACAATTTATCCAATATTTGCTGTAAATATAGTTTTTGGCTTTTAAAATCTAGGTTCATTAGAGGTTTCCCAGGTAGCCACATTGATTTCTTTAGATGTCTCATTTTTCTTCCTTGTTGGAAGTATATGTGAATTTCTTGTTCTAATTTCATTTTTAGAGTCTCTCACTCCTTGTGAGATGTTTTCTTTTAGAGTGTGCAGCCATGGACCATAAAACCTTGACTTTCAACTTTCAGGTCTAGGACACGTGTCTGCTCTCATGCCACGTGCTCTTCCTTTGTATGTGCACACACCCACCATCATCTGCCATGAACATACAAAGACATGCAGGTCTCAGGCCCTCAGGTTTGGCTCAGGGCTCTTAATCTTTCTACGTTTAATGCTTATTTGGGTCAAGAGGTCACTCACAGGTGGTTTACTATGTCAACGAGTTCATGGTTTCTGAATGTTTCCTAAGGCTGAAGAGTTCATTCAGGGTTTCAATAGGACAGTGGCGCCTCAGAGCAAAATCCCTACTACTGGGAGATGTGAAGTTTCTATTATAATAATAATAATAGTCATGATAATAACAGCTAATGTTTAATGATCACCTGAAATATGCTGATCTTTGTTCTAAGTGCTTCACATTAATTACCTGGTTTAATCTCCAACAACCCTATGAGGCTGGTACTACAGGTTGAGTATCCCTTATCCAAAAGGCTTGGGACCAGAAGTGTTTTGGATTTTGGACTTCTTTAGATTTTGGAATATTCACATTAAACTTATGGTTGAGCATCCCTAATCCCAAATCCAATACTCCACTGAGCATTTTCTTTGTGCATCATGTCAGCAATCAAAAAGTTTCAGATTTTGAAGTGTTTCAGATTTGGAATTTTGGGATTAGGAATACTTAGCCTGTATGATTATTTCCAGTTTTTGGATGGGAAAACTAAGGCACAGAGTGGTTAAGTAGTTTGCCTAAGTGTACAGCAAAGCTGGAAGACATGCATATGTAGTGTATGTTGCTATGAGAACAGATGTGTACGCAGATGACGGTTGGAATTGCCCATGAGTGAAAGCAGAGACAGGAAATACAAGTGCCAAGAGGAGAGGTAAGGCAGCTGGTGCAGCCTAGGGGTGGAGCCCAAGTAAGCACACCCATGTCCTGTGACCCCCAGCACTTGGTCCCTTGACTTTCAGTGGGTTCACGATGCAGGAACACATCTTGCACAGGAATCCGAGATATTGCCAGGGGTCCCAGGACACTAAGCAGACAGAATTTTGTTACCTGCCTCCATCGCAAGTTAAGCACTGGAATTCCAATGAGGGCCAGGAGCAGATAATAATCACAGTGGCAGCAGCTAACTTATATTGAGCAGTAAGTACATGCCAAGCGCTGGACTAAGAACTTTACATGTAAAGATCTTGTAACAATCCTATGAGGCTGGTACTGTTATTACAACCATGTTATATATGAGGAAACTGAGTCTTAGAGAGGTTACACATCTCCAACTGGCAAGCCTGTGCAATTCCAAAGTCTGTATATTATCTTCACTTTGCTCTCTGCCCTCCTGGGTGAGGAATGTTGATATGATGGAGCTCTTCTCTCCCTCCTGCTCCAGGATACCCTGATGACCAGCCAGGGCTGAGCAGAGGAAGAAGAAATGGGGCTCCAAGGGATGCAGCAGGGGGCCCTGCTATCTTTTTTCTAGAGCCCTGGGATAGAGAATAAGAGAAAAGAGTGAGGCCCCTGGTCTCACTCTGAGCGCTGTTCCTGAATGCCATTAGTGGATTTGCTTCCCATTAATGAAAACTGGTACTTGCTAAGAATTCTTGGAAGAGGGAGAGCAGACAGCTGCCTTTTGTTTATGGGCTTCTGGAAGCAGCATTTCTGAGCCCAAGGCTTGCCGCTCTGCCCCAAGCAGCAGCACTGACGGGGCATATCTGGAGTGGGAAGCAACTCCCTGTGATGACAGCTCCATCTATGTTCGCTGGGCTCAGGGCTGTGTTTGGTGTGGGCAGCAAGTCTTACAAAGCTTTTGCCTTTCCTCACAGAGCTTGGTATTCACACAATTTACCCGTGTCTTTGTGAACAAGGATAGGATCTAACCTTTACTTCCGTCTACCTGTGGCCATCTCAAAATAATTGTCTCATTTTATGGGCTTCTGTCTGGGTTTGTAGCTGTTACTTCTCTTGATTGAATAGATAAAAAAGAGTATGTTTATACTATTCAACTGCATCTCCCATTAGTCACCAGTGCAAACCCTTTGCCCTAGTTAGGCCAGATTCCTCACTGTCCCCACAAACAACAGGTGTTATCACTGCTACCTGGACAAACCCTTCTGGCTGGAAGGCTCAGAGGCATTTCACTCAAGAAGGCTCAGTAATCCCCAGCCCCAGGACCATCCTGAGTAGGACCTATCTTCACTGTTACCCCAGGTGAGCTCTGGGATCTGCTATGCACCATATGCCTGGTGTGCTGGGGTATGGAGAGACCCCCCATCCTGCCACCAGCTCTGCTCAGCTCTCTGTCCTTTTACTCGGATCCACTGCTTTGCTCTTTGCTGTTGCCACCGTCCATTAGCCACCCCAGCCACTGCTGCATGAGGCCCCTGGAACCAAGGTACTGCTTCCTATTTGCTTGAGTTTTACCATGCTCACAGCCCACTGTGGTCTTGCTTATACCCCAGACTGGATTCCCATTGACCTAGATGCTGGGTAGACTAGCTGGGGAGGGTCACTTTCCTAGTTCTGGTCCTGGCTTTCTGCCTTTCTCAGTAAACCCATCTGGTTGAGGTCTTAGCATTCATTCAGGAGCCACCCGCGAAACAAATGCTACAAAGACAATTCAATCTATTTTCTTCTGTCATGTGAGTTTCACTGTAGTAAGAGAGAAAGTCATGTGAGCAAATGGTTGCGCTGCAGTGTTATGAGTGTTAAACAGAGTCATGGTCACGAAATTGGAAACTAAAGAGGACGAACAATTATGTCTCAGGCTGTGTGGTTGTGCGGTTGCAGGGATATGGGGCGACCTAAAATGAAAGGGGATGCTAGAGCAGGTCTTGAAGAATGAGTAGGAATTTCTTAGGTGGATGTTTCTGATGAGAGTGGTAGGGACAATTCAAATGGGCCTTCCAGACAGAAGAAATGGGCTGGAAGAGTGAAGCAGCAGTTTGGGGGTGTGGCAGACAAGGTGAGAGAGCTGGTAGATCATGAGGCCATGGTAGGTGGGAGCTGAGCAGGAGACAGCATCCAGGCTGAACCTCAGGTTTCTAGCTCTAATAGATGCAAGGTTGTTGGTGTCATTAATTAAGTTGGAGAATGGTCTTCAGGGATGGGGGAAAGACTACAAATCTGATTTCAGATACGCTGACTTTGAGGAAGAGTGGCAGGAATAAGTGTCCCCGGTCTCACTCTGAGCACTGTTCCTGAATGCCATTATCCACTCACCTCCTGAATGGTTGACAGCTCTCACAATCCAATCCCTCGTCCCGCCCTCCATTCTGAAGGTCAGACCTATATAACCCAGCACCTCACTGGACATCTCCACCCAAATGACCCCATCCTCTCAGGCTCTTCAAACTCAACGTGTTGTTGCTAACAAAATGGATTATCCCCCCCAAATGCTTCTCCTGTTGGGTGCCCAAATCACAGTAGACCCGACTGCCTGAGGTGGAAGCTGGGCATCACCTTTGATTTCTCCCAGGTAGCACTGGTGGCTGCATCCTTAGTGTTGCGTTGACCCTCTCATGTTCTCGCCTACTCCATTTCTACTGCCATTCTGTTCACTATCGACTCTTCGGTGGCTATTGTTCCAACTGCCTGAACTCTTCTCCCCTCCATCTAATTATCCTCCGGTCCATCTTTCTACGTCAGCAGCGTGGATCTATAGATCTATATTCATTTATTATCTGCTTCCCCACAATGTGAGCTCTATGAGAACAGAAACCTCTGTTCACTGTTATTCCCAGTGCCCAGCACACAATAGGAGCTCAATACATATCAATTAACAAACAAATGAATGAATCTAAAAATGCAAATCTGATCCCATCACTCCCTGCTTGACTCTTCTGTGGCTCCTCATAGCCTTCCAGATAAAGGCCTGTTTCTTCATGCAGCATAAAAGGCTTGCTCAGATCTGGGCCCAGTGCGGTTCCTCAGACCTTGCACTCATTCATGACTTTGTATCTTGGCCTATATTCCAGGTAGGAGACCCTCCTTGCAATCCCTGGAGCATATCTTAAGCCAGTGGTTTTTCCCGCCTGACCAGGCTAGGACCCAAGTGAGACAAGGCAGGGCCCTTGAGTGCAAAATTTAAGGAGGCCCTCACTCTCAGGGACAACCCTACCCTTGCAGGACCTCAAGAGTGGGTGGCTCCTTAGGTTTTCAGCCCTGAGTCTGCGCCCTGCTGTGTAAGGCTGGTTTTCTTTATATACTACAAACAAAACCACAGATATCAACAGATTGAATGCAGATGCAGATGTGAGAATCCAGCTGTCTTCTAATTCATTAAAGAGATTTTCAAAAATATAAAACAATGCCACTCTTCCAGGTTTTTTAAATTTTGGAAATATATTTTCCATAAAATGTATTTTAATGTGTAATGGGATATGTTATTTTAAAATGAATTAATAAACAAGTATTTAAAAACATTTAAAAATTCACAGTGCTAAATTTCTAACCCTACATATTCCACAGAAATAAAAGGTCATTGGGATTCTTGGTAATTTTTCTGAAACCAGAAAGTTGAAGAACTGCTTTGTTAAACTAGACAATGTGGAAAACATTGCTTATAATAAGCACTGGTTGCATGAATTTTGTGACTAAACAGGACTTCAGAGAAGTTAGGGTGGATGCCTCAGGCAGCACCCTCCTGGCCTGGAAGGTTTTCCACACTTGCTTTCCTCTGACACCGGCTGTGCTGACTCCCCCTTTCATCTGTAGGGAAAGAGAAAATTGATGAAGGTAAGACTCTTCCTTTCACAGGCTCAAAACTCTTGTCCTGAATGCCTTTACCTTTTGTCATTTTTGCTCTTCCTGTACTTTTCCTGTGATAATGGTTTGGATTTGTGTCTTCACCCAAATCTCATGTTGAATTGTAATCCCCAATGTCAGAGGAGGGATCTGGTGGGAGGTGATTGGATCCTGGGGGCAGATTTCTCATGATAGTGAGTGAGTTCTCAGGAGATCTGGTTGTTTAAAAGTGTGTAGCACCTCCCCCAACCTCTTCCTCCTGCTCCCACCATGTAAGAAGAGCCTGCTTCCCCTGGCTGTACGTTTCCTGAGGCCTCCCCAGCCATGCTCCCTGGACAGCCTGCAGAACCATGAGCCAATTAAGCCTCTTTTCTTTATAAATTACCCAGTCTCAGGTATTTCTTTATAGCAGAGTGAGAAGGTTCTAATACGTCCTACCTTCCCATTCTATTTTTCCCTTCAAGGTAACAACTCAGGTCTCACCTACTCCAGGAAGTCTTCACTAACTGCCCAATTTAAATGTTCTCAAATGTGGATCCACAGATCTATACTGAGCTGGCCCCACGAGAATCACCTGGAGAGTCCATAAAATGCCCAGCCTCTCCAAGTCCAACACATCTTCAGAGATACACTGATTTACAGGATTCAGAGATACATATTTTTAAAAACTCTCTAGGAGATCCTTGAGGCCAGGAATGGGAACTGCTGAGTCTGTAAGTTTTCCCTTTGACAGACTATAATCTCCCAGAGCACAGGGATTAGAATGCCTCCTTCTTTCATATCTCCAGAACAATGGGCACAGGGCTCCAGGCATGGTTATGGAAGCCCACTGAACTGGGATCCTCAATGGGGGGAATATACTGCTTTAATCATAACTCTAGCTGGAACAGCCTCTCTACTTGCCTCCCATCCCATTACCCACACCACAGGTCTCCCCTTACTCAGGAAGTATCTAGGAAATCAAAGGCACAGACTCAGCACACTGTACATTCACCCACATTGGGTCTACACCTTCCCAGGCTAAGGATCAAGAAGCCAATGACAAGGCCTCTTTAAAAGGTGGGGTGCATGTGGTCCCAAGCATGTGCATGTAAGAGTGCCTAGACACAATGGTGAAGAACCTATGGTTTGTAACTCCGAGAGAAGCCTGGGACGTTGGGTGACAATGTGGACCAGATCTGGCAGTTCTTCTTTTGTTCTTTTTCTGGAGACTTTCTAAGTTCCAGAAAGGTTTCCAGGGAGGGTTTTGTCGACCAAAGCCATCTGTAATAAACATTACTATAATTCTCCAATCATCTATCATTTTTACCCATATATTTCCCCATTATCTCACTCCCTTTCCTTTTTTTCTGAAAACATCTCTCTGATGCCCCTTCCCTAAAGCATGTAGCAGCCAGAACGATTTCCAAGACAGTGCAGGGAAAGCTGAGCCCCTGGTCCTGCTGGTTACCTAGACTCAGAACTGCTCCATCTGAAAACTCAGTTTCGATTCAGACAGAGTTTCTGTGTGTCCCCGCTCCCCACCCCGCCCAGAATGCAGTGGCAGAATGATAAATGTGATGCCGAAGATAACGAGGCTGAAGGGAGGTGTAGTTCTAACGGAATAAATACCTCTTTGGTAAATCTTCCCATCAAGATGTCTTTATAACTAAAAGCAGCCGCTCTGTTCCCTATGGTTGCTGTGAAGACTGATGGGCTTCTGTATTTCTCCAGGAGCCATCTCTCCTCCCTCCTCCAGCTCACCACCAGCAAACAGACATCATACTGGGTCCAGGAGGTAATTAAAGTTTCAGGGGCAGGTGGGAAGCAAGAGGGGCGAGAGCCAAGAAAGCAGCAGGACCATACACTGGCAGTGTTGCCAAACTGGCCTTGGTCCCTGGTTCCTGGTGACAGCTGAGCATCTGCATTCACTTGTTTTTACGGAGATTGAGAAGAACTGGAGGCTTTTCTTTTTGCCAGTTTTGACATCTCTGTGCTTTGCACATTAACAGGCTCACCACTTGACACTATGTCTGATCCATCCACTGCTCTGCAGAGGTGTCAAGCAAACTTGCTAGAGATACTAAGGGCCCAATTATGGTGCCCAGTTTATACTTGGATCTTGACAGATGCTGGAAACCTTTTAGAATCTGGGATGATTAGTGCAGACCTTCCCTTGCTTGCAAGCAGCCTGGAACCTTGCACTCGTTTTATCGGTATCCAATATATCCTTATTGAATGGCCTTTCCCAATGAAGCCCATAGGGGCAGTCAAAGGCTCAATGACAAGGAGCCTGAGGCCCAGAAAGAAAGGTAACTTGCTTGAAATTATACTTCAAGCTGGTAACAAGTCCTCAGTTTCTTAGGAATCATGCTCAAAATAAGAAATTCAGGCAGGTCAGGGCAAGAGCAGCAAGCCAGCCAGAATTTGTTGGATGAGGAAAAGAGAACAAATTAAAGAGAACGCTGTCCAAATGTTGGTGGTGCTGATTTCTGGCACAATTACTCTGCCTTCTGCTGCCCATATACGAAGGCCAGAAGTCTAAAACAGACTCTCTCAATATCACCTAATTAATCAATTTCTTAATCTCCGGGGGTATCTCCTCACATAGATAGCTGAGAAATAGTGTGTAGATAGATATTCAAGGAAGGTGGTGGTGGGCAGTGGTGGTTAAAAACCTTTAAAAAGAACAAACTAATCTGATCAAAGAAACTGAAAAAGAAAGAATAAGGGAAACCCAACAAGAAGTGGGCCTGAAGGGGACTTATTTCAGGAGGGAGAAGGACTGTCCAGGGCCTGGATTCAGGGCCCAGGGCACACAGGCCAGGAGTAGATGGAAGATCAGTTATCCAATCAGGTATGAAAATCCTTGATAAGCTGGGAAGTAAAACTCTGAGTCACTTGAGATGGCCACTTGAAGAGGCCTAATGCCATTTATCTACTCTGTCATTTTACAAGGGATCAGACCAAGGATTTGACCAGTGAAGGGGGTTACAGATCTGCATCTAGCTCTCTCCCTGTTCCAACTCACCTTGGAGTTGGAAAAGAGGGTAAAGTCCAGGGAATAAAAGTAGCTATAGATGCCCACTAGGATTTGGAGAGAATTTTCTTGTAAGGGGGAGATGTCTTTAAACACCAAAGCAGAAGCCAAATCTGATCCTGGGACTTAGACTCATATTTACTGCCCTTTCTGCTGAGAAGAGCTTGAAAAACAAAACACAAGAGCTTGAAAAACCAACCCCAAGACTTGCTAAACTTAAGGATTTTCTCCCCATTCTCCATATTTGTCTCAGTTCCTTCTGGCTAAGCTCCAATCCTTAGTGTCTGCTCTCTGTACTTACTGAGAACACAGAAACATATATAATCTGAAACTTGGAAAGGAGTTTAGAGATCTTCTAATTCAATCTTTCATTCAAAGTGGAACTCCTCAACACCAGTCTTGACAAGAGGTCACCCAGGCTTTGAACTTTTGCAATAATGAAGAACTAATTACTTTTCCATGCAATCAGACTATCAGAGACACCAACTGTGAAAAAGTCTGCCTCAGAATTAAGCCCAAATCTTTAACTCCCATACCTGGGTCCTCATTTTGCCTTCTGAAGAAACACAGAAATTTATTACATCTTTTTATAAGGGATGATCCTGCAGATAGTTGAAGACAACCAGCAAGCCCCTCTTCAACTTTCCCAGTAGGACATGGGCCAGGCCCTCCATCAGCCAGGATGCCCAGCTGTGGACATGCTTCAGTCTGTCAATATCCTTCTTAAAATGTGGGCCCTGTTATGAGTGCAGAGAAGCCAACCCATTGCATCCAATGGGTTCAGACCAACTTGGAAGAACAGGAGGCAACCTGGATCCCTGGGGCTTGGAGGGTGCTCAGTGCCTCTAAGAGTTAAGCTGAGAGCTGTTTCTCAGAGAAACGCCAGGCAGATCATCCTCCAAAGCAACCTACAGAGATTGAGGCAGCGCTGGGGGCCAGGGATCTGGGAGGGAGTCAGCCACATCTAGCTGAGGGTCTAATTCCTGACCTTTGGAAGCTCTGCATTCAGATCTTTGTGCTGGCCCCTGCGGGGAGCCTCCGTGGCTTGACAATGGGTGGGTAGGCGGTTGGAGGGCAGGGAGAGGATCATTTTTAGTTGTTGATTTTACCAACAGATATTCAGAAAATCAGTATTTGTGTCATTTTATGTAAATCCAGATCCATCTGTCAGAGGTGTTTGAACCAGAGCAAGTCCATCTTTAACAGGGGTTGCGTAAAATAAGGCTGAGACCTACTGGACTGCATTCCCAGGGGGTTAGGCATTCTAAGTCACAGAATAAGATAGGAGGTTGGCACAAGAAACAGGTCACAAAGACCCTGCTGATAAAACAGGATGCGGTAAAGAAGCTGGCCAAAACCAAGATGGCAATGAAAGTGACCTCTGGTCATCCTCACTGCTCATTATATTCTAATTATAATCATTAGCATACTAAAAGACACTCCCACCAATGCCATGACAGTTAAGAAATGCCATGGCAACATCCGGAAGTTACCTTATATAGTCTAAGAAGGGTAGGAACCCTTAGTTCTGGGACATCCCTGCCCTTTTCCCAGAAAACTTATGAATAATCCACCACTTGTTTAGCATATAATCAAGATATAACTACAAGCATATTTAGTCGAGCAGTCCATGCTGCTGCTCTGCCTATGGAGGAGCCATTCTTTTATTCCTTTACTTTCTTAATAAACTTGCTTTCACTTTATAGGCTCACCTCAAATTCTTTCTCGTGTGAAGTCTAAGAACCCTCTCTTGGGGTCTGGATCAGAACCCCTTTCTGGTAACACATCTGTGATCATCTAGTGTACCTGCAGGCTCTGTAAAATTTTTTGATTACCTTGCTGTTGCTTTTTTCTCCAAAGGCATGTGGTAACATCTTCAGAAATCTCTAGGGAATGAAAATTTGGGCATAATGCATGGCTTTATGTCCTGAAGGATGTTGAAGTTCACATGGGTGGATCCTGGACAAGAGACTTTTGGTCATCTGAGGTTTGTGACAAGTCAACATGAATCCTGAAGAACCAAGTCATGGGTACTGTCTCTGCCACATCCCTGTCTGGAACTGGGCACTGCCAGTTTGGGCCGCCTGCCTTCTTGGGGCTCCCCATGTTTCCTTGTAAGCCACAGTCCCTGCGGGCAGCTTGGCAATGACTCCCCGTCTCTCGCACCAGCCCGATCGCACTCCCTCCCAGTAATCTGATTTTCTCTGGGCTCCGACTTTACAAAGAATCTTCTCAACTGGCAAGATTTTGATAGAAAGTGTTTGTTAAAGAGTCTGGGATGGGTTATGATTCTCAGTCTGTACTCTGTTGGACTCTGTTAGTTGCTCTCTTAGTTGCTTCCCTGCACCTTCTAGGTTTGTTTCCTGTGAGGGTGGGCTTTTTCTCTTCTGACCTCCAGAAGCCTCCAAGGGCAGTGACCATCTCACCTGACAGACCCTGTGGGTAGCGGTATTAGGATCACCACCATTTCCTCATAGCTTCCAGAGGGGCAGATTATAAGGAGCTTGCTGAGTGCTAACCTGTTCATGCAAATAGACCCCCAGCGACCCCTGAGCCATTTTATGGCTCAGAAACAGGTTGACAGATGTTGGGTAAATTTCCCAAGATCCCACCTCTGAGTCTAAGGCCTGTGGATTCTCTCCAGTCTGGCCTTGACTTCTCTATGAGTTCAGGATTCCAAACTCCATCCCCGGTACCCTTCACTTGTCCCTGGTGGCTTTCCAGTTTAAATAAAGTAAGCATTTCTAGTAAGAGTGTCTTGTACTTTTCCCCACCCCCTGTGAATTGACACAAAAGGAAATCAACATTTAAGTTAGTTTTAATACCAACATATGTTTATTAACCACAGTGTCTTTCATTCAGTGCATTTCCATATGTATTAAGTCATTTTATCCTCTCAGTCACCCTATAAAACTGACCAAAAAGTGTCCTTATCTGTATTTTGAAGATAAAGGAGCAAAGATCCAGACAGGCTTAGGGACATACTTAGGGTCTCAGTGAATTAATGACCAAGACTGTCACTCCCCTGCTAGCCCTCACTCTGCCCTCTGATGTAACAGTTCCCAGGCCCAGTCTTTTCTCTGCAGTATCATCATGAGCCCCTCAACATTCCCACACCTGATGCTACTCTCTGAGATACCAGATATCCTTCTGATATGAGGCCTACTCTAAAAAACAAGAAGATCTCTGCTGCTCAAAGAGATCCAATTTTTGAGTAGTTATTATGTGCCAGGGGCCCTGCTCTGTCCCATGGCTCTATGAGGTAGCTATCATTATTAGCCCAATTTATAAATGAGGAAACTAAGCATGAGAATAGTTTAGTGACTTGACTGGGCTCGTAAAGCTAGTATGTGACAGAGCCTGGATTTGGACCAGGAAGTTTTGGCTCAGAGTTGAGACTCCCACGTGGTCTAGGCAGTACAGAGTCCCACTTAGTTGCCTGATTTAGACTCCCAAGGGCCGTCGATGAAGCATAGGATCACACGGGTGTATTCACAGCCATGTTGCCCAGCACCGTGGATTGAGACTGTGGTCAACTAAAAGCCCTAGATGTCTTTCCCATAAGCTGTGTCTAATTTAGATGCCCCCCCTCGAAAAACACTAACATACTACCCTCGCCCCTCTAGATTGTCAGTTTATCAGACTTTCTTTGATTTTGATGACACTGAGAGTGTTGAAGAGTACTGGTCAGATATTTTGTAGAATGTTCCCCAATTGGAATTTGTCTGATATTTTTTTCATAATGAGACTGGGTGTTTTGGGGGGAGACCACAGAGGTGCCGTTCTCATCATGTCATACCGAGGGCACATATGATCCACATAACGCGTCACTGTCGAGGTCAACCTTGCTCACCTGGGCTGAGGTCATTTTGCCAGGCTTCTCCACTGTCAAGTCAGCTTAAAGTTACACTACACCCCTCCTTTCCGTGATGTACTGTTTGGAAGGAAGTCACTACCTGCAGCCCACACTACGGAGTAGGGAGTGGTACTCCAGCTCCTTGAGGGTGGGACATCTATATAAAATACTTGGAATTCTTCTAGATGTCTCTACACTTTATTCAGGGTAAACCTATCACTCCAGGTGGTGGAGGTCATCTTGAATCCTGCTGCTGTATGCAACTGGTAATTTAATTTAATTTTCCCAGGTATGTGCTATGGATGCCTCCATTAACATGGCTTCTATCTTTTACTGTTACTTATAAAAAACACAACAGACATCCCAGCGCGTTGGGAGGCCAAGGCGGGCGGATCACGAGGTCAGGAGTTCGAGACCAGCCTGGCCGACATAGTGAAACCCCGTCTCTACTAAAAATACAAAAAATTAGCCGGGCATGGTGGCAGGCGCCTGTAATCCCAGCTACTCGGGAGGCTGAGGCAGGAGAATGGCTTGAACCTGGGAGGCGGAGGTTGCAGTGAGCCGAGATCGCACCACTGCACTCCAGCCTGGGCGACAGAGCGAGAGTCCGTCTCAAAAAAACAAAAACAAAAGCAAAAACAACAACAACAACAACAACAACATCAACAAAAGCACACACAACAGATGAGGCCAAAGACAGAGACCTCTTCACAAATCACCTTTTAAGATGTTCTGTTGACACTTGGGAAAAAGGGCTGGCACTTTTGGAGGACAGTTTTGAAGTCAAATGGTTGTACTATTGTCCAGATCACATCTCTGTATTTTACTCACAATGTGATAGGGAATAACTTCATTAATGTTTTCCTGAAATCACGCTATATGCCAATTCTATTCCCCTTGGGTTCTAAAAAAAAAATACCCTACTAGGAAAAGGAAATCATTTAAATTTTGCATGATTTGTTTTTAGTGAGCCCCTGCTGGCTCCTGGGTATCTATCTCTTTCCCAAGTGCACACAAACAATCTATTTACTGCTCTATCTTTTTAGAGTTTCATCGGTTTGACATCAGGCTGATCAACCCAGAACGAGAATCTTGCTTTTTGAAAAAGCTGTTTCCAGTCTTTGAGCATGTCCTTTGTTCCATGTGCTTTCTCAACAATTCCCAGCAACATTTCAGCTATTGTATCTGCCCATTCTTTCAGTCCTGAGACACCAAGTATTTGGGTCTGGAGTCTTGACCTCATTCAAAATTTGTTCCCTTTGGTGAAAAAGATGGAAGCAAACAAGAAGCAGGTGCTTTTATTTTCCTCACTCTTCTCCAGAGGCCCAGTTCTCCACACAGGTAGGTATGTTGTATTCCTTCCTGCCCTTCAGCATTATCCTAATTCCCTTTTGTTAGATCTTTCTTTTGGACAAAGCTAACATTATGTCATTTCCCCAAGGAGCAGTCCTTTACCTTGTTCATTTTCCTGCTTCAGGCATTACTTAAAAATAACAAAACCACTAAAAGCTAACCTTTATTTAAGGGTTTGATAGTCAGAAAAGGAGAGGAAGAGCATTACACGCAGGGAATAATGATACTAATGATGGCTAATATGTATTGAACCAAATGTGCCGGCACTAGGCCAAGCACTTACCATGCATTATCTCATTTATTTTTTACAATAACCCTTTGAGAATGGATATCATCTCCATTTTACAGATAAGGAGACAGAGGCTTGGTGAGGTTAAAGAACTTGCCCAAAGTCACAAAGCTGAGATTCAACCAGGTAGGTCTGATTCTGAATCCTTACTGTTAACAGTAACAACCACAGAAATACAAAAGTGCCCTTTTTTGGCTGGAATTCTTTGTTTAAAAAATGGTTTATTCTGGGTGCCTTAGTCCATTCGAGCTGCTATAACAAAATACCATAAACTGGGTGGATTATAAACAACAAACATTTCTTTCTCACAGTTCTGCAGCCTGGAAAGTCCAAGTTTAAGGTGCCAGCAGATGTGGTGTCCAGCGAGGGCCTGATCGTCAGAGATGGCCGTCCTTGCTGCATCCTCACATGGTGGAAGGTGGTGAACAAGCTCCCCTGGGCATTTTTTTTAGAAGGAAGGAAACTAATCCCATTCATGAGACGTCTGCAGTTATGACCTAATCACTTCCTAGAGGCCCCACCTCTTAATAACTATAGCATTGGAAATTCGGTTCCAACATATGAACTTTTTGGGGACACAACACTGGCCTCAGACCTCCAGACACAGTTCTTGCAGAGTACTGTGCCCCCTGGTGCTGCTCCTCTGGTATGGAGCCCTCTCATCTTCTGACGGGCCCCGCACCTTTTCCAGGTGGGAACTCCCTGCAAGCATTCTTTGCGTCTTCATTGGTTCCTCTATGTTAGGTCATTTTAACATTAAGTCTCCAACCCCCTCTAAAATTATACACAAAACATTGTATAGGTGTGTCTTTTTTTTTTTAATGGGGGAAGTGTTTAGAGTTTTCATTAGATTCTCAAAGTGATTTATTTTCTGCTCCCCTCCACTGCCCCATTCAGAAATTTGTAAGTCATTGTTTTTGATGTATCTTTTCTTAGGTGGGCACGGTTTGTGACTGTAATATAGACATTTCACTTTTATAATCTCCCTGTCCCACCTAAGCTGTATTCCCCTTTGGCTCTTCTGGCTGTGGAACTGAACTTCCTGCTCCATTGTGCTCTGTAGACTCTCCCTTTATAAAGCCTCAGGCTTATGTCTGAAGATGCCCGGTGTCCCCTCCCCAGGCTATCAGTCATGCTCGGATGACGTGGCTGCTCCTCTAGCTTCCCATCCCTGCTCTTTTTGGTCACTGCACAAATAATGCAGCAACTACAATGGCCAGGCACTGTTCTAGGCAGAGGGGACACCACAGTGAAGAAAACAGTCAAGTCCTCATCCTTTGGAGACCAGCAGTCTTCATATCAATGATTCATTCTTTTCTGTGGATCACAATGAAGTCTAGACTCAGTTCCCCTATTTGTCTGTTCCACCTTTTAAGGGATAAAATTATTAGTGGGTCAAGTAAAAAATTTATCAGCTCTTCTGCTTTTAGCAGAATACTTGCAGTCATCTAATTAGTCAGAGGCCCTATCACAATTCCTTTCTGTCCTGTGCTGTTGGGACATCGTCATCTGGGAGGCAGTGTGTGGCATACCCTTCTTCCAATCCTCTCACATGGGCGGCTTCCTCTGGCTCACAGATTCAGACAAGCATGCACCTTTCAGGCACGTAGTGTTTCTCTTTCTCTGCGCAGTTAGAACTTCCCTCGCTGTACATTTCAGGCCTGCGTTCCATCCAACAGAGAGGAGGACCCATGAGCTTATGTTAACTTGTTTGACCACTCTCTCTTTCTCAGTAGGTAAATATCAGAAAACGAATTGTTCCTGACTCTTCACCCACTAGTTCCTGAGGCTTGCTGGGCAACTCTTCTGGAAAATTTCTTCTTTCTCTAGAATCAGCATGCTCAATTTAATCGCTATGCAACTCAGAGCAAGTTAAATTCTCTGAGGTGTCTTAAATTCTCTGAGGTGTCTTCATTTATGTAACAAGGATAATACTACTTATCTTTTGGGGTTGATGTGAAGAGTAAATGAGACAACTGTAAGCAGCTAAATTGCCTGTTGCAGAAAATGAGGCCACCACATAAGGGCACAGGCCATATCAGTTCCCTGGCTCCTGCTCTGCCAGGCCTGTCTTCCTTTAGTGTGTTTGGCCTTTTCTAGGCATTTCCGTTTCCTCTGCTTACATTCACTTTAATGTCTCATTTCAGTGTCTGCTTGTTTGAGGCTGTTTAGGAGAGAAGAAAGAATTTAGAAGGATGGTCAGGTTGGCAGAAGGCTATGCCCAAGCGGCCCTGGGAGTACAGGCCTGGGGGGGTCAGGGGATGGCTCTTCACTGAGATATGTCATTTCCAACCATTTCTGCTTCTCAGACCCTGCCTCTAGGCCAGGGCCCATTGGGACTTTGTAGCATAAAAACATGTCCTGGAGAGAGGGAAGGCAGCTGGGAAGCAGGGCACCTGGGAGGCAATATGGGCATCACTGTGGGTCCCCAGTGTCAACCAGAAAGGGGCCCAGGTGTTTTGGATTCAGGACTGCTCTTGATAAACACGGCATTCGCAGGGGACAGGGACTCACAGAACTCCAGGCAGAAGGGCTGATGGTGAGGGTGGGTCAGTGCTGGGCTCCACATAGGCCCCAGCTGTCCAGGCCCCCCAACCCACCCTGAGCGGGCCATGCTGCCCAGATGCCTGCCTGCCCTTTAATTCAGTCATTCCATTTTAGCATCCCTGTGGGGAGCAGTCATGAGGGAAGGTGGGACCTCCCAAAATGTCAGGGTCCTAGAGTGAGAAAGCAGTGCCACTCTCCCTGGAGAGGTCCAGTGAGGCTCTGACTGGAGAGGAAATGCCACTGAGAGAAGTCCAGGCTGGGAAAGATGCAGTGGGGGCTGGGAGGGCTGGAAAAACCATCTCAGCTGAGGCTGGGATGACTAGTGAGCAGGGGTGGAAAATGATGCCAAGGAGCTTTCACTCTGGACAGTGACCAACGGGAGCTCCACGGAGTAGCTAATTAATGCTGTGGCTCTGCCAGCGTGAGTGGCCCCCACCTCCATCTGTAGGACTGTCTCTGTATGGCAGGTGCCTTTCCAACTCAGTTGTGTATATGATCTGAGAATATGTGGCAGATAGAATGAACCAAGAGGCACTGTCAGAGAAGAGAAAAAGTTGGGGAGGTGGGTACCACAAACCCAGGGATTCTTTTCAGAAAGGAGAAATCCCAGCTCTCCCCACCTCTTCTGCTTTGGGTCCTTGGATCACGGCAGTCTTTGTGATCAGTTATGAGACAGAGAACAAGAGTATAAACGGCATCTTGAGGGCAAAGATTATGCTATGTTTATTTTTGGCATGGTTAGCATCTTTACAGGCATGAGTTCCACCCTTTGCTGAATGAATGAATAAATGATGCTTGTTATTACATTGTCTGGATTGAGCTCAACTGGGAGCTTCTGCATTGCTTTCATTGTCTTTCTCCCTCTGAGTTATAGATTTTTTCCTAGACCTGAGCTCAAGTTGAGCTCAGAAAAATGCTAGCTGGGTTCTGTGGAGTGGATGAGAGAATCAGAACAGTCTCCGGAGTTTGGGGTTTCCATAGCAAGGCTCTTGGAGCTCCTGCAAGGGACACAGCCCTGTGCACAGACTGACCACTGTGGTTCTGATAGACTCCAGTCCCACCAGAGGCCCTACCACGTGGATTTCCTGGAAGCTGTGCACATGGAGAGGGCTGCATTCCCTTGGCTTTTCCCCATGAGTGGCAAGAGAAGGCAAAGGCTGCCCAGTCCCTCCAGATGGCATGGGCCCCAAGCTCCCTGTTTCTAGAAAGTGGGGCAGGCCTCAGGGGCCCACAAGGAGAGCTAAAAACAAAGCCTGACTGTTTCTGCTTCTTTGGAGAGTGTCCAGGTGGCCTCTGGGAATGGGTGAGTGGGGTGTCCACTCTTGCCTGGGTGGACATCTTGCTTTGTTTTGACTTCAGGAGCCAGTGAAGCCCCTTCTGCCCTGCATTTCAGGGTTCTCTGATGCAGGCATTGGTGCCAGGCTGGAAAGAAGATAGTGATAAGGACAAAATAAGCCCATTGAGAGAATAGAACTAGGGTTGCAAAAACATAGGCTCCTCAAATTTGAACCTTGTGTTTCCCCTTACACGGTGTTACTGCTGCTCCTTTGGCGACATTTTGCAATGTTATTTAGAGATACTGAAAACCCAAGTGCTGGCAGATGATGTAGCAATCATTTTATGTTGGCATAAAATGGGGTCTGGGAATGGAGCTTGGTGGGTAGGCAGGTTTTATGTTCTCTGGGACTTTGGCTCACGCTGAGAGTGACAGTAAACATGGCTTCTTCCCCTTTCTCCACCTTCCAATTCCCCATATGGCCCCAGAAGAGAAGTGGCCTGTACGCAGCAGAGCAGGGGCTCAATGAACACCTCTTGGAGAGAGGAAGAGGTGAGGTGCACAGCAGGAAACGCAGGTTCAGGTGGATGTGTCTCTCAGGATGGGAGCAAGGCACTCTCTCACTCACTCAACCACTCAACATTTTAAAACGACCTGTGACACGTGGAATGCCAGTGGGGGAAGAACATGAGATGAAAGCAAATTGGACACCAGCTCTGCCTTCAAGTTCATCATGTCCCTGCAGACCTCTCCAGGACAGAAGCTCACTTTTCCAGGAGGTGGGGAGGCCCCCTCTTTGATAAGCAATGCCACTTCAGAATTATTCCTTTTATTATTCCTATTTCCATTTTTTAAAGGATCCAGCTTCTTTGATGGATATACAAAGAAGGTACACACGTCTATCCTCTTTTTGGTCTCTGTCATTTTTCAGCTTTCTGGTCGCTGAGAACCTTGGCATCTGCTGTCATCCTACTCTGAGCCCTGCCATCATCCCAGCTGGCCCCAGGATCCACGGGGACCACTCTAACAACAGCTGTCTGCCCAGGTCCCTGACTATCCTCTGGAAACACTTTCTTCATTCTCCACACAGCTTTTACAAATGTTCATCCCTTTCCTCAAGCCTCCTCACTCCCATCCCTTCACTTGAGACAGAAGATCTTGCCTCTGATGTTCCACAGAAAATGGTGGCCACCCACCTCTCCATGTTTGGCATACACACAGCACACAGTTACCTGTGTCCCCTCTCATCCTTCTCTCTCTCCCTCCATGTCACTGGAGAAGGCAGCGTTCCTCCTGTCAGAGCTAATCCTGCTGGTACACCCAGCATCTTGGTCCCTTCTGCCTCCTCAAGGACTTTGTTCCAGCAATTGTGCCTTCATCAGACATCTTCTTCAACCTCTCCATCTCTACTATTCTCTCCCAAGCTCAACGCTTGTGCTCCTTCAAGACAAACACACCTCTCTTGACCCTGCATACTGCTGTTATTGTTCCCCTTTCCTTCATAGCCCAGGTTCTTCAGTGCAGTCCACGTGCATTCTCTCGGCTTCCTTACTTTCCATTCACACTGTAAGCCCTGCCATCTACAGTGAAATGTGTTCACCAAGGTCACTGATGGCCTCTGATGCTAAATCCAGTGGGCGCTCTTCAGTCTGAAGAGCAAAGTTTTTGGCAGCCTCTTTGCAGCATCTAACACTTGAAAACTGCCCCTCCTGTTGCAATTCAATTCTCCTGGCTTCTGGGAAACAATTCTCTCCTGGTTTTTCTCCTGCCTTTCTGAGCACACCTCACATTTCTCATAGGCTCCTCCACCTGCAATTTAAAGGCTCCCCACAGTGCTCTCTTCTCCTACTCCATCCACTCCCAGCTACATGCAGATGATGTCAAGATTGGAATCTTAACCTGGATCTTCCTTGGATGCCAGACTTGGCATGTCCAGCTACCTATCCAGTAGCTCCACTCACTTCTGACACCTCAAATGCAGCATATCCCAAATGGAGCTTTACTGTCTCTCCCCATCACCCTCCCGCCCCCAATACCCCAGGGTCTCCTCCTGTTCTCAAGATTCCCTTCCAGTTATTTAAGTCAGAGACCAAGGAGTCATCCCTGACTTGTTGCTGTGAGCCACGTGTGGTTCCAATTGTCTTATATTAACTCTATGGAATACTCACAACAGCCCTGTGAGGTGCTTCTATTATTATATCTTATTCATAGACAAACAGAGTGAGACACAGAGAGATTAAATAACTTACTCAAGGGCACAGAACTAGTAAGTGGCCAGCCTGGGATTTGAACCTAGTGAGCCTGGTGCTAGACTTCATGCTCTTTCTTACCCACTAACCCCACTGCCTCTTGGTAACAATTCTGTGGATTCTCCTTCCTGAATAATGCCTTCAACATTGCTGTCCCCCTGCACCACCATATCCTAAAGGTCTGGTTGGCTTCAGCCTAGTCTCTCTAGAATCCATTCCCAGTGAGTCCCCATATCCTTCCAGATACAATCAGAGGCCTCAGTGGGTTTGCAAAGCTCTGTTTTTCTACTTCTCTGGCCCTGCTCCTTGCCTTTCCCTGTTACCTACCAGCACACTAGCATTGTGGTGACCATATAATTTATCATCCTAACTGGGATTGTCTGTGAGTGAATGAGGGACTATTTATAATTAAGCTTGGTCAATAAGTGTAAACCAGGACAGTCCCACACAAACTAGGATATATGGCCACCCTAACTATCATCCACTTATACTGAAATATTTGCTGTTCTCCAAACACTCCGTGTTCTTTCACTTCTGGGCCACTGAACACACAGTTCCCTCTGCCAGAAAAAGCCCATTTATCCTCTTTCGGGAGCTCTTCCCTGATGTTACTTTCCCCGGGTTATGTAAGATACCTTTCCTCTGTACACCCATGACACTCTCTGCTGCTGCTGCTGCTGCTGCTGCTGCTGCTGCTGATAAAAGAATGGCAGCCAATGTTACCTGGGGGTGGGGTGCAGGACAGAACAGCACAGTAGTTGAGCCTATGGACAATGGAGCTAGACAGCTTGGGGCTGAATCTCAGCTTCCTATGTACCCAGGTTAAGTCACTTGGCCTCTTCATGCTTCCCCTTCCTCATAAGGTTCTCACGAGGATTATACGGGACAGTCTACAGGACATCTGCCTGGGACATAGTCAGCATCTACTGAGCATTCACAATGACCTTTTACAGAGCACTTGCTATGTGCCAGGCATTGTCAGCACCTCACAGACATGACCTCATGTACTGTTTGTCACAACAGTTTTGTGAAGCAGGGGTTGTCATCTTCATTTGACAATGGGGGGAAACTGAGTCTTAGAGAAGCTATTGCCCTAGGTAATGAAGCAGCCCTGGGCAGTTCTGGATTCAGGTTTGAACGCAGGCCTCTAACTCACAGCACGGTAGTACCTGTGTTCTCCTACTGGGTCTCCCTCACTGGACTGTGAGCCACCCGAGGGCAGAGACGGCACCTTTTGCTTCCATATTCTCAGCTCAAGCCCAGTGCCTGGCCCAGTCTTGGCAAATATCTACAGGCACTTATAACCTACAAAGAGGGGAAGGCATGCTCATGCCTGACCAAAATAAAACCCCATGACGAGGAGTGCTGTCAGGGAGGCAGGGCAAACTGGCCAGAGAAACCGAGAGGCGGGAAGATGCTCTCCAGCAGGCGAAGGAGGGGCAGCAGGGCCATCTTCCTTCCCATAGTATTGGGGTTTTCATATCACAGAGACAGGCCAAAGAGACACCTCTGTATCACCTTTCCTCCTAGAAATTAGGTTACAAAAGTATATTGATTGAGGAGGAGGGAGGGAGGAAAAGCGTGTGAGTGTGTGTGAGTGTGTGTGTGTGTTTTGCTGCAACGTGGGCTCGCCTATGCCTCTTATCCAAGATAAAAATGGCCAAAAGAAAATAAACTTCCTTCAACCATTTCCATGTTATTTTCTGGAATAAACACGTCAGGCAGGGCAGCCCAGAATGCCATGGGCCTTAGATGAGCATTTACAGTAATTCAACAACAGTGAAGCCGTGCGTGCCCGCGTGCATATGTGCAGGCGTGATCTACGTGGGGCTGGGTGTATCAGTCCCCATTCCTGAGGGCAAGCAGCAGCAAATTAACAAAAAATATTCCCACCAGGCCTCACACTGCCAAAGAGTAAATATAATTATCCTTAATCAATACAGGCCCTTCAGCACGAGGTAATGGCTGTCCTGGGCTTAATTGTTTGCAGCAGCTGGAGAGGGAGGATGGCGGGAACAGAATGCTCCAGCTTCCCTCTGGCAGGGCAGGGAGTCCTGGAACTGCAGGCAGGATCCCAGGACAGCGAAGGGGAAAGTCAGAGGAAAAGTTCGACAGGGAGAAGGTCACATCATTTGCCCCAGGTTGACAGAGCTGTTGGTGGAATCACACAGCCCCTCCCTGAGCTCCCATGACAGCACCTGCCTAGGCCTCGCCTCTCCCACGGCCTCCCCTCAGGCCACTGTGCAGTCAAGGCAGGGCTAAGCAGCTCCTTTGCTGCCACCTCACCTTCTTGAGACATTGCCTGTGTTTCATGAGGACCTGTGTGTCCTAGGCACTGAGGGAGCTGACAGACTGGAGCATATGCCTTGTCTCGAGCAGCTCGCTCATGGCCCACTCCTCAGCCACGCGATCGCCTGGAAGTCCCTGATACTAAGGGAGTGCAGTCACGGGGAAGGGAGCTGGATCTTGGGCATGACAAAGGCTGTCTGAGACTCAGCACCTGAGATCAGAACTCATGTCTGTGTAGTCTGCTCTATAGAGTGCTGAGTTCCTGACCCTGGGACCCCAGAGGGGTATGGTTGTGGGTGGGCACCTACAGACCATTTTCTGCATTCGAGAAAGTCCAATGGAAATGTCACACAGCCAGGGCTTTGGGACTAACCGCTCCTTTCCTGATGACTAACTCCTTTCCTGTCCCCCTCCCCTAGGTGCTGATCTCCACCCTGAAGTGACTCTCAGGTATCTGTCTATATAGCTGCAAACAAATAGGCTCACAGATACTCAAGCCAAACCTGAAGGCCTCAGAAACCGTGGACTCCATTCCCTAGGCACTGCACAAGCCCAGGAGGGCTGCACTCACAGAGCCACACAGGCTTGGTTACAGGCGGCATGGTGCGTGGCCCCTGGGGCTGGCCCACCCAGCAGAAGTCCTGACTTTGCCTCCTCTTGGCTCCGAGACCTTGGGAGAATTATTTCACCTCTCCAAGCTTCCATTCTTGCCTGTAGGATGTGGATAGTAAGACCTGACGTTGTAGGGCGTGGAGATGACGTGAGGTGGGCACAGGCCAGAGTAGAAGGATGCCAGGGACGCGGGATGTGCTGTCCACAGGGAGCGCTGGCTGCCTCATCCACAGGGGCTGGGGGCACCTCTCTTCCTTGCTCTTCCCTTTTCCCCTGTCTTCCAGTCTCCAGGCTGATCTCCATCCTTCCCCCAGTTCTCTCCTGCCCCTCCCTCTCCTTTCCTCCTCTCTGATTCCTCTCCTTCTCCCCCGCCGCTCCCTGTAGCTCCCTCCTCCTCGAGGCACAGGCGTGGGAGGTTTGGGCAGCTCACTTGTGCTCTGCTTGTTGTCTATTCCTGGCCAGGTGCAGGTGGCCCTCAGAGACTGGTGGTGTATTGATTGGGCCTGAACACTGTCTAGACACAGCAAACTACCCAAAGTGGGTGCTGCTACAATACCACCAAAAACTCCTCAGTGACTCTCGACTCTTAATTTCCCCTTTTCCTGGTGAGCAGAAGACAGAGGCTGTGACCTGGCCAGCCATCAGCTGTGCCACAGCACCCAGAAACAGCACTCAGCCTCCGGGAAGCAGCAAGCAGGGGCTAAGCCCAGGGGATCTGGCTCAGGGTCCCTACCCAGCCTACCCCATCTTCCTCTCTGCCCCCTGGGGTGGGTCTCTTGCTCCCAAGGACTCAAGGAATCCCACCTCTGTGAAAGGAACACCTGTGGCTTCAGGCCTGGCCCAGTGCCCCTGAGTCCCTCTACCCCTGTGGGTATTGTAGGAGCAGTCCTAGACCAAGCTCTGGGTACAATCCCATTTCTAGATGGGGGAAGCCGAGGAGTCCAGGTAGCAGCTCGGCTTCAAGGCCACTGGTACAACTGTGCAGGTCCTGGCTGAGAAGGGGCTGAAATCTGCATGGCTATATCTGTCGGGGTGGAGGGAAGCACCTTTTCTAATTTGCACAAAGATGCCATTTAGCTTGTCCAGGCCTGGCTCAACCTAGTGTCTTTTTGCTTATCTGTTCTCCTGAAAACTCCGTGGCCCTGTCCCCTGCCGGCACTGATTTCCTCTGTGGCTTGGCTCCTTCTCTGATCCCTTTATGCATTCTTTCTGGGATGTGACTTCCTGTATGATGCTCCAGCCCTCCTGTGACAGGATTCTGGATCTGAGACCCAGCCTCCTCCCCGTGGGCCCTCCATATCTTCCATCGGATCTCCCTGCCTGATTCAGCTCTCGACTTTCTGAGAGCAGAGGAGAGAGCCTACCTTCTTGCCTAGGTAACCCACCAGAGAGCCCATAACTCATCAGACATCTCACCGCGCTCCTTCCTGCTGCATCTTACCACCTTTAACTCTGTCCTTTTCTCTGCAGAGCTGGAGAATATCTGATTCTCCTCTAACCAATCCCTGCCCAAAAATGTCATTTTTCCTGGTCTAGTCCTAACAGGCCCTGCATAGAATTTCAAATCTCCTGGCACCCTCAGTTGGCCTGTTCCCTGCTCCTTGATTAGAGAAGCCCAAATTGCCTGAGTGCTAAGAATAGCATCATCATCAGTGACTAAACAACCCGACTGACAGCACCCCCACCCCAGTGTGCTTGGGGACACAGCTCCTGAGCCTCTACCCCCTCGGGAATCCTTGGAGGCTGCTGTGCCATCTGGGGACCCCTCACAGCTGACCCATAGGCCTCCTTCCCCTTGAAATGTCCCCACAGTGGACCCTCCTTTCCTTGTGAACAATATAGGGATATTTGATGAAGGGGTCTCATCACAATCACTCTGGGAGCCTAACATGTACAGACCCTGGGTCATAGCCTGGGCGCACTGAACTGGAACCTCCAGGACAGAGGCATGAAGCTGTGTGTGAAGATAGCCCGCAGGGGATTCTGACATGGCTGGTCCGGCCACTGGCCACTGGGGACCACTGCACCAGGACTTTCTCGTGTTTGTCTTCAACTCACAAGAAGCCCAAGCAGTGGCCCTTGAGCATTCTCAGCCAGGGACTGGGAGAGTGACCAGTGACATTGTTGGCGGCAGAAAAAGGCTGGCCCCATGTTCAAACACCCACATGACACAGACACATAGGGCACAAACCACAACTGCGAAGATGGAACTGAGCATGTCTCTCACATGAGAAACCCCGTGTGGGGTTTACTCTCTGTAACAGGACCCTGGCACTTAGGTTTCTCCTCAATGTTGGTCTCCTTGTGTATCTCTCATCCATGTTATTGTTGAGCTCCTGTACTGTGCAGCTGTTTAGGTCCCTATAATGTCCTTAGAATCATTCCCACTGACCTAATAACCCCCACCCCTGCTACTTTTTATCTGACAACTCCTAATCATCCTTCAAAACCCAACTTGGACATAACCATTCCTAGGAAGTCTTCCTTGAGCTGCTATTTTATCCACTCCACATAAGTAATTGTTTCTTTCTCTCTTACCTTTAAAAGGCTCTTCTTGTGATGGACATATTCCACTGACTTATAATGATTTTGTTTGTCCGTCTTTCCTCTAGATCAGGGCAGTAACTGTGTCTAAGCACCTTCATATCATCTAACACATGTGGTAGGTGCTTGATAAATGCTTGCTGAGTCAATGAGCGCAGTGTGAGTCTTCCCCTCTAGAATGCAGTTTCCTTGAGTCCTTAAGGACTGTTCATCTTCTAAAAGCCAGCACAGTGCTTAACCCAGCTCACATACCTCTGTGGAATAAATGAAATGTCATTGCCTCCCTTCTGCCCCAAAACTCATCTGTACTCAATGAAAATCTCAACAATCTCATCACAACTCCTCCTGGCAAATTTAGTCACTCCCTTCTCTGTGTTCAAACCTCTGTAAACATGCCTGCATTACAGTCTTTACCCCATTGTATTGCAAACATTTGTTTACTTATCTGTCTTCCTCACTAGACGTGAGCTCCTCAGGGACCAAGCCTGTTCCTCATTCTTCTTGTATTCCCCAACGCAGCACCTAGCAGGGAATCTGGCACAATGCGAACACTCAGTGCCTGTGTGTGGGGTGAATCACCACCATGAGGCGGCCGTGGCTATGGAACAAAGAGTGGCTCACAGCTCAACAGGGACCCTGGATTCTCCAGGAGAGACTCCTCAGAGCCACTGCCCACTTGCTGAGGGCAGTAAGGTGCAAAGGATGTTTACCACGACAGCCAGCAACTTGGTTTGGCTCCCTATAGCCTCCTCTTGTCTCTGCCTCTAAGCTCCCAGGAGTACCTGACCCATCAATCTCTACAGCTGCCACTGTCTGGATAATCAACTATTTGTGGAGGTCACAAAATACGTGGGTCACAGGCTCAGGTTTCTCCCCTGGAGGATGGATGGAGCTTTTCTTTGTCCTCTTCTCATCCTAGTCACCTGCGTTGCCCAATATTAATCAGGTGCCTACTATGTCTAAGTCCCTATTCCAGGTGCTGAAAGCACTTTTCTGGAAAGTCTGAGTGGTCAGTGGTTGTCATGACTTGGAGGAAGGTTGGCAGGGAGAAGATGGAGTGGGGGCTGGAAAAGCAAAGCAAGCCCAGGAACAAGAAATTACAAATGCCTTCAAGGCAGCCTGCAGCCCTCAGCCCTCTGTGGGGCCTGCTCAGCAACATGCCTAGCAGGTGGGGAGTCCTTTTTGTGGGCCGGCAGGGACTAAGCCTGAGCTGTGCATGCTGGCAACAGGCGTCATCTACATAAGCCTGGCCCAGACAGCTTCCAGCCTGGTGCTGGGCTCTGTCTCCGGCACCTTCTTTTAAGGGGTAATCATTTTAATAAATAGGGATTGTGGGCCTCTTGCCTGAGAGTGAAACTGAAATCGAATCCATAATCCAGACAGAGGGGAGTGCAGCTGCACTGGGTTAATTACGCACACACCAAGCATATGGCAGCGCACCTCCAGACCAACAGGCGGAGAGCATTCTCTGGGATGCAATTAGTTCCTGTGCATGCATAAAAAATGAGCCAGCACCTCCAAAAGAAAAATAAAATTGCTGAAGTCATAACCTCAATCCAGTGTAATTACAATCACTGAGTCGTACCACTTAGGTTTAAGCAACATTCATTCATCCGCTCTCAGGCAGGTGGGCTTGCCTAGTGGTGGTTTTCTTCAGCTCCGCTCTGCCCGTGCTTCCTCCACTTCCCCGACCCCTGCTCTCCCACAGCACCCTTTCCCTCCCCAAGTCCTGAGCACCACATTGTTTAACCCTGGTCCTCCACGGTGATGTGATAAGTAGAGCATGATTCTTAGAGTCATAGTAACAGCATGCATGCAGGGAGCCTGGCACTTTACATGAATTATCCACTGATCCTCACGGCAATGCTATGAGATAGGTAATGATACTAACCCCACTTTCCAGGTGGAGAAATCGAGGCTTAGAAAATGCAGTGGGTTGTGCAAGGCTGTGCAGACAGGGTGAGCCCATTGTGCTTGGTGGACTTGGAAATGGAACAACTGGGCTGGAATTTCCAGCATCACAACTTGAGGCAAGTCATTTCATCTTTTTTGAGTCATTTTTATCTCCCCTCTCTGGGAAAGTGTGACAATAAAACTAACTTTCAGGGTCGTTCTGGTGTGAGGATTAAATGAAATCTTGTATGTGAAAGTGGCAAGCAGGCAGCAGACCTTCAATTGAGGTCTGGTGAGCTACAATGCATAGTGATTGGGAACCCAGCTCTAGAACCAGAACAATCTGGGGGGAATCTCCTTTGCTTCTCCCAACCTCCCCTCACTTCCTTCACATTTTTGCTCAAATGTCACCTTGTCAGGCAACCTCCCCTGATTACCCTAATTTGAATCACAAAGCCCACCCCGGCACTCCATAGCCTCATTCTTTGCTTTGTGTTGTTCATAACACTCATTATCTTTTCACACACGGTCCATGATGCTTTCTTTCCTCATTCCTGTGTCCCCACCCCTGTTCCCTACTAGAGTGTAAGCTCCATGCGGGCAGTGAGGTTCATCTGCTTTGTTCACTGCTGTCTTCCCAGCACTAAGGATAATGCCCAGCACCTAGTAGGTGCTCAATAACGGTTTATTGAATGAATAAATGATTAACCTCAGTTTCATCATCTGTAAAACACCACCTTTTTGAGTTTTTGTGAGGATTGCATGAGATGGCTTCTAGAATGCATAATACAGTGCTTGGCATTTGGTACTTGCTCCAAACACGATAGTTATGAGAGATGAGGCTGTTTATTCTCTGTTCACCAGCGTAGCTCCAGTGCTCAGGAGAGTGGTTCATATAAGGTAGATGTTTGCTAAATATCTGCTGAGTGGATTATTGTTTGAAGGTTTTTTGAGCCTGAAAAAGTACAGAAGGCCTGTCAGAACATGGGGCCCCTCATGCTCCTGCTCTAAAAAATGGCCTGTGGCCCACAGAGGGTCCTAGCTGAGAATGTTGTACTGCTCAGAGCATGGCCGCTCACCAAAGCAGGCACCTGGCAGCTGACTCTAGTTGGAAACCTTCTTGACCAGGGGGTAGAGATGCCAGATAAAATATAGTATGTCCAGTTAAATATGAACTTCAGATAATGTAATATTTGGGACATATTTAAACTAAAAAGTTTCATTGTTCTGTGTTTTAATTTGTGAAATCTGGCACCCAAGCTGGAGGATGTATTTTCAAGGCACTCTGAGAAGATGGAGGCATCAGGGAGACCCCCTGGGCTACGACCATCTCTTCTCCTCTGCTGTGGCTAGAGGGGCTTAGCCTAGATAGGGACTTTGGGGAGCTCAGAGGCAGAAAGGCAGAAACCAAGACCTGTGGGAGGTGAGTCGGTTGTCCAGTGGAGGGGTCAGAGGGGCAAGGAAAGGCAGGCGTCGGGTGAGACACTGACCCTTGCCACTGGGCAGAGGCTGGTTCTCTGAGGAGTGGCTGTGAAAGGGCAGCAGTACAAAGTGTTTCTTTGTGACACACACACATCCTGCTCTTAGTTGCTGCTACTAAAATATCTCCCACATTTGCAAATTGCTTCATCCATCAGTCTCAGGGTGGATGTCTCCTCTGTTTGAGAGATGAGGGGACTAAGGCCTCGAGTTACCAAAAGCACTGCCTGTGTTTCCCCACTGGTTAGCTGCTGAGCTGGAGCCTCCTGGCCTCCTGGTGCCGGGCTACTCTTTGAAAAGGGGTGAAACAAGGCCTCGCTGTCTAGTCAGTGCCATTAGGGAACTTCAAAGCACCTGGAGAATCTCACTCACATTTCCTGGGGACCTTCTACATCCCCGGCATCCTGTCACAGAGTAAGGTACCTGCCACTCTGTGGCTTCGTCAGTCCTGCCGCTTAAGGGCTCACCTGACTGTGCCCTGTCTCCATCCTGGTCTGGCCAGCTGCTCTCACCACCCCCTGGGGTCCACTTCATGAAACTGAGATCCTTAGGCCCATGGGGGAGGTTAAGCTGAGGTCAAACCCAGACTGAAACCTCACAACCAGAGCTCCCCTTTTGTGTTCTGGAGCTCCAAGGCCTGGGCTGCTTCTCAATCCTGCAGTGCCCCAGAATGTCCAGTTGGGCAGCCTCCAGTCCCATATATTCCCCTCATGGGGACAAGCCTGCCAGCCTCCCTCCTGAGTATGAGTTCCCAGTGTCCGTTATCCGAAAGCTAACTCATCCCCCTCATCTTCCAAGGTCAGGGAGGCGTGTTCCAGCAAGTGCAACCCAGGGTGACTCTGATCACCAGCTTGTAATTACTTTTCACACCTTGGTTACATCATGATGGTCCTTGAGCTGAGTCTTTGTCTTATGCTAATGACCACATACCAGCCTGGCCTGAGAAGGCTGTGGAGGGGATCTTCCGATAGCAAGGAGGCTGCTGGATCTCTGGCCAAACTGCTGAAATTTGGGAAGCTTTGGGGTACATATCCTTGGGGCATAGGTCAGAGTCAGCATCCTGTTCTCTATATGGGTCTAGGAGGACCATATCTCTCACCTTAGACCTTTTCCATAACCCCCTGCTGCACACCTCCACCCCAGGCAGGTGGCACACTCAAATCAGGGTATGGGAGAAGGTTTATAAAGGGGCTGCCTACAGAGATGTGGGCAGGGTCTACAGAAACCACGAGGGATGGCTCCACTCAAAGGAAAGTAAAGTGGCACTGTCACCATCTAGGCTAACTGGATGAGGGGAGGGAGTGGGACCAAAGCCTAGGAGAAGAGAATCATAGAAACGGCCCCCTCAAGAGGAGCTATGGCCTTCAACTATGGGGCAGAGCCAGTCCCAGATGACCTGCAGGGAGGCAGCCAAGGGAGTACCCCAACCTCACCCTCTTTTCTCCCTCCAGGCTCTTGCCAGGACCCCCACTGGCCAAACCCAGCCAGAAGCCAGGATGGAGAAGGATGGCGAGCAGACCTGGACGGAGACCCTCCCTGATGAATACCCAAGGGACTGCCTCCGCACTCTGCACCTGCCTTGCAGGGGAGAGAAGAGGTAGGATAGCAGGGGTGTTTTCACTGTCCACAGTAAGTTTGGTGAGGGCATGGATGTGGGGTGGGGAGATGTTTTCAGAAGTTTCAGAACACACAATTTGGTCTCAGAAGCCTTGAGACCTTGCACTGTGTGTGGCCCTGGTCAAGTTGCTTGCCCTCTTTGGTCCCTGCTCTTCTCCCTATAGCAGCATTGCTAATTCCACACAGGGCGACTGTGATCATTACAGAGGATAACATGAGTGGAAGCTCTCTGCGTGCTGTGCACAGGGCACTTAGTAGATGTGCAATAAGCACAACCTGAATCTAGAATGGCAGCTGGTGGTCGCCTGGTAGCCTCGGCCTCCCCTCCAAACCCGGGCTTCCTGCCTGCTGTCTCTCTCAGCCTCCCTCAGGCCAGACCCCCCCTTGCACATGGTGGATCCTGAGCCTCTGCCCGACTTGGGGTCAGCGCCAGGAAGCCTGCTGCCAGCCCCACCTGCCAAAGGTGACTGCTGGCTAGCACTGGCCTGTCCCAGCATCTGGCAGAGCTTACTTATGAGCACTGGTTCCAAGCCCCAAGTGACTGCATTGCTAGGTGTCAAGGTGTGCAAAGGAGCTGGGGGCCAGACTGGATGGAGGAGGGAGGGGGACCCAGGGAAAGGGACCTACCTTGTGAGATCCTGTCCCCTGTCCTCTGGGCAAGCAGCTAAGCAGGGCAGGAAGAGGGGGAGGGCCTCTTCTGCCTGAGAGAAACCAGCAGCTGCCTGTCTACCTTGTTAACTGGAGCACAATTAAAGCAGTTAGGAGTCGAGGACGTCTCATGTTTATTCATGTACCTTTGACACACTGTCTTTCTGTGTCGGTCACAGTCCCTGTGGGTGCTTTGTGGCCACTCCTCCTCCTCTAACCTTCTCTGCCTCCACCCAGTTCCTGGACACTCGTCATGCGCCTTCTCATTGATTTCATTTACAAATAGTAAGTGAACATCTGTAAAACGCCTTGCAGTTTACAAAGCACTTTTCATATTCGTTACTTTGGGTAAGCCTCACAGCAGCCCTGTATGGTTTCTAGGATCATCATCGCGGTGTTACAGATGCTCTGGGCTCCACAGTCCCTGAGAGAAGGTGCAGCCCTGGGCGTGGGGTCACAGCGCGTGCTGAGGAGGACAGAGATGTCTGCACCATTCTGCTTCTGTGCAGAGGGCACGGGGCTGGTTTTGCTGACCCAGGTAGCGGGGACAGGACGAAGTGTTCCTGTGGGCTGATGGAGTGAGTGTTGTCCTCCTCCTCTCCTGGCTGAGCTCCGAAGGCTTCTTTTGCCAGCATATGCAGTACAGCCGGGAGAAGTAAATACCCGTCGCTTATGGGGGGTGTTGGCAACCCTCAGTCAGAAGAACAGTGTGGTGATTGTTGCCTCCTCAGCAAATCTATGCCTCTGACAACCGCTTGGCCCAGCCCTCCAGGGGACTCCAGCTGTCTTCTCCTCTCTGTTCCTGTTAGGGGTACCCAGAGTACTCCTAGGCTTGCCCCCTTTCTCGGTGGAAGGTCCTCCCCAGCGCCAGGTGAACTCACTGGTCCACAGGTGCTGCCTCTGGGAGGCATCCTCTGATCCCCCTATCTAAAGAGCCCCCTCCTTGACTCTCCATCTTCTAATAGAATTTTTCTTAATAGTACATTTAACCTTAGTAATATATGAATTTCACTTTTTTTGCAATCTAGAATGAATGAATGATACTAGACCTTAAGAAAGCTTCAACTCATGTTTATGAACACCTACTGTGTACCAGGCACATTTACTTGGGTTATTAAAAAATTTTTCTGATTCTCGCAATAATGCTGTGAGATGGTCTGCAGTGCCCCCATTAGGACAGGAAACTGATACTCAGAAGAGTGACGTGACTTACTGGAGGTTGTCGGCTGCCGGTTCTACATCTCAGCGAAAGGCACCTTCAAACATGTGGCTGCCCAAGTTAGTGAACTGAGAGTCACGTAGGCCTCCTTCTCACCCGTGCCCACCAAAGGCACACATGGAAACAATCATCCAGTCTTGTAAACCCCACTATTAGAGTTTTTCTTAACTCCATCAAATCCCTTCTCCCTTGCCATTTCCCTGGGCAAACCCACCAGCATCTCTTAGGGACTGCCTTACTTTGACGCTTCAAAGTGTCCAGTTCTCTCCTCTGTAAAAGGTGAGTAAGTTCAACCTATCCTGAGCCAAAGTCCCTCCAAAGGCCTATGAGATAGGGTGACTTGACATCATGGTTTTGGGGGCTGCATTATGATTTTTGTGGATCCTTTGCTTTCATGGTCCCATTTCTCCATAAAAACTTTTTAAAAATTAGACTTTTAAATAGCATGGGAATGAAGACAAATATAATCCAGACTAAATTCATTATTATCATGTTGATTTTTTCTTCTGATTAAAAAAAAAGTTAAAACATTGTCATGGGCCCCTAAAAGTGTTGTGGGCCCTAAGCACAGTCTCTCCTGTGCCTGATGGATGGGTCAGTTCTGTTATCCACAGGTCAGTTTTAGCACTGAAAGTCCCCCATCCCAGGACAACCCTCAGTCCCAGGCAAAATGGAGTGGTTGGTCACTCTCCTACAAGGCCTTCCATGATCTGACTCCCCACTGCCTCTCTAACCTCAATGCCTACTCTTTTCCCTTGGCCAGTTCTGCTCTAGACACTCCCCTGCCCCCAGGCTGGTCCTGGATCAAATGAGGACACTCCTGCCTCAGGGCCTTTGCACTTATCCTCCCCTCTGCCTGGCATAAACGCTTGGCTAACTTTATTCAGATCTTTGGTCAAATGTCAACTTGTCATTTGGGACCTTCTGGGACCAGCAGCACAATAGCTCTCTCACTGGTCTCCATTTCTCCCTCCTACTCATGTCCAGTTTTTTTCTCCACACAGCAGC
This sequence comes from Homo sapiens, assembly GCF_000001405.40. Classification (NCBI taxonomy): domain Eukaryota; kingdom Metazoa; phylum Chordata; class Mammalia; order Primates; family Hominidae; genus Homo; species Homo sapiens. The sequence goes on from NC_000001.11 coordinate 111,859,066, forward strand.
CAGAGTGACCTTTCAAAAAAGCAAATTTGATCATGTCTGTCTCCTATTTAAAATGTTTCTCAGTTCCCACTGTTTTTAGAAGATTGAAACTCTCTAGCATGACCTACAAGGCCCTGATGAGCTGATGCTATGTGTCAGGCTCCTGCTGGGAAGCCACTGGCTGGGAGTTGCAATGCTGACCCTTTTGAAGTTCTTCTTCTCCCAAGGTCCTCTGAGTGCACAGAGAAGCTCTTTGGGCCATCTTGGTCTCAGCATTACCTCCTCTGAGAAGAGAAGAGACCTCAGTGAGCCAGGGAAGGGCTGGGACTGGCATCGCGGGAAAGGAGAGGTTGGATGGGATGACTTCACAAAGCCCTGCAAGTGTGGTACTTTACTCTCTCCCTGAACCCAGCTAGAACCACTGAAGAGACCCTGAAGGACACCGGGGCCCAGAAGGCAAAAGGAGTCACTACTGGCAGGAATTTGGTTGGACATGTTTGCCTTCTTTCAACTCTAGGCATTGTTTGAGTCTGGACAGTACTTTACAGAAGCCACAGTAAGCAGGATGTATAGGATACAGCCAGGAAGTACTTCCTTGTGCCTACCCTACATCTTGCATGCTACAACTTCACTCCTCAGTGGAAATGGAGAGATGGATGATCCTCCCTCCACATGCCATTTGTTTCCATGAAAGCTGAGCCCTATTAAAACAACAAAAATGAATATCGATCAAGCTTGTATCATATGGCAACCACTGTCCTAAGTTCTTTACATGCATAAAGTCATTTATTCCTCACAATAGCCCAAGGAGGTGGGTAGTATTTGATGAGATGAGGGTTTGGAGACCCTGTCTCCTGCACCCTACTGATGATGCCAGGGTGGCGGGAGGTGTGAGAGAGCCTTTCCCTGACCTTTAACGCTTTTTGGGAAGGAATCTTCTGCATGCTGCAGGAAATGGCCCTAAAGACAATCAGGAACGATCCTGAGGTCATAACTTCATTGGTGCTATTCTGATATAGCTACAGCTGAAGTTGACACAAGTTTCACCGTCTTAGATACTACCAACAATAGTTACGGCAGGCACTTCAAAATATTCGGTAGATAAATTAGTTTACTGAGCATGTACTTAGTGCCAGTGCTCTAAAAGGTAAGTTGCACACGTTATCTCATTTAAGCCACACAAAACCCCTAAGAAGTAGCTATTGTTAATCTCATTTAGCAGATAAGGAAATACGGCTCAGAGAGAATAAGCAGTTTAACCAAGGCCACACAACTAATAAACGCAGAAGCTGGGATCTGTCCTCAGATCTGTTTGACTTGCTTCTAACAGCTTAGGTGCTTGATTGATACTTGTTAGGTGGCTAACAAAAACTGGGTTGCTGACAGCTCTGTCTAGGATAGAAGACCAACATTGTGCATCCAGGCCCCTGGGGAAGAGGTGTTCAGGAGAGGGAGAGGAATTTGGAGCATGGTTACAGCTTCTCAGTCCCCCACCCCCCCAACTTGGGATTTAGTTCTATCCATGCTGCTAATGCATGACCCACACTTCCAAGCTCCCTCTCAGCCCTATCTATCCTTGAGCTGCAACTGTGAAATCATAGTGACAGTTCCAGTTTAGTTCCCAGGATGAGCCTGCGATTATGTCTGCCTCAGCAGGGAGGTGACCCCTGTTCTGTCCTTGCCCATGACAAGTGAGCTCTCCTCTCTCATTCAGGTGGCTACTAAAACACTGCCTCCTCCATTTAGTCCTCCCGGGTTGACCAGATGTTGGATGTCAGCTAATGTGGGTTCTTCCATCCAGAGAGAAAAAGCTTTGAGCCCAAGTCTTAGCCAGCATCTGTCCCTGTCTTACTGGATTATTGATAGGACACCTCAGTAAACACTTAGCTCCCAGCAAGGAAGTCCTCCTGTGTGTCCCAAGGGAAGTCCCCTTTCAAACAGGAGCTGTCTGGCAGAGCCCCTCTCACCATCTCCCATTTCCAAAGGGCTTCATGGGGTCTGGCAGAGCTCCTCTCACCATCTCCCATTTCCAAAGGGCTTCATGGGGTCAACTCACCAGTTCTCAGGTGGTGACTAGTTGAGGTTGCCTTTTGAAAACCAAAAGGGCAGAAAGGAGGAAGGGGGGCGGGGCGTGGGGAAAGAGGTAGATGGCGTAGATAACAATGGGGTAGGGGCTTCCTTTAGAGAAAGGGAAAGTTTCCCAGGAGAGGCCCTGTCCAGGCAAGGGTCCCTCGATGACCCATAATAACCTGAGTTTACACCCTGGGTTCCAACCAAGATGTGCTCTAACTTCAGGCTGAGAGATTGAGGCACATAGAGGTACTTTATGTGTAGATTTAGGGATCCTTCTAAACTTCAACTGTGCAAATCCCTTTCCTTTCCCTCCCCCAGCCCAGTCTCAGGAACTTAGAATGGCAAGGTTTTTGAAATCACTTTAAAAGGCTTTTCATTTTGTAGATAAGAAAACTGGGGTCATAAGACTTGTCCCAGGCCCACTGCAGGACCTTGTTCCTGTGTTTACGGAGGGAAGCGGGTGGCAGGAGGGGGCCCACCGGCAGTGGAAGAGAACATGTCACCCTCTCCTATCTCCTTATTCCTCTCCTTCCCCACTCCCTGAGGCAGCATTCCCAGCCTGGCAGAGCAGGGGTGGAGGTGCAGGGAGGGCTCTGCAGGGAAGAGGGGCCTGCAGGGCCAGGGCAGACACCAGTGACAAGAGCAATTTATTTCCCAGGCACAGATTAGATGGCAACTGAGAAATTCTTCCTTATGCCATCTATCAGCGGACCGCCTCCAGCAGCCTCTGTGGGGTCAGGAAATTTGTCTTGACTGCACTGCTCAGCCACTTTATTTGGGCTCCTGTGGTCTGAGTTATGCGAGGGACCCCCAAATAAGTAGAAGGAATCCAACCCCACATCATCCACAGAGCTACTGCCTCACAAACTGCAGCTGCCTGCTCCTACCCTGGGCTAAACAGACTCCCTAAAGGAGATGATGCATTTCCTTATGGCCTGTAGGAACGAGGGCTTTTATAGTGCAGGGCGCTGGCTGGGGAGGGAGCAGCCCCTAGAGACTCTGCCCAGACAGATATCTGGGGTCATTGAGATTTTCTTAGCCTGCTTTGACAAGAGGGCATTGGCTGAAAGTACAGTATTAGCTGAAGGGGTTGGCAAACTTTTTCCAAAAAGGACCAAATAGTAAATATTTCAGGCTTGCAGGCCATAGGCCTCTGTCACAACTACTTAACTCTGCCACTGTACTGCAAGGGCAACAACAGACAATTCAAAAATAAATGGGCATAGCCATGTTTCAATAGAACTTTACAAAAACAAAGTGAATGGCCATGGGCCGAATGCTAATGCCCCCAACCCTTTCACTAAAAAATAAGTTTTGCAATGAAAAACTGTAAACTATGCAATGGGGCCACTGGAGTATACCCTTAATTCTAATATGGTGAGTCTGTAAATTATATCGTCAAGTCTAAGAAAGCAAGGGATCTGCTCTCTTGTGGATCTGTGGCCATTAGTTCTCACAATACCCTTTAATCAGTGTAGGAAAGAACCGTGTAGGAGTTCAAAGTATAGGCTCTGATGCAATATTGTTTGGATTTAATCCTTACTCTACCAGTTACTAGTTGGATGACCTTAACCTCCCTTACCTCAGTTCCCTTCTCTGTAGAGTAGGGACAATAACAATTTACTCTCACAGGGTTGTTTTGAAACTGAATCAGCTATTATAGGTAAAGCATTTGGAACAGTGTCTGGCATGTGATCAGTCTGCACACCTATCTGTTGCCAGACCTTAGTTAACCTTCACTAAATCCTGACCAGGGGCTGGTTGATCTTGGGTGATGTAAGAGGTGGAGGTGTGAGGACACTTTGTCCCTACCAGATGGGCAATACGTGACCGTTCCCATCTAGGCACCTTGGCACTGGACATTTGAGGTTTCTCTTTTTGCCTCTGCCCATTTTGATTAGAATAGAAAGCGGACTAATGATAGCAACAAGAAGAAGAAAGAGAAAAGACAAGGAAAATACATTTATTGAATTGTTACAATGGGCTGGGCAGGGCTAGGTGCCTTACATATTTTGTTTCATTAAATCTATGCAACAAACCTGCAAGGCAGGCATTACTATCCTCATCTTTAGACAAAGAAATTAAGTCTCAGAAAGGTTGTGTGACATGTTCAAGGTCACCCAGACTGACTAATTAAAAGTTCATTCTTTCATCATATTTCTTTTTCACCAACTATGTGCCAGACATTGACTAACCTATTTGTCTAGGAAACAGTAAAAAAAAAAAAACAGCTTATGTTCTCGATGATAGAGATGAAAATTTAAATCAATCTTTAAGGTGGGGTTGCAAAGGAAAGTTATGAGAAGCAGGAAGCCCTCAGCAAGGAAGAGACACTTAATCTGAATCTTGAAGAATGAATGGGAGTCTTCTGGGACGACAAGGGAGAAAAGGTATTCCAAGAAGTAACATCACATGCAAACACACAGAGGCATTCAATAACATTGTGCTTTTGAAAACAGCCACCGATTTGCTCTGGCAGAGTTGCAAGGGCAATCAGAGGGGCAATGAAGTAGGAGAGGCAGAGGTCACAGGGGACTTAGGGAGGCTCTGGTGGCTCATGATGAAGAGTTTGAACTTGATCCTGCATACAATGGGGAGGCACTTAAAGGGTTTTAAGCAGGATAGCAACATAATTAAATTGTGTTTTAGAAATTTAAAAACGGAGGCTGGACTAGAAGGTGAATGCAGCAGGATGCAGGGAGACCAGCTGAAAGACAACTGAGTAATCCAGGGGAGAAATGATGAGGGGGGTTAACTAAAAAGTAGCAGTGGGAATAAAAAATGGGAGACTGGTCTAAGAGATACTGAGGAAGTGGGGAGGCTAGACTTGATGATGATTGAAATGAGGAGTGAGGTGGGAAGGAAAGAATGGAATCTGGGCTGACTTGGAGCTTGCCTTGGATGATGAGATAAATGGGGGCAGCTTTGATATGGGGAGCAGAGGAGGAGGAGCAGGGGTTTACATAATGATCACAATTTCCATTTTGGTCATGTTGAGGGTGGCTGGTGTGGGGCTAGATGTGGTGGAGGGGTGGGCGTGTGGAAGGCAGGATGGGGAAGAAGAGAAGAAGGACACATATTCTTCTCTCAGTCCCACATGGCACTCACTGATAAGAGCTGGGAAATAGCACATTCATCAGGCCCCAAGAGCCAACTTTGTGGGAACAGTGGAGGGTACTCCCAAGATTGCTGTTGGTGGGGCAGCCTCAACATTCAGCTCTAGGGGAGGGTCCCAGGGGAAATCTCAGGTAAGAATTTCCCTTCAGTAAGAACTTACTTTGCTGTGAACAACTTGCAAATTCATTCATTTCTCGCTCACTCTCTCTTTTTTTGTATTTCAGTAAAATGTAATTCTTGATAATTATGCTGAGTTCTAGTTATCTGGCTTCTTAAGGGCTGTAGTGCCATTAACACAGATGAGCAAACAAAGGATGTCCTTGCATGCAGGCTTTCTTTCATGTAGCTTGAAAATATTTGCCTAGCTGTCCTCATCTGCTCCAGACCCCAATCATCCCTTGCTGCTGCTGCACTTTTGCTCCACTAAGGACAGTTCCTGGGACCACAGAAGGCATCTCAGGAGGAACTCCTGACTCAGCAAGGTCAAGCAGCTTCCCAAACTATGCCCTTCAGATGGCCTCACTTCAGTCCCCAGCCTTGGCCTCATAGATGGGCAGAGCAGAAGGAAAGAACAGAGATTTCCCAAGGAGTAAGACAGTAGTGTGCATGTTTGTGTGTATACGTTAGGGTTGGGGGGAAGGGAAGGGAGAGAAAGGCATAGAAGGAGACAAATATGGTCAGAGAGCAACAGAGAGAATGCTCACATACGAGAGAGGCACAAGCAAGACACAGGAAACAGGAAACAGACACAGGGTGGTGGGGGTGGGCAGCAGGCATGTTCGAGGAACAGCCAGACATTCGGCAACCCAATCTTCATCTTGGTCTGAAAGTGTCCTTGGCCATGGTGCTGAATGCTAAGGCCCCACTATCAGGTAGAGGTGGGTGAACCATGCTGTGACTTTAAGCTGTTATATTCACCTAGTTCCTTATTATTAATAGTTATTGAGTAGCCACTGTATGCCAGATATACTGCTACTTGCTTTCACACATAGTCTTATTTAATCACACAATAACTTCCTAACACAAGAATTCACAGAACGGCCACAGGTCTTGCCTTCGGCTATTGAAGCCAAACTACAGTAGGGGGTAGGTACTGATACAGTATTTTACTTTTTGAGGACCTTCACAGAAAGGCAGGGATAAGGGGAGAGAGCTGGTTGCTGGTTACATTTAAATGATTCCCAAAGAGGTCAGGGCTACACAGGGAGTGAGCCAGCACTCATCACAGTGGATCTTGTCAGGGACATGTCCCACCAGAATATGGCCCGTATGTGCTAACAGGGGTCAGGGTCCTGGGAAGTTTTTTGTGTTTCTATAAATTATTATCTTCAAAAGACATAGAAATAATGTCTCTGAAAGAGGATCCTTCATAGTAGAGATTCTAGCAACTCCAACCCATTCCAGTTATATTGCTATTGTTCAAAACAGCTCTGGAATCCTTTTTTTGGGGTTTCCTTAAAGACATTTATGTTTTATTTATTAATTTTTGTGACAAGGTCTTACTCTGTTGTCCAGGCTGGAGTGCAGTGGTGTGATCATGGCTCCCTGCAGCCTCTACGTCCTGGATTCAACTGATCCACCTGCCTCAGCCTTCTGAGTAGCTGAGACTACAGGTATGCACCATCATGCCCAGCTAATTTTTGTATTTTTTTGTAGAGATGGGGTTTCACCATGTTGCCTAGGCTGGTCTTAAACTCCTGGGCTCAAGTGATCTGCCCACCTTGGCTTCCCAAAGTGCTGGGATTACAGGTGTGAGCCACCATGCCTGGCCCAAACACATTTATGTTTTCAATTGAAAAAATTTTTCTTTTTGGGGGCGCAGATTAATTTTTAAATAAAATATTTTTCACTATTTTATTTTTTAGTTCTAATTTTTTTAGTAGATTATTTTTTAAGAGCAGTTTTAGGTTTGTAGCAAAATTGAATGAATACCATTTTATTTTTCTAGGTTTGTTTCATTGATTTTCTTTCTTTCTCTCTTTCTTTTTTTCTTTCCTTCTTTTCTTCTTTCTTTCTTTCTTTTCTTTTCTTTTTTTTTTTTTTTTTGACAAGGTCTGGCTCTGTTGTGCAGGCTGGATGGAGCGCAGTGGGGCGATCTAGGTTCACTCCAACCTCGACCTCCCAGGCTCAAGCCAACCTCCCACCTCAGCCTTCTGAGTAGCTGGGACCATAGGAGTGCGCCACCATGCCCAGTCAATTTTTGTATTTTTTGTAGAGACAGAGTTTTGCCATGTTGCCCATGCTGGTCTTGAATCCCTGAGCCCAAGCAATCTACCTGCCTTGGCCTCCCAAATTGCTGGGATTATAGGCATGAGCCACTGTGCCTGACCTGTTTGTTTCTTTAAACACACACACACACACACACACACACACACACACACACACACACGGCTGAGAAGCTGAGTAGTGTTATTTTGGGTCACAAACGAGGTGTGACCTGTAGTCCTGGTTACTCAGGAGGCTGAGGCAGTAGGATCGCTTGAGGTCAGGAGTTTGAGACCAACTTGGGCAACATAGTGAGACCCCCAACTCTGAGAAAAACAAAACAAAACAAAGTATGACTCTAATGTATTAAAGCTGACTTTCCTCTTTGATTTCTAAATCAGGTCTAATGGCAATTTCTAGAGGGATATTCTACAACTAATCACCAGTGCCAGCACCATTGGATTAAATATGCAGCTTCCCAAGGAAGCCATTTGAAGGGCACTGTGATCTTTTAAATGCACATCATGAAAAAATCCTATGTAGGCTAATAAAAATATTTTTTATTGCTTTTAAGTCCTCGCTCTGCCAGTTAGTCACCTGTGTGATCTTGGATAAGTTACCTAACTTCTCTGGGCCTCTGTTCCTTCATCTGTAGAAAGGAGACAGCAGTAGTCGCTAATGAGTTGATACCAGTAAAATGTGCTTAGAACAATGCCCACCCCACAGTAAGCCCTTAATTGATGGTCCCACCATATAAGCTCTTGCCCGTCATTTTCTAGGCACATCCTAGGGTAGAAAACCCAGTGAGTTGAGGCCTATTAGGTACCTTGGCATGCCTGATGCCTGGCATCAGGTAGGTGCTCAATGTGTGTTTGTGGATGCAAATAGAACTAAACATAGCCCCTTTAGAAGCTGAAGGGCTTGCATCAGGATTTACTGAAAACAGGAATCTCTCTTGGATTGATTTCTATAATCAACATGTTTTAGATATTTTCTGAATATGCAGAGCACCCCAATCCTGGGTTATAACCAAGGTGAGGCTGACTTTGGAAGGGAAACCCGCCTTAGGATGCTTTTAGAGCATCCCTTTCCCTATGGGAACACCTGTATTTCCATGCAGTGGGGTGTTGGAAGGCTGGGGTCTGTGCTCTCAACAGGAGCTCTTTTGGTCACACTGGGGAGCAGTTCTTGCTAAAGTGTTGATTTATGAGTCTTCTTCCCTCTCTCCTAGGGTAGTATGCACATCTAAGAGGGAGAAGCTTTAAAAACTCTACAGATTTTCCAAGGAAAGCATGGCAGGCACCTTGATAGAGGTGAAGAGTAGAATTTTTGATTATTTGGAAGGAACTTGGAAGAAACCCTTCTGAGCACAGTGAAAATCCTAGCAATGTATAAGACATAGTGTCTTCATAGGTAAGAGCACAGGCTATGGGGGCAGACAGACCTGGTTTCCAATTCTGGTCTTACATACACAAACAAGGTGACATGGAGGAAGTCGCTCTAAGCCACAGAGCCTCATTGGTCAGATGGGAATAATCCTAACATCTACCTCATTAGGCTGTTAGAAGATTTCAATGAAAGAGGCCCATAAAGCACTTAGCAGAGTGCCTGGCAAACTAAACATAATAAGTGGTTGCTATTACAGTAGTCCCCACTTATCTGCAGTTTCAGTTACTTGTGGTCAACCATGGTCTGAAAATATTAAATGACAAAAATCCAGAAATAGACAATTCATAAGTTTTAAGTCGTGGGCTGCTCTGAGTGGTGTGATGAAACCTCATGCTGTCCTGCTCATGCTGTCTGGCTCCAACCTGCCCGGGATGAGAACCTTCCTCCAGCACATCCGCTGTCCACGCTACCTGCCAGTTAGTCATTTAGCAGCCATCTGGTTATCAGATAACTGCTGCATTTCCCAGTGCTCGTGTTTAGGTAACTCTTATTTTACTTAATAAAGGCCCCAAAACACCCAAAACACAAGAGTACAGTGCCTAGTTTATAAATTAAAATTTATCATAGGTATGTATGCATAGGAAAATCATAGTATATGTAGGGCTCAGTACTACCCGTGGTCTCAGGTGGCCTCTGGGGGTCTTGGAATGTATCCCCCATGGGCATGGGGGGGACTACCATATTTTTGTAAGCAGCTGACTATAATAATAGCTACCATTTATTAAGCATTTACTATATGCCAACATTTTGTTATACTGCTTCATGCATAGATTTTATCTAAACTCCATAATAACACTTTGAATTATCATTTCTATTTTATAATTGAAGAGACCGAGGCCTGGGAATTTAACTGTTTCTTTTTTTTGAGACAGGGCCTTGCTTTGTCACCCAGGCTGGAGTGCAGTGGCAAAATCATGGCTCACTGCAACCTTGAACTCCTGGGCTCACGTGATCCTCCCATCTTAGCCTTCTCTGTCTCCCGAGTAGCCGGATTACAGGCATGTGCCACCACATCCAGTTAACTTTTTATTTTTGGTAGAGATGGGGTCTCACTATGTTGCCTAGGCTAACGTAACTGGTTTCATCCCAGAGTCATACAAATAGTAAGTGATGAGTCAGGATTTGAGCCTGGGATTCCTTGACTCCAAGGCCTGTCCCCTTAAGCTCCACACCATACTTCCTTCCACACGCTGCCCATCCTGCCCACGGGCCCTCTCACTGCAGGAAGTCAAGTACCAGCAGTACTTGGCTAAAATCAGAATGCTTCTTTCTCCCTTTCCTTCTCCTTATTATAATGTTTCCTCTCAAAAAGTTTGCTTTATCGATTTCAGACTTTTTAAAAAATGAGCTCATGAGACAGGGCTATACAAGCTGTCAGAATTATCAGACAGAAACAGAGCTCCTAGAGGCTCCTCCTGCCACCTCTAGGACCCCCCAGGAATCCTAGATATGAGCTTCCTCCTCACCTTCATCCAAATTTGTCCATCAGCCTGAGCTCTTTCTGTCACAGCATCACTTCACCTTCTTCCATCCCCAGTGCCACTATGGGATCTTGAATGAGTTGGGGTTATGGCCACATTGCATATACTGGCCCACATATTCTTCCAGGGATTGGCCTAACTGGACAATAAATAGGGACAGTCACAGGGTATTCAAAGCTCCAAGCCACCCATTGCCCAATGTGCTCAGTTGGGAAGGAAGAGAGAATTGAGACCAACACAGAGAACATGCACTATGTTCTCTCATTGCCAGACCCTGTGCTAGTCAGTTCCATGTGTATCACCTCATTTAATAACACTGCAAGGAGTATTATTAGCCTGCTTTCACAGATGAGGAAGGGATTTGTAAAGACACTAAATTAACTGCTCACAAATAAACTTTTACAATTTCCCAGAAGACCACGGGTCTTTACTGTGAAGATTAACATGCAGCCAGTAAGTGGTGGATCCAGGTTTGGGATTCATACCTGGTAAAGTCCGTACTCTGTGTGTGTGAAGCTGTTTTCCAAAAGAATGAACACACACACACACACGTACAGACACACATGTCACATGCTGAAATAAAGTGTTTGTATCAAATAAATATCAAGGACAACTGTAGTATGTGTGTTTTTTGAGGGAGTGGAATGGGAAGCAGAGATTAATTGAGACACATACTGGCAGACTAATAATAGGTAAAATTTATCAAGCACTTGCTTGTATCATTTAAGCCTCACAATGGCCCTATGAAGTAAGCATAATTGTTACTCCTATTTTAAAGATGAAAAAACTGAAGCACAGAGAAGATAAGCAACTTGCCCAAGCTTACAGACCCAGCAAATGATGGTGCCAGTTACTTGCCTACTGCCACAGCTCCAACTAAATTCTCTCTTCTGAGCTGGAACTCTGTGGATTGCCTTGATAACTGGCTTTCTATCAGGCTTTGCTAATAGCAGGCATTAGGGGGCAATTGCAGTGCAGAAGGAAGGGAGGTGGGGACTTCTCATTCTGATGCTGGACATCAGAGTCACTGTGTCACAGACGGAGACTTAGCTTGAACTAAGAGGACAGATGATCACTTTGACACTGAAGGAAATTACTGGGAATAACAAAGGCTTATGGCTTCAATTAGAGGGTCAGCTGATGCCAGTGCCATTTTGAAGATAAGAGCATCAGGGATCCAAGGAGGGCACTGCTTGGAGAGCTATCAGCTAGGGTGCCTTGTTAAGAGAGCTTTGATCTGTGCAGAGGGAGCATCAAGTCCAAGATCTGGAGTAGCAGCCATATAAGCCAATAAATATGATGCTACAGGGTCTCTTGTTGAAGATGGTACATGGGATTGCACTCAGTGAAAGAAAAAAAAGACACAAAAAGAAGAAAGAGGTACCTCCATCCAATCACCTATCCATCCATTCAATCTAACAAACATCTATTGAGGTACTATCCTGTGCAAAGCATATGTGGGATGGAAGACAGACAGAGTCAGACATAGATCCTGTCCTGAAGGAATATAACATCCCCCTAGTAGGGATATAACAGTAGGGATATAACGGGAATATAACATCCACACATAGGGGGATGTCACAAAGAGACATACTTATCTGCATGTGCAGTGAGAGATCTGAAGAGGAAAGGGCGGGCTCTAGCTGGATCAACTCTGTGACTGCATGGAGAAAGCAGCAATTGAAATGTGGAGGAATGGGGGCATATGTGAGGCACATTGAGATATCAGAGGGTTGTGGTGAAGGGTTTGTGAAGAGAAGGAATGGGAGGTGAGATGAGAAAGATAGCTGAGACTATACTGTGAATGGCCTTGAGTTGCAACTTGGTTCTGTAAGTAGAGAGTAACTGAATGTTTTCAAGCAGGATATGAAATAATGATTTTTTTAGAGTATTCTAGAAGCACAGTGGGAAATGAACTGTGGTAGGAACGTCAGGTTAAGAAGCCATTATGATTATCAAGGCAATGAAGGAATGATGAAGGAGTGAATCATGGATGAGGCAGAGAAAACACAGACAAGGAAATGGAGTTCAGAGCCAGCTGGTAACACAATTGGTAGGTCCTAGAGAGAGGCAAGGAGGAGTCAGCTTGTGTGACAGGAAGGACAACGGTGTCACTAAGAGAAATAGGGAGCATGAAAGGAAGAACAAAGTTAAAGGGGTAAAGCTATAAACTCACTGGACACATTGAGTTTAATGGATTGTAAGGAATGAAGGTGGAGACACAAAGATAGAAAAGCAGGACAGTATGGAGTTAAGGAGAGAAGTTAGGGATAGGAAGTTAATTTGGGTACCACCTGCCTTCATCAAGGTTGGCAGATGAAGCTTTGAAATTGGATATGGTTTCCAAAGGAGAGTGTTGAGAAAGAGCAAAAAAGAGTCAAGGATGATCCTTGGATAAAACCTAAATTTATAAGGTGGAGGAAAGGAGGAACAAAAGGAGTAATGACCAGAATGGCAGGAAGACAGCAGGAGGAGAGAGCAGGTGAAGAGAGGTCCAAGGAAAGAAGGGTAAAGTGTTAGGAAGTGGGGAGAACTGAGCATCAAATGCTGCAGGGGCCAAGGAGATCAGGAGCAAGGAAAGGCCACTGGATTTGGGGCCTGAGAAATGGTCAGTACCGTCAAGAGCAAGTTCCGTGGAGCAGCGAAGGCCAAAGGTAGATTAAAAAGAGCCAGAAATAATAATAACAAAGATACTAAAAATAAAACCTTATATGTGATGCTTACTAAGTGCAAGACACATTGTAAACACTTCACATGTACTAATTCATTTGATCTTCACAATAACCCTTTAAGGTGGGCACTATTATTATCCCCACTTTACAGGTAAGAGGACAGAGGATGGGGCACCAAAGAAAAGACAAGACCGTAGATTTCCAAGGTGTGCTCCACAGACCCTTAGTCCTGCAAGAAGCAGAAGCACCACAGAAAAGTGCTCTGAGGTTAAGTAAATTTGGCATTTCCCTTCTAGGAATGCACATTATTAGTATCTTTAAAGACAGAGAAGCCCTACACTGAAGAACCTTGTTTAATTTTGTTAAATCCAATGTTTTCTAAATTTATTTGACCTGTGAACCTTTTTATCATTAACATTCTATGGAACAATGTTCTACAAGGCACACTTTGGGAAATGCTGGTATAGAAGGCTCTCATAAAGTCATGGACAGAAGCATTAGGATCAGATACATGAGGAGGCTGAAGGGATACTACTGCGTCTTTTTTGGGGAGAAAGAGTGTTTTTTTATGGAAGGAGAGCAAAATTTTAGGGTGGGCTAAAGAAAGTGACAGAGAAAATGGGAAACAAGGAATCTTAGTGCCAGACAATAAATGAACAACACATTTATAGAGGTTGGAGCCGGGATTCCTGAAAAAGAGGCCGTGAGAGAGAAAATTATGATCAATTCCACTTCAGGCCCTTTAAGTTGGCCTGTCCACTCCCATGTACCCAGTGAGAACACTCATCAGTTTTACAAAGGCAGATGTCTCCGTGGCTTTAGGGAGCATTCCTCATTCATTCAACAACTCCAGGATGGACACTCACTCTGGGCCAGGTACAATGTTAGGCATTGCTCTCACTCTGATGCTGTCTCTTCTCAACTTCAGCTCTTGGTTTTGCAACCTGGATTTTATTTTTGCCTCTGATCCTTTGACTTGAAGCTATGTCTGGGCTTCCCAGAGTCTGAAGATCAGTTTCCCCAGTGGCATCTGGCTAATGCCTCTTTTGGTCCCAGTGTCCGAAGAAGCTTCAGGTGAGAATGCTGATCCAGTCCTGGCCTGGGCCACCTACCCGACATTGTTCCCTTGTGCAGTATCCCTGCCTGTCCTGCCTCGAAATGTCTCTGCCCTCTTCCAGGAGCTGTGTGCATTGTGTGTGGAGGGTGGTGGTACAAAGGATGAAGCACTCAGACAAGAACAGACCCTGCCCTCAGGAGACAGAAATCTAGCCAGGACAAACGTGGCACCAGCCCTCCTTAGGACTGCTTGCCTAGCAGCATATTAACAAGGCATGTAATGGTGTGGCATGTGGTATGGAGGCACCTGTGGCATGATAGGTGGTGGGAATTACTGGGTGAAATCTTCTGAAGGAGAGAGTCTTACACCAGTAGCCCTACTTGGGGTGAGAAGGATTGTGGGCAGAAGTCTAGCTTAGGAACTCTACTTTATGAATAAGAGAGTGATGTTTTGGACCAGAAATGCTGCTTGCTCCACCTGGGAAGACAGGCTAAGTGTCTGTTATGTGCAGCTGCAGACCTAGCCCAGGGCCCCGATCAGGCATTGGGCATTTGGCTAGAGAGGATCTCTCTCTCAAGCAGATGCTTATTATAGACTTGTTCTGAGCACTCAACATGCCTTCTCCCTCCCAGCTGCTAAATGTCCATTTCCAAGTTATTGAAATTCACTGGGAAGTATGGTTAATATGCAAATATAGATTAGCCCCCTTGCCACTGATGCAGAGCTGCCTGTTTGGCAGCCTGTGGTACTCAAGATTCATAAAATATCTGGCACAAGCAGGGGAGAACGGAGAATGATTGGACGGGGTTGGGGATGGGGGTAGGTTTAATTCTTGGGCTACTAATGAATCTGATTGCAGCCAACACTCGATTATACCCAGGTGGATTACACACTGGGCGAGTCATCTGTAGAAATGTTAAATCCTGTGAGGTTTTACCCATTGCTCCACATACTCAGAAAGCTTCCAAGCAGCCTGACCCAGCCATTAATTGCTGCGCACTCACAGATGGGCAGCTCATTTCCATACTGGTTGAAGCAAAACATAATTGGTAAGGCAAACATACTGTCAGAAATATACAATATCTATGTATCCCACTACACATTGGAAGTCAAACAACACTGAGCTTTGTGATTTTCCACTGTTTTAAACGAATCACCCCACTGCTCCCCCTCTTGCATGGACCGCTGAGGAGTTGCAACCCATGGGGCTGTTTTAACAAACATCTGAGAACATACACATTCAAATACGCTGTTCTTTCAAAATAGACACCTTGGGACTGAGTTGCTGCCTTGCTTGAGAACTTCCAGAAGTTCTTTTCTTTGTTGTTTGGAATTGCCTTTGGAGCGTTTTGTCTGCTCTTTAAAGTGCCTGTGGTCTACCAAGAGGGCAGATCTCCATCTCGGGAGAGCAGGATTGATTTTTGGTGACAGGAGAAAGAACTGTGGAGCCAAGTGTAGTGAGTCAAGTGCAATCTTATACTTCTTACTCATAAAGATTTATTTTCCTACTATTTTTTCTTCCCAAGGAAGTCATCTAAGATGAACTCTGCATTTGTGATCATTGCCTGAGCAAGGAGGTGAACTCGTCAATGCTTCCCTGAACAAAATAAGCAAGATAAAACCAACCCCCTATCCCCCAACAATGACACACACGCCTTTTCTTCTGCTGAGTACACAGCTCTCAGCCTGGCACCCACTGACTGCCACATGGATACAAACAACGTCTCACTAGACCCCAGGGCCTTTCCTTTGTGGAGCTGCTAAAAAACTGCTTCAAACATCTCGCTCCAGGCTAGCTTCCCTGCAACCCAACTAACTCCTCACCTACCTCCAGGGCCACTGATCAGCCTGCAATAGGGAAGGCAAACTCACATGAATTCAATGCCCTAGGTAGTCAGGAGGATGAAATCATGGCAACAGTCTCCAGCTAATGAATCAAATGTCCCGAGGAGACGCTTTGGTTCCAGAGGGGCCATGGTGGCTCCAGGGACCTGGGGCTGGACACTTTTTCAAAGGAGGAGGGTTGAAGCTGTTCTAGGAGTTGGCAGTGACTGGAATGCATGAATCCTCCAAGAGGATCTCTCAGGGGAGATCAAGCCTCCTAGTTGGATCTAAGACTTTTTTTGATGTATTGGTTAAATAATAAATCAAATGTTTTTGTTTGTAGTTAGAGGGCTGTGTCAGGTGAGAGGAAGCAGACAGTGTTGGGATGACTATATACTTGGTAATTCTGGGACTTACCGACTAGGAGACAGCCTAGATCTATTTTCAGGTCTTGATGAAGGCAGTGAGCTGTCCCCAAGACCCTCCTTAATTTCCCTAAATCAATATTTTTCCCTTAAAATAACTAGGTTGTAGGTGCTGCTTTGGGGACTGGCCATTTCTATACAAACCAAAGAGTGAGGTTTCCAAGAATGAAAGTTCAGAAAGCTGGGTCCCCAAGGGGACCCTGAGGATCAGGGAGAATTCTCTAGGAAAGCCACAGCTCCTCTGTGTTCCTTCCCGGGATCAGCACCTCTGAGGACATCAGTCCCTGGAGATTTTCCCTGGCACAGGGGAGAATTAATTCTTGTGTTGCCTCTCTTAGCTTCTCCTCCCCCTGGGACACTCTACAACCAGCTCCAATAATTTTGTCTTCATTTCCCTGGACTCGGGGCCTCCAGATTCAGAGAAACTAGAATTCCATTCTTTCCGCTAAGGAAAACCATTAGACCTGCACTTAGCAACCACCAGGATGGTATTTTTAGCTCTCTGGCAGAAGTGTAATGTACAAAATGTAATAATCTCAGCTTTGAAGTTCCTCACAGCCCCATTCAACATGAAATTGTGGCTGATGGATGGTTATGGAGGCAGCAGAGAAACAGGGCCAATGTGCTTGTCTGCTGTTTTCCTTCTCTGGTCAGAGTGTAGGTACCGGAGAGGCAGCAAAGATCAGAAACACACAGGTCTTAGGAAATCCACTACTCAACTCGCAGGGAAACTAGCCCCCAAATGTCCATTTCCTCCTTAGGTCACGTTTATATAATAGCTCAAGGGCTAAATCCACTCTGCTGAAACTTTGGAGTGAACCAGTTGCCTATTCCCCTTCTCCCAACTTAGTCTGTGCATTTGGGCAAGTCCCTTCACCTGTCTGCCTCAGTTTCCACATCTGCAAAATGATCCTTTTCGGTTTAGAATTCTACATTCTATAATTCCAAATACTGTCTGGAATTGATACAAGACAAACCCTGTGATGGGAGGCCCAGTGCGACTCAGTGGCGTGCATTTGCCGAGTGCCTATGAAGCACTCAGCACTGCAAGGTGGCTGTTCTGGCCCAGCCCAGTGAGTGGCTAATTCACCTCCGAGGCCCTCTTCGGATCAATTTTAATTCCCACAATGCATCCCCACCCCATCTGACACCTCTGCTTCCAGGCTGCCTACCCTGACTTCAGCCAGTGGGCGGCCAGGAATTGTGACTGGATTTTAACTTCAGCCCAAGCAAGATAAAACCAGGCAAGTTCAATCTGCTCCCAAACACTCATGGGACCTATTCTGAGGCCAAAGAAAAGTGACTTTTGAATTAGTTACTATTTTCAGACAACATAGGGGTAGGCAAAGAGACAGATTTTGTTCTCTGTCTTCTGCCCAGCCTCTCCCCAAGGCAGAGAAGGCAAGAAGAGGGGGGAAGAGGAGCAAAGGGAAATGTATAGGCTTAAGGGAGAAGGAGGGGCTGGAGCTTTGGCTCCTGCCCAGAAGTGGCAGATCATCACAAGCCCCTTAATGATGATGCAACCAGTTCCCTGGTGCTTCCTCCAGCATCAAGCCTGGCTCCCAGGGACCTTCGGCATCGTTCTCTCTCCGGGTAGGATGGCTCCACATCTGGATGGACTGATTGGGATCCTGCTCCAGAGCCCCATCATTGACTCACTTAGCCATCCAAACACATTTAGAAAAGTGCCTAGTATGTGCCAGGCTCTGTGCTAAATGCTCTGGGAGATGCAAAGAAGTATTAGAATTCTGTCCTCAAGAAATGGATGTCTCAGAGATACCATCTATTCTAGAGAAAGAGGTTTCCTGGTCAATTTTAGCCAAAAATCTCATTTATTTAAGTGAATTCATACTGAGCACTCCCGTGAAGTGCCAGGCACTGTGCCAGGGGCTTGCGAGTTGTCCTTGTCTGAAGCGTCAATGATCTACAGTGGAATTGGGATGAGGTTCCTCTATGTCTTAAATTTGCCTCTATCCAAAAATGCTTGAAGCTCCATCACACTGGTTTCCTCAGCACTTTCAGTTCATGTGCACCTATGTGCACACTAGAAGGTGGCAGGGGGTGCCCTGGGGATGGGGAGGCAAGGGCAGGGCACCTTAAGTTGCCTGTAGGAGGGGACTAGAGGGACCACTCACTTCCTACATGGCCATATCAGTGAGGAAGGCCCAGGAGAGACTATGAGGCCAGGGAAGAGAGGAGTGTGGAGGGAAAGGGGAATTATGAGGATGGAACTGAAAGGGTTCTATCTCGTGCCACAAGGGTCAACAGCCATTGCTCCTATTTTCCATGCTGGGAGAGAGGCGTCATAATGGAGGATCTCATATATTATTCCCACATCCACCTGGCCGCTGGTGGTTGGTTGCCAGCCTCCTGATATGTAGCAGGGGCAGAGGGATAGAGTCCTTGACCTTCCTCTTGAAATAAGTTCATCCCCTCTTGAAGTAAGTTTGGCTGCTAATGGGAGCCAGCCTTGGACTGTACATTTGTGGTGGATATTCAACTAGCAGAAAACCAAATCATCACATCTCAAGAAGCAAAAGGAGGAGGCTGATGGGCAAGAATAATGGCCAACATTTACCGGGGCCCTACTATGTGCAATTCATATATATTAACTCATCTAATCATCACAAGAACCACCCCATGGAGTTGGTGTGTTATTATTCTCATTTTTCCAAATGAGGAAGTTGTGGCACTGAAAGGTTAGGCAACTTGCCCAAGGTCACACAGCTAACAGGTGGGGGATGATGTGTGCCTGGGACAAAAGCCCCCATCAGAGCCCTAGTGCTGTCTTGCCTCTGGGTTAGTGGAATGGGAAGTCTGTACTTATTTCCTCTGGCTTGATGCCACTGCCAACTTTCAGACTAACAGGCAGAGAAGCATGTACGTGAAACCTCTTCCTGTCTCTTTGCCGAATCCTATTTCCCAGAGTGTGAAATGCGCTTCCCTCCTGCCAGCCACAATATGGCCTGATTATGCCTAATAAGACACGGGCTTCTAGTCAGCACGAGCTCAGCTGCTGAGTACAGGGGAGACATGGGGACTCTGCTTCCACCCCAGCCTCCTCCTGTCCAGGGCACCTGCTGTGGCGCCCGCCCAAGGCAACAGATGACACAGGGCCCATTTGTGGCCCCTTCTCCCCACCCCTGGCTCCTCTGCTCCATTCCCCCTGGTGGGGTGAGGTCTGGGGAGGAAAAGAAGGGGTAAGGAGTGAAGAGAGGCACCCTCGTTGTCAAGTGTTGGTGCTTTAACCCACACAGCTGGCTGCTGAAGCCGACAGATGTGGGAGGCCAAGGGAAAGGGCGACCTCATTAGTGGAGCTAAGAGGATGCTGTAAGCACTCTCCCTATACTCCTGCCCCCTGGAACAGCAGTTGAGGGGTAAGGGGTAGAGAATGCAGAGTTAGCTGTACCAGGCAAGGGCACTGTGATGATTAATTTTATGTGTTGACTTGGCTAGGTCAAGGCCACAGGGTGCCCAGGTATTTGTTCAAGCATGACTCTGGGTGTGTCTGTGAGGGGGGTTTCCTGATGAGATCAACATTCGATTCAGCAGACTGAGTAAAGCAGATGGCCCTCCCTAATGTGGGCAGGCCTCATCCATTCTGTTAAAGGCCTGAATAGGACAAAAAACACTGACCCTCCTGCAAAGAAGAGAAAATTCTTCCTGCCTGACTGCTTTGAGCTGGGATATTGGTCTTTTCTTGCCTTCGGACTCTAACAGAAACATCAGCTCTCCTTAGGTCTTGAGCCTGCTGGCTTCTGTACTGGAACTACACACCAACTCTCCTGGGTCTCCAGCTTGCCACTGCAGATCTTGGGACTACTCCGCCTCCATCATCATGCGAGCCAACTCTGAATAATAACTCTCTTTCTCTCTCTCTACATCCTATTGGTTCTGTTTCCCTGCAGAACCCTGACTAATACAAGTACCATAAATATTTATTGGTAGGGACCTGGCTTGGAGGTTGGTAGGTTGGGTTTTTGCATGTAACCGGTGGTTCTGAGTCAAAGTGTTTACATTCTTGCCTCTCAGCTTCCAGGGACGACTCAAATGGCCCCTGAAATACAGCCTTGACCAGGAAACTCAGCATGAAGGCACTTCTCTGGCCAAATATTTCTAGATATGGCCTGTTTTTCAAAGCTTGAAATTAAAGTCCATGCTCAGAGCTCTTCATTCTTTCCAAGCTCTGCATGTGCTATGGGGCTGAAAAGAGCAGAGAGCAGCTTACTGGAGTGTCTAGATGCAAGAGAGTCTGGGGAAAAACAATGGCTGAATTCAAGGGGGCTGTCTTTGCCAGTTTTCTGCCTCCAAGAAGGAGGAGCTTCCCTCGTGACATGTAGTCTCTGCAGTTCCTCAAGGTTTCCAAGGAGGGTACCACTATGAGTGTCTCACTTATCTATTCCAGTGTTGGCTCATCCAGAAAATTTCAAATCCTTGAATTCCAAGGAAAGTCAATGTTTCTGTAATGCAGACTTGAGTAGGTGCATCCAGGACAGGCTGGTGCGGTAGTGTGGTGGCGGTGGGGTGCTCAGTGATGGTGTCTGGGTTCAATCCCAGCTCTAACACTTACTACCTATGAGAGCTTGGGAGAGTTACTTAAGCTCCTTGTACCTTCATTTCCTCATTTGAAAAAATGGGATGATTATAGTGGTAACTACCCTCCTAGGGTTGCTGTGAGGATTGAATGAAATTATACATGTATATGTAGTGAATGGTTAACCTATAGTAGCGCTATATACACTTTAGCCATTAGCAGATGTTTTTAAGTTAGTGGAATAGTTTACCCTTCTTTGTATTTCCCACTAACGCTAGAACCTGCCTGGTATTCTAAGAATTATATATCTAATAATAATATAGGGAGATCCTAAACGTTCTGATTTCAGACCTGACCCATTGCCAGGAACAGCAGTGGATTCCTGAGACATGGTCTTGGTCCTCAAGGACTTAGAAATTATCTTACAAAGCCCTGTCTACTCTCACTGGGTTATAAACTGACAACTGCTGCTGGAGGAGGTACAACTGAGAACAGGGTGGGGCGCCATGGAGAGTTTAGCCAGCCAGGGTGGAATCTACCCGCAGCACCTTTGGGATGTGAGGTGAGACCCCTGTGGCCTCAGGCTAACTTAGCTGATGTCTCAGGTGGATGGAAGGTGCCCATCTCCTCCAGGACATGGACTGGGAGAGAGGCACTCCAAATGGCAACAAATAAAGTTTGAGGTTTCCTACTGGGACTTCTTTGGTAGTACCATATAAATACGGTTTAGGAGCACAATGTCTTAAGTAATAAAGGAGAAGGAGGAAAAAATAATCCAGAGAGAAATCAACTTATGGCTCATTTAAACCTTATTGAAATTTCTACCGTGGAAACATTTAAATATCATAGTTACTGCAGTGTGCCTTCGCTCCTGCTATTCCCTGGTGAATGTTTCGTTGCACATTTGGTTGGGGAGCAGAATAATAAAGCTGCTTGGAAATTGCTTTCCCACTGCTAGGTAATTACAACAGGTTTTTATTCCAAATGTAAAGAATGAACCGTTTTTTTTAATAAAGGAAGCTCTCGGTCCGTCCCAGCCCCCTCCACTTGCTAGCCTCGGTCTGCCTTGGCCCTTGGCTCCCACATCCTCTGTCACACTTCCCAACACGACCTCCTCTGTTTCCTGCCTTTCCTCTGAGACGCAGCTGGAAGCAGCTCTCCCATCTCAGCTGCTGGCTCTGTCTCCCAGCCTGGAAGCCTTGCATGTCACTGTTTAGAGAAAGGGGCGGCCCCCCTCCAGGTCTCTGTTGAGGACATTACATATTTGGCTTGACTCCATCCAGGCCATCAAACACACTCCTGTCTCCCGTTCCTACCCAGAGAGATGCATTTCCCCACCTCCATCTTTTTTTAATCCCAAGCAAGCAATTCGGGATTAACTCGACATTTGTCAGCTCTGTCTGAGCACAGGCGTGAGCTCCTCGGCTCTCTCCCACCAGACAGAGCAAAGAAAAAGTGCCTTTTGTGCTTTCAGATGCACACTTGAGCTTGGCAGCCAAGTGTGCACCTGCCCAAGGCCGGGTGGGCACAAGTCCCAACAGCTGCCCGCACAGGGCTTTGCTCTCTCATCTGGCCTCTCAGGTTTAACTCTGAGCGGGCTTCCCCTGTCACCAGACACATTTGTTTCTTTCCTAACCCCTGTTGCTTCTGGCTACTGCGTGTGGAAAAATGAATCCTCTTTGTGCTATGTCACCTCCAATGTCTCTAGGAGGGAGAAGTCACTCAGCAGCCACCTCTCATGACATCATGGGAGTCCGGGGCAGCCCCTGGGGCAGGGCAAAGGGCAGGGGCATGGAAGTCAGTTCATTCTGCAGCTGTGTGGCTCTGAGCACTCCCTTCCCCTCTCTGGGCCTCAGTTCCCCTCTCTGTAAAATAAGGCAGACTAGATGTCTTTGCATCCCTTTAAACTATAGTACCCCACAACTGTACATTTCAGTGATACCCATTTTGGTCCATTATCTGCTGTTTTGCCTTATCCATTCCCATATGTCCTTCCCTGAGAATAGGTCTACAGGGCTGGAGCCAGACAAGAGCACCGTGCTTGGCTCAGAGTCACATGGTTCTGAGGGGGCCCCTGTTAATGATCAGGTTTATTCCTGGGAACGGAACACCATGGGACCCTGGTGAACTGAAGAAATAGGAATGGAGACCCAGCAGCTGTAGAGGGAGGCAGGTGGGTGGCCTCTCCGGGACAGACTGGCTGCTGGCTGTTGGAGTGAGTGCCTGTACCCAGTTTCTAGCTCTGACCCTTCCCTCTCTGAGCTCTGGTTTTCTCTGTCTGTTTAATGAGGTGTTTTCCCATGCCCCAACTTAGGAGGATCAATGAGAAGGTGAAAATATTTTTCTTTGGGAAGAAAAAGAAGCCAGAGGTCCAATGGGGAAATCGAGGCATGGGGCACTCCTCATAGTCTAGAAGTACCGACTACAAATATGCTCGAGTGGGGCAGGGCCTCTGGCGTCCGGTTTGGATGCCCAGCAGGGCCCAGTGGCACTTCTTGACATCGGTGTTAGAGAAAGATGACCTGCTGCTGGTCTTCCCTGCCCCAAGCCCAGAACCTCTGAGGAAGAGAACACTGTGCAGATTCCAAGGCCAAGAAGTGGCCTAGAGGGGAAGTTCTGTGGTCTAGTCCTGCTTTGGGGGTGTGTGTGAAGGTGACAGTGTGCAACGGAGTCTCAGGGTGTGAGTGAAGGCTGGGGCCCAGGCCCTGAGGTGCACTGAGGCTGGCTTCTGAGGTGTGGCCGGCTCAGTGCAGGGGGCGAGGGTGTGGGGGATGGGAGGAGAGCAGCGGCTGTGCTGGGGGCGGACAAAGGGAGAAGACAAAGATTATTTTAAACCTGTATTAATCACTGCTCCAAACAGGGACTGGGGGTGGGAGCCGCAGCTGTCATAGAGAGGCTGGGTGAGGGTGGTGGAAGAGAGTCCAGCAGGGAGGGGCTGGAACTCTTCCTTTCCACCCCAGGACCTCGGCCCAGCCCAGCTGTGAGCCTGGGGCCTTGCTGAATCTCTGTGGCTTGCTTGGAGTCCAGAGCAAATAAATGGTAAAAACTAAACTGTGGCCCCATTTTCTGGGCCAACTTGTCTTCCTACTTCCAGGCACCTTCCTCGAGAGCCTTCCCTCCACTGTTGCCAAGAGTTAGCCTAAAACAGTTTGGATCAAGTCATGTCTCTCAAAAGATAGTAATAATGGCTTCCCATTGCCCAAACAACTGGCCACCTCCTTGGCCTGGCAGACAAGGCCGTTGACAACTGGTCCATCTGAACCTTCCAGCCCCAACTCCCGTGGGCATAACAGCGATTGTCCTCTAAGCACTTGCCACGTGCCAGGCACTGAGCCAATGCTTTCATCCGTGACTTCACTGAATACTCATATCCACCTTGTAGGTTACTTTCTACAAATGAAGAAATGGAGGCTTAGATAACTTAAGCAAGATCTGTCTGATACACAAGCTTACATTCTTAACTTCCTGGAGAATTACACAAACATTCATCATTCCCTGCTTTGCTCAGCTCTTATCTCACCCGTCTTCTCTTTCGTTTTTGCCCTTATGAACATCCTCCTCATTCTTCAGGGCTCAGCTCAAATGCCGCCTATTTAAAGAAGCCTCCCTGGTTGGAATTCAACCATGGACTCGATAAGCATTTAATATTCACTGCCATTTAGATAGGTCCTATTATCTCCATTTTATAGATAAGAAAACAGAGGCTTAGAGAAACAAAGCTAAGTATCTGTGTTTACACAGACACTACACTGAGTGACGGAGGAGGGATTCAAGGCCAGGTCTCCTGATGGCCCCAAATTCAGCATTCTTCAAAACACTTTCAACCATGTCAATGACTCTCCCTTTATGCATCCACAGTCCTTTGTTTGAGCCTTTATTCAGTGCTTATCAGATTCTGCACGTCTGATATTGGTGCTAGGATATGAGAGTACTCAATAATAGCCACAATATTGACTTACTACATGTGCAAGGCATTGCAGATGCTGAATTTTTCCCCCAACTATGAGGTGGGTATTGCTTTCTCCATTCTTAAAGATGAGAAACTGATTCTTTGAGGCATTAGGTATGTTCTGCTTAATGCTGCCTCACCATCTCCGTGGGATTCCGATGCAGATCTGTCTCAAGTTCATGCTTTTCCCATTACACAGGCTGCCTCTTGTAGGCTCTTCAACAGGTGGGTCCATGATTTATTTGTTCCGGAATGAATAAGACCCTAGTAGCATCTTGGGTAGAGTAGAGAATATGGAGATGGGCCATTTTTGGCTAGGAGGACTGGTCGGCCACTATAGTCTCCTTGGGGATCCTGGGGCTCTGAGCTCTGTGAACACCAACAACTCCTTCTTTAAAGTTTCAACTCAATTCTCTTGGACTCAGTCTTCTACACAGGTATAGGTGGGAGTGTTTCTCCCTCCATTTGTCAAGGTTTTTCAGCTGTTACACTAGGGACACTGATACCTGCCTAAGTGGGAAATGGCCACATTGAAAGAGGGAAGGAGAGCTGCCCTGCTGTGCCTGTTCCCTTGTTACTGACATTTCCCCAGGACTTCCTAACTTTCTGTGGGTTCTGTGCCATTCCTGACTGGGGTGGGGGACAATGGAGGGAGAGGAGCCAGACCCGAAGTCATCGCCAGGGATGTGAGCAATTCTAGGAAACAGGAGAGAAAGCACTAGAGAGGAGACCACGCTGAGAGATCTCCTTGGAGCAGGGCACCCCTGGACAAACTGATTCCCATGAGAGGAGCAGTCCCCCAAATCTGGGGACTCTCCCCATGAGACTGGAGAGTTTTAATTCAATCAGAAGATGTTTTCATTCAATCAGAGGATTTTCCCTTGCCAAAAAAGAATTGCATGTTAATGTAACTGTTGAAAAGTGGTAGTTTTTAGAACCAGCATGGATTCATTAAGACTAGGTGACACCAAATTCATCTTTTAACTTAAAAAAATTTTTTGGTAAGGTTCTAAAGCAGGGTTTCTCTATCTTGGCACTATTGACATTGGGCCTGATAATTCTTTGTTGGGGGTGAGTATGGCGATGGGGGCGGTCCTGTGCATTGTGAAATGTTCAGCAGCACCCTGGCCTCTACCCACTAGATGCCAGTAGCATCTCACCACTCAGTCAAATGTGACAACCAAAAATGTCTCCAGACATGGCCGAATGTCCCCTATGGTAAAAATCTTCCCTAGTTGAGAACCATTGTTCTAGTCTGATAAATCAGGAAGCTTCTCTACACCTAGTTCTGTAGTGAGATATTTGATAGATTTGGATTTGACATTATCTTTGTGACTAAGGAGGAGGAAGGTGGGCTGAGAATGAGCCTAGTTAGTTGTCCCAGTAACCAGCAGGACACTGTGTACCCGCATGCTGATTTATGACGGGCATCAGCCTGGGCACGTCCACGTTCACAAACCTCCAGCCTCTACTAACAGAACTCTTATCAACAACTCGAATAAAGACAATGATGGCATGCTTATCATAGGTACAAATGTCATAAGACTGGTAGACATGAAACTATGTCAGATGAAATACTAAGGATTCACAAGGATTCCAGACTTTGTTAGTGAAAACAACAAGCTTCAGGGCAGTGTGCACTACACATTCCCATTTGTGTAAAAAGTGAGTCAAATATAAAAATGAATTTTGATACTTGCTTAGAGCTGCATAAGGGAGCCCCAGAAGGGTGCATGAGAAACTAAGAACAACATTGTCATTACTTATGTGGAGGGAAGGCCAACTGGGCAGATGAGAAACAAGTGTGGTACGGGAACGTTTCCATTTACCCTGTTACATTTTGTGATTTTTTTTTTTTTTAGACAGAGTTTCACTCTTGTCACCCAGGCTGGAGTAGAGTGGCGTGATTTTGGCTCACTGCAACCTCCGCCTTCTGGTTTCAAGCGATTCTCCTGCCTCAGCCTCCTGAGTAGCTGGGATTACAGGCGCCTGCCACCATGCCCAGCTAATTTTTATATTTTTAGTAGAGATGGGGTTTCACCATGTTGGCCAGGCTGGTCTCGAACTCCTGACCTCGTGATCCACCTGCCTCGGCCTCCTAAAGTGCTGGGATTACAGGCGTGAGCCACCGTACCCAGCTGCATGTTTCGATCGCTAGACATGATAGTGTGTTATCTACTCAAGTAATGTAATTAAAAACAGAACTCAACCTATAGTGTGGCTGAAATCAAATGCAATGCAATTGAACAGATGCAAATAAATCCTGTATTAGTTTAAAAAGTTAATTTGGCAATGATGAGTATAATATCAGGCTTGAGAGGTTCATGTGAAAATCAGGTAGGAGGTTTTAGATGGTCACAGGCCATTAAGTCAAACAACAAGCAGACCCACCAACATACACAATGAAAGCCTGGACTGTTTATGGTATCTGGATCAAGGGAAATGGCCCATTGTACTCTGGGCAGGTCAGACCAAATTCAGCCTTACCTTCATTTCTGTCTGCTATATTTTTGGAAAGGCATTGACAAGTGTGTACAAAGAACAGTGACCTAGATGGCAAAGGCCTGGAAACCATGAAAAATATGGGGAAGAGGTGATGAAACTTGGGACATTTAAATTGGAAAAGATTTAGAAGGATATGAAACCTGTCTTCAAACATTTGAAGGCTTGTCCTGTGCGAGGAGGGTTAGGGGCTTTTTGTATAGCTCTAGACTGCAGAACCAGGCCCTCTTCAATTTATTGGGAGGCCAATTTCAGTTTAGAACCATGCAAAGGCTGCTTTGTGAGATAATAATAAAATAGCAACACTTACTGAGCACTTACAAAGCATCAGGCCCTGTGATAAGCACTTTCTCTGCATTATTTCCCTGACTTTTCACAACATCCTGGCCAAGGCACTTACTTCATTGTCATTTTAACCAAAAGGAGAAAGGAGGCTTACAGAGGTTAAGCAAACATGCCTGAGGTGACATGGCCAGTAGACGGTGGATTTGTGTGACCCCAACACATATATGCTTGACCACTAAGCCTCCTTCCTGAAGGCAGTGAGCACTGTATTGTGGCCAGTATTAACAGAGGGGTAAACACTGCCTGGTCACCATGCTCTGAGGAAATTCTTGGAGCAGGTGGGAGAAGCCTGTTTCATGCTTACCACACTGTAGTCCTCTAAGAAAATAAGCCCTGTGTGTGTGACTCTGCCAGGGAAAGGAGTGAGGCATACGGAGAGAGAGAGGCAAGCAGGCTCCTGCTCACAGCTATCTAGGGGCTAAAGTGGAGTTTTTGGTGGAGGTGGTGGTCTGTAAAGAAGTCAAAGAGGTGAGTGCCGAGGAGAAACGCTGCCCCAGTGCTGAAGAGTTGTCTGTTCTGTCCACGGAGGCTTGTGGCAGCACTTACAAGTCATTGGGTATTATGCTTCCTGACTCACAAAGCCCCTTTGAAGACATATCTCATTTAAGTAATCATACCTTGTGAGAAAATACAACTCTGGCAGGGTGCGGGTGGAGAGGGATGGGGAGAAGTTTCTCCAGAGACAGAAGGGGGAGAACCACAAAAGTAAGAGAACAATTTGGTGGTGGTCATACCAGAGAAGGACAAAGAGGGGAAGGTGAGAGAGGAGAGAAAAAATATCTAAGGCTTCTCAACCTCCTCTGGGGCCCAGCTGGGCCAGCTCAGCTGCCTCAAGGACTTAACAATATTTCCAAACTAAACAAGCTCCAAAAGGCAAATGACCCCCGGTCACTGCCTGGTTCCTCTATCACACAGTAGCAGGGGTAAACATTTACCGAGTGGAGAAAGGAAGAGCCAGCAGGTAAGCCACATTTAAAGCAGGCTGAATCAGAGCAGATAAACCAAGGGGCCAGCATATAGCTTTATCAAGTTATCTGATGTGCTGGCTGGAAAAGAGAAAGACCTGCGGCACTTAAATATGAGAGGGAATCACTTCAAAGCATCCAGGAATGGGAAATTCATGCTCAGTGGGAAGGACCTGGGAGAAGGACTTGTCATTTGGAGAGGGCTCTCCCAGGGAACCCATGTACACAGGAGACTCAGAAAATTAACATGATATCTTGAACAATAATCTTACACCTTAGACCCAACTACAGGGACAGCCCTGGAAAAGGAGAAAAGTCCCAGGTCCTGGCAAAGGCTGTGAGCCAGCCCACAAGCCAACACAGTGGACCTAGCACAAGGTACCCCTGGCTGGGTGTACCAGAGTGATGGGCAGAGCAAGGTCCAGAGAGGGCAGAGGAGCTGGGAGGGCAGGGATTGGAGGCAGGCTCTGCTCAGACCAGCTGGAGCCCTAACTGTGGGGTGGGAGGGAAGAGGGATGGGACTTACGCAGTGGATGCCTGGCAGGGGCAGCAGAGCATTGCCCTCCAAGGGCCAGAGGCCAAGAGAAGAAGCTGGAGGTGGTGGGGATTGTGGTAATTACAAGAGAGGGAGAGAAATGGGAGGGAAAGGAAGATGGCAAGAGGCTGTCAAAAAGAGCTGCAAAGGAGGATGAGGGCAAAGATTACAGAGAGACAGAGGCAGATGACACACAGAGGGTGGCAGAAGAGAACAAAGACAGTGAGGCCGGGTATGGTGGCTCACGCCTGTGATCCCAGCACTTTGGGAGGCCAAGGCGGGTGGATCACCTGAGGTCAGGCGTTCCCAGCCTGGCCAACATGGAGAAACCCAGTCTCTACTAAAAACACAAAAATTAGCAGGGCACGGTGGTGGGCGCCTGTAATCCCAGCTACTCGGGAGGCTGAGGAAGGAGAATCGCTTGAACCCAGGAGGCAGAGGTTGCAGTGAGCCAAGATCACACCACTGCACTCCAGCCTGGATGACAGAGTGACACTCCATCTCAAAAAAAAAAAAAAAAAAGAAATAAAGAAAACAAAGACAGTGACATGAAGACCCAGGTACAGAGAAACCCAAAGACAGACAGAAACCTCTGCAGGGGCTACCGAGAGAAGGAACAATGGAGAAGGAGCAGCACAGAGAGGCAAGCATGCATTAAGAAAGGGAAGAGAAGAAAGAACCCTGGGCTTTGGTGAGGAGAGGCTGCAGAGGAGAGGAAGGAAGCCCCTCCTGCTGTCTGAAGTCCCTTTGGAGCTTATCCTCTTGGCACTCACCGGGAGCAGCTTTGCTAATGAGGGACTTTTCTCTGGTTGTGTGTGCGAGGGCAGCAGGAGGAGGGGCAGGGGTTGGTTCATCACTGGGACTTCTTTAGATCAGGGTTTTGTGTTTATCTTGATGTAATGAGTTCGTTTGGGTAAATGGAGGCGATGTGGCTGCAGGGCTGGGGTTCACTGTATTGTTTTCAGCAACCTGCTGCTCTTCCCCGGACCAGCCACAAACCACAGACATAACCACCATAAGTGAACAGAGGCCTGCCCCAAAAATTCAGGGGACAGACACCGCAGCCTTGCCAATGGGTCTGCCCCATGGACTGAGTGACGGCCCCTGGCCCTGCTAAAGCAGGGAGGAGACCAAGATGGGACCCTGGCACCTGCTAGTCCCACTGCCTGCAATGCCTTCACCCAGATAATCACTCAATAGGCATTTATGGAGCACTGGCTCTGTCCTAGATGCTTAGAATATCACTGCACAAAACAAAGATATCTGTTCCTGTAGAGATCAGGAAGTTGAGCTTCTAGTAAAGGAAGGTTCTAGTAAAGGAAGATTCACTTAAATAGGTAAACCACACCATCTGTGGGAAGGTAAGAAATCTTTTTTTTTTAAATCATTTTAGGAGAATTTTTTGCCAAAGTTAAGGATGCACCCAGGAGACAGGTCTATGCCTGTCTCTGTGATTTTGAGGGCTCCAAATGTAAAGGTGAAGGGGCAGGATATTGAGAAGCACACAGTTTTCACATAAACAAAAGGAGCAGAGGAAAAATGTAGGGAATCTGCATTTTACATAAGATAACACAGACAAAATGGGGTAGGGGAACAATAAGCTGGAAGGTAAGAAATCTTATGGAGGAAAACAACAGAGCAGAAGACGGGGAGCAGGAGGCCTGGGGAAGTCAGGGTAGCTTCCTTCAGGGGTGACATCTGAGGGGGACAGCCCTGAGGATCTCTGAGATGTGTGAATTTCAGGCAGTGGGAACAGCCAATGAAAATGTCCTGAGGTGGAAGCATTCCTGGAACATTGAGGGACAACAAACAGAATGGCTGGTCGGGAGGGACTAGGAGCAAGAGTCGCATTCAATGACTCCAGAGTGGCCATGGAAACCAGAACATGGAAGACTCTGAAGGACACTGAAGAATTCAGCTTTGCCTCTGGATGAAATGGGGAGGAATTGTAGGGTCCTGGGCAGAGGAAAATATGCTCTGCCTTAAGTTTGCAAAGGGTCATGTTGGCAGTTGGGATGAGTAGATAAGGAGTCAGGAATGCAAGTGAAGACCAGCTAGGAGGACATTACAGTAAGCTGAAGATGGAGATGGTGAGAGGGGTCAGTTTCTGAGTGTGCTCTCAGGGAAGAGCCAGCAAGATGTCTTGAGAGGTTGGATATGGGCGTGAGATTAACAGAGGCGTCAAAGCTGACTCTAAGGCTTTTGGCTTCAGCACCTGGAAGGATGGAGTTCTCCATCAATGAAGATATATGGGTGGAGCAGCTTTGGGCCAGGCAGCTGGCAAGAGAAAATCAGAAGTTCAGTATTGAGCCCATTGAGTTTGAGATGTTTATTAGACACCTAAGTGTAGAGGCAAAGAACTCAGATGGGTATGTAACTCTGCAGTTGGGGAAAGAGATCAGCAATGGAAATATAAATACCAGAGTCTTAGCATGCAGAGTTTTTAAAGGTGGGAGACTAGAAGAGATGGCCAGGGAGTGAGTGTAAATGGAGAAAAGGACCAAGAACCCAATCCTGGGCTCTCCTGCCCAGGAAGGAGAAGAGAAGCCAGCAAGAGACTGATAAATAGTGAACAGCAAGGTGGGTAGACCTGGAGAGTGTGGTGTCCTAGAAGCCTGGAGAAAAAATCAGAGTGTGGTTTTATGGAGAAGAGAATAACCAACTGGCTCAACCATCTCTTACCTGAGAGTCATCAGGTAAGATGAGAGGTGAGAAGTGACCATGGGATTTAGCAACATGGAGGTCACAGTGATCTGGACAAGAAGTGTTTCGGGAGAGTGGTGCAGGTGAAACCCTGAGTGGGGTGGGTTTGAGGGGGCGTGGCACTGACAGGCTGCATGGCAGAGTGACTGAGACCACAGGTCTGGGCACCAGCCTGCCAGGGGTCAGAAACCAGCTCTCCACTTACTAGCCATGTGACTGTAGGCAAGTTGTTTAACCTTTCTTTGCCCTATTTCCTAAATCTGAGGCCACCTACTTCATAGGGTTGTTAGAAGGATAAAATCACTTGGTGTTTGTAAAGGGTTGGGCACATGGGCAGCACAATAAATGCTTATCAGGTTACAAAGAAAAAAGGAAGAGAATGGGCAAGAGATGAATCAGACCATTCTTTTGAGGTGGTTTTGCTGCAAAGAGAAGGAAAAAAATGGTGAGAGTCTGTTTGCAGGGAAGTAGGGTAAAAAGGAAGGTATTTTAAGAAGGAATAAATAACAGAATGTCTGAGTGCCAGCCTGAATGGTCCATCAGAGAGGAGACTTCAAGGATGCAGAAGGCTTGCTGGAGTGGTGTCATGCAAGAGGCACAGTACCTACGGCACAAATGCACAGACGGTATGTGCCCTCCCTCAGCTCCCGAAGGGCATCCCCACCAACACCCTCTCAGGGAGACCGGCACTTATTAACTTGTTAAACACTGTTCTCAGCTGTCCCCATCTCCCTCTCTGCTTTACCGTTCTCCATCACATGGGTTACCAGCAAACTTAATCATGTCTTGTGTTGTCTGTCCCACAACTAGTATGTAGATTCACTAAATGCAGAAATTTTTGTCTGCCTTGTTGACAGTTGTATCTCCAGATCTCAATAAATATTTGCTGAGTAAATGAATAAATTGGTATCTGTACTTAGTTTCTTGCCATTCGGGGAAGAAAAGTCCTCTTCTTCATTTATTCTACACATACTTTCTGACCATCTACTATGTTCCAGGAACTGTATTAGATCCTGGAGACTTGAAGATGAATCAGACACCATCCTTGCCCTTATTTAGCCTGTGTGTGTGTGGTGTGCGTGTGTGTCTGTGTGTGTGTCTGTGTGTGTGTGTGTGTGTGTTGGAGGAGAGCAAAAAATAAAAAGCAATTCCAAAACTGTGTCGTCAGTCTTACAAGAGAGGGCTGTTCAGGGTCTTGCAGACTTGGGAATAAGGGACAGGGAAAAGCTTCCTAGAGAAGGGGCAGCTGGAACCTGAAGAACAAAACCAGAACTGACGACGACGGATGAGGCAGGTGTTTCAGGTGGCAGAGCAACACAGGCTGAGGCCTGGCGGGGAAAGGGAGCATCCAAAGCTCGCCTCAGTGCTTGTGCATGAAGCCTGCCTGGTCACTCAGCCCCCTAGACTCTCTCTTTCTCTCTCTCTGCTCCAACCCTAACATCTCATGTTGTATCATTTATTGGGCATTGCCCTGGACAATGCAGTGAGCCAGCTCTCCAATGTGTGAGTCTTGAGACCTCAGGCAAGTGGTTTTCCTTCTCAGGGAAGGGGCTCTGGTGCCCATAGCAACAATTCATGTGTAATAAGAGCTCAAGAGTCATTTGCTTACAAAATAATTCTTGAGTGCCTACAACTTGAGTGCCAGGCTGTTTTCTGGGCAAAAGGGAGGCAGCTGTGAACAAGACAGACCAGGCTATGTTTCCTGGAACTATAGTACATTCTATGAGGGAAGGTTATGCAATAAATAAATGAACACATACATGAAAGATAATATAGTGCCACGCAGAGAATAACAATGGGTAATGTGATCGGATGGAGTGGGGCTCCCCTAGACTGGTAATCAGAAAAGGTCTCTGACAGTTAATTGATTGATTAATTAATTCATGTCTCTGACATTTAAGCTGAGACTGAATGATAACTATCTACTGAACCAATTAATGAACAAAAGAGAAGTAGGAAGGAAGACTTTCTGAAAACCACATTCCCGGGAGGTATAGAATTCAAACAGGGAGCCCAAGGGCTGAGACGACACACCAAAGTATCCTCTAAGATATAAGAAGACTTCCTGGAGAAGGTGAGTTTTGCTCACCTTGGACTTGCAAACGTGATTAGACAACTTGGCTTTTTGCTTAAGCGATGACCTGAAGAGAAGGCTCTGTGTCAACAGATGCTTATTGAGCAGATGCTCTGGGCTGAGCTGGCTGAGGACAGGAAGATGGTGACAGAAGACCATCCCCACCCTCTGAAGGCTCACAGTCCAGAAGTGGGAGATAGACAGGTAAACAAACAATTACAATAAACAGTGATGTAGCTGATGAAGGCTATGGCAGCCCGGCAAGTACAGAGTACTAAGTGGGAAGTTGTGAACTCTGGCTGGGCAGACAGCTGAGAGAGGGAATGTGGGGTCTGGGACACTTGACGGAGAAGGTGACATTTGAACTGGGGCCTGAAGGATGACTAGGAGTTTGCTGGGAACCAGGGTGGGGGCAGGGAGAAGGCCCTCAGGAGGTGTTCAGGGAGTGCAGAATATGGAGGAAGTCTTGGAAGAATGATGGCCTTGGTAGGAGACTCGGGACTATTGAGTGCCAGGCACAGGCTGTGGAAGTGTGGCTGGAGAAGGTGGGGAATATTTTTGAAAATTCCTTAACTCTTTAAGGAATTCACATGTAAATGAGGTCATTTCTATAGTACAGGCAAGGCTAGAAAACTCAACACTACTTACCTGCCCCTATGCGGTGCTTCACCCTCTGTTAGGTGCTCCCTGGGGGCCAGCCCTTCTCTTAGGAAGCCAAGTGACTCCTTGACCTATCAGAGGTGAACAACCCAGGGCCCAAGTGACAGGAGTCATGGTGAGAAGGGGTCAGGTTTGAGATGGCCTTGAAGGTAAAGCCAGCATTGGTCTTTGACCCAGGCAACTGGGTTAATGGTATTGACACTGACATGGGGATAAGGTCAGATTTGGGGAGATAAGAACCAAGAGCTTCATCTGGACACAGTAGGTTTGAGTTCCCTGCAGTTTGAGGGAGAGGGGAGGACAGAAGAGAAGAAGGTCCATGCCCCCATCACTCAGACACTGCACTTGGCCTTCTCCTGGGGCTCTCCGGTCCCCTCTGCTCCCCACAATCCAACCTCCACACATCAGCCAGAGTGAGCTTTTAAAGCATGAACAAGATCAAATCAGCCAACTGCCTCACAGTCTCTAGTGGCTTTCCACTGCACCTAAAATACAGGCTAAATCTTCCCCAGCCTATGAACGAGGGCGCTGTGGTGTGGTTGAGGGCTCTTCTCAACTCCACGTGCCTCTGCCTTACCCCACTTGTTCACTCTGCTCCAGCCTCACGGCCTCCCTCCTTCTCTCAAACACGCCAGGCTCATTCCCATTATGAGGCTTTGGCTGTGTTCTATGTTCCTCTCCCCCTAGAATGCTCTTTTCCTGGGCCTTTGTGGAGCTAACTTCTTAGCATCAGGCCCTCAGTCACTTTCTCAGAGAGGCCTTTCCTCATAACCCTGGTTTAAAGTTGTCTTTCTCTCCCACCCTACCCTGTTCCATCTCCTTCATAGCACTTTGCTTGAAGTCATCTTAGTCATCTGTACATTTATGTGTTTTTTATCCCCCCACTATCACCAGCATGTAAGAGCAGGAACTTGGTCTTATTTTTGGCTCTACCCCAGATCCTAGCACAGTACTTGGCACTTAGTAAATAGTTTGACTCTCTTCCCGGGAATGAAGGATGGCAGGCGTGATGACTAGCAGGCTGCGCTGCACCACGGCAATGTGGGAAGCTCCTAGCTGGGACTGGCGGAGGCTGCAAATGGCAGGGTCATCAGGCCAGCAGCCATCTGGTCCCAAGTGTGTAGAGAAGGGGAGATGCTCTGGCTACGGGGACTGTGCCTGCAAGGAAGGCCTCTGCCCTGTGCCTGCCTGACCTTTCTACAGATTTCTTTCTCCTAAACACATACCCAAAGAGATTCCTCCTCAGCTGAAGTCAGAGCAGCAGCAGAAGGAGGAGGAGGAGGAAGAGGAAGAGCAGGAAGAGGAAAGAGGAGAAGGGAGAAGAGGAGGAAGAAAGTAGAGGCAGGAGAAGAAAGAGGGGAAAAGAGGGAAGGGAGAGGACTCAGGGGGAGGGAAGGGGAGGAGGAAATGAGGGATGAGAGGGAGATGTGGAGAGGGAGAGGAAGCATGAGGGAGGAAAAAGAAGGGAGGACAGGGTGAGAGGAAAAGGAGGGGAAGGAAGAGGAAGGGGAGGAGGGAGAAGTGGGGAGGGAGAAGGAGAAGGAAGGAGGGGGAAGGAGGGAGACCAAGAGCAAGGAGGGGGAGGAGGCAGGGTGAGGACGGAGAGGGAGGAGGGAAGGATGATTCTACCTCAGCTGTGGGACCAGGCTGTAGACCAGACTGCCTGGGGGTTTCTCTGCTTTTACCAAATCTGAGGGTCAGGGGGAGGCCTTTGGGCAAAAACGTCATGCATTTTACATGGCCTTGGCCTCACAGAGCAAAGTGCACACCAAATGGGGAGGTGGGGGAAGGGGTAATAAAAATTAAATTAAAGAAATTTTTTAAAGTTGGAAGAACAAATTATTTGGAGACGAAGCAAAAATATCTGTGACATAGCGAGCACTGTTTTAATGACAGCCCGTGTGGGAGGACAGTTTAGTCATATTTTTCATTTTCTCGTCCCCGGGGAGCTGCATCCCAGTGATCAGGCCCTGATAGCAAACTGGCATGTTCCCTAGATCAGTCACCTTCCAGGCTTATTCAGCAGCAGGATGAGTCAGGGGGCTGCGGAGTAACCCCTTCTCCATATGCTCAGAATGCGCTAGCGCGCCTGCCGTGGGGAGTGGAGGGGGCCAGGGGGCTGGATGCGGAACAGGCCTCGGGCCCAGTGGGTGGGCAGGAAGCTTCAGCGGAAACGCTGCCAGCTCTTCCCGGGGCCAGCCGGCTGGTGTGTCCTAGCCTCCTGCAAACTCCTGGGGGTAAGAGTATGACGAGTCCTGTATCTGGGGCCACATCAAGTGTGGAAAAGGATTTCTTCGAAGAAAGCTTGATTCACTGCCAGGAGGAAGAAGTTCAGGAAGCAGTTCTGCCATCCCCTCAGGCATGAGCACTTCCAGGACTAAGATAAAAATAATGAGGATAATTTTAAATGACTGCCAGGATGCGAGAGCTGACTGCGGGCAACATGCTCCACGCGCGTTCATTCACTTCTCTTCATAACAGCCCCGGGAGGCAGGTGTGACCAGCCCCACGGTGCTGAGGGAAGCAGAGGCTCGGAAGCGGAGGGACCTCCCCGAGAACACGGTGAATACGCGTCAGAGCAAACCCGGAACCCGGGCCTATTGGCTTTGAGTCTGTCCACGGACGGCATGACGTGGTGGTTGAGCACCTGCTTCTCTTCTGAGTTGGAGGTGGTGAGAACACAGGAGGGGACTGACCCCCTATTCCTGGCTCTTCACCCAGAAGATCTCAGCTCGCTGTCATTACTATTTTATTTTTAATACCATTTGATTAATACCACATGACATGTTCTCTGGAAATCAGGAGGGAGCAGGTGTGGTTCTTCCTGTTTTACAAGTGGGGACCCTGAAGCCCAGAGAGAGGAGGCAAGTGGACATGGTGCTGACAGAAACTACGCAGTGCCATCTGGACCCAACAGAACTGGGCTGGAGGCTACCTGTCAGCTGTCTAGTAGAGAGCTCATTATTTGAAATGTCTACCTGTATCTTCCTCATCTGTAAAATGGGAATGTTGAGATCCACTCAGCGGACAGCAATAGGTTCAAATGAGCAAAAGGAGGTGTGTTTAAAATGCTGTACAAACTCTACAGTGTCAGGCCAAGCTGGAAGGTGGCATCCCCTTTATGGGCATCATCATCAAGTCCTAGTTAACAGCATGGGCTCTCAGACTGCCTGGGTCCAAATACTGGCTCCTTCACTTATGAGCTGTGGAACCTTAGACAAGTTACTTAACCTCTCTGTGCCTCAGTTCCACCATCATAAGTACCTTCCCTATGGGTTGTTACAGGGGTTACACACATACCACATGTGTAAGTGATAGAGTTCTGGCACATAGGAGGGGCTTAGTCACTATTATTATGACCACCATCACTGCCCCACTCCTGCAAACTGCAAACTCCTTAAGGCAGGCTGGGGTCTGTCTTGTCCGCTGTTGTATTCCCAGGGCTTAGCACACGGGGCAGGCGAGGAGCAGGTGCTCAGCCCACATGGGGCAAGTTGGGGAACGGACACCAGCCCCCGCCTTCCTACAGCGCTGGCCCTGCCCATGAACTGCAGGACTTTCCTAAGTCCTCATCCACGTTTAGTGTTTGTAGGATTTCCTGGGGTTGCTGTGACAGTCCAACAGTCCCAGGGCGGCCTGCCTCTCTGCACCCTGGTGGTCCTCACAGCCTAGAGAAGGGAATCTTCCCCACCCTCTATGGTTTGCCCTCTTTGCAATCTGCTCACCCCAGAAAAATATGGACTCAGCCCTTGGCAGGGCACCTGGACCTCAGTCCCAGATGTCCTTTCAGACATTGCATCTGGTTTTGTGGCTTCCTCCTTGCCGCCTCCGGAGGTGCTTTTGCCTGTGTGGGGCAGTCAGGCACACAGGCCTCATCTGTGCGTGCTGGACAGCTCGGTGTGTGGCGCCCTGTGAACGTGCGTGGGGCACAGGAGCGGAGTGTGTCTAGCTGGGTATGTGGGTTTCTGCCTATGTGGGGCCAGGTAGGGCAGGGCATGCAGGTCTGAGGGCAGTGGACTGAGGCGTTGAAGGCACATGGGCTCACTTGTAAGTCTGGGGTACAGAAAGAAGCTAGATCATCCACGTGTGGCTGAGGGGAGCTTGGGTGCAGGTGCAGAAGCTGGCTTGCAGGTTTATGTGTACATATGTCACATGGGGAGAGGGCAGGAGTGAGTCCCCACAATCAGCTCTTAAGACAGAAATTCACTTCGTATTTTATTTAGAACCTGAAGAATAGACAAACACAGGCCAGGCATAAAGGAGAAAATACTTTTTATTTCCAAATATGCCTTAGGCCACCAAATACTTTGGGACACCAGCGGTTTCTTACCTCCAAGTACCACCTTCCTTCCATAAACACGGTCTCTCTCCCTCTCCAGCCTCATTGGTCCTTGGGCAATTCCTACAAGAGCACCCCACAAAACTGGACTGCTTAGGTTTGCATCTCAGCTTAACATTTTACCTATGACCCTACGCATGGTCCTTGTCCTCTGGCTTGGTTTCCTCAACTGTAAAACAGGGACCACAACAGTATTCTTCAGGGGGTTGAGGATTAAATAGATCAATCCACCTGGAATGCTTAGAGAGTGAAGGACTCTATTCATTTTAGCTCTTACCTTAGCCTTTCTTTACCATGATTCTACCTCTGGGTGGGAAACAAAAGTGAATTTTAAAATGCCCATCACCTGCTTTGAGAAGGTCTTCTTGAATCTGCCCACCAGGGTTACCTCCTCCATCTGCTCCCCCGTGGCTCAGCACCTGTACCTCCACATGCCTGGCACATGTGCAGTACTCAAAAAGACCTTATCATTCTGATCATCGCTTGACATTGACTGCACCAGGTTACAATTGGTGGTGCACGTGGCCATCTCCCTGGGGAGACTACAAGCTTCCTGAGGGCCAGAACTGTTCATTTGCCCCTTGGTCCCTGGGGTCTGGCACAAGGAGACTTTCAGTAAGCAATAAGTGAAATGAAAACTCAAATATAGCAGCCCCATGGGCAGTAAAGTCATGTGTTTACTGTTATTTACTGAGTGTGTGCTTCAACTGTACACAAAGCACAGGCCTTGCCCTCCTGAAGCTGAGTCCAAGGGAAAGGGCGAAACGGAGACAGAAAGAGGGGAAACAGCAGAGACCACAGAGTGTGGGGTCCAGACAGCTTCCACTGAGGCTAAGAGGGCAGGGGGCAGAGTTGGGGGTAGAGGACACAGTCCTATGACCACAGCTGCCTCTGGCCCTCAGCTGCAGGACCACAGACCAGCCTAACATGGCAACCCCATTTCCTCTCCTATTTAGGTACCAAGCATTGCTGGGGCTCAGCACCATCTTACTGTTCTTTTTCCCATCATCAATTATAGTGGCTGTCCCACTAGTGCCAGGAACAGGGTGGCATAATCCTATCCCATCCTCCTACTAGCTGTGGCAGGAGTACTCTCTAAATCTCCCAAAGCTAGAGATCTGGGTTCCATCCTTACTCCACAGTGCTTCTTGCTGAAGATCTGCTCACAGTGCAGCCCCACAGTGACTACAAGGGTCACTATCAAACCTCTGTTCTGTCTCCTCCCTGCTTTCTGGCTCAATACCTAGCTTATCACTGTTCCAGCAGGTGACTCCACAGAGCCCTGATAGTAACACTGATCCCCCAGGGGCTTCTCATGAGGATTCAATAAAACAATGAAGGTAAAGCACCCAGGTCTAGTTCATGGGAAGCCCTCTGCAAACACCAGTCCCTCTCCCTTCCATCTTTGCTTCTTTTCCTTCTGCTCAATGAGCATCAATTTGAAAATGGCTTTATGTTCTGCTTCTTGGCCTGAGGCAGGGACCGGGGTCAGGGAGGCAAGGTGGCCCTGGCCTTCTGCCTCTTGCTGTAGGTGATGGAAGTGATATGTCTGCAGAAAGGCCTCCTAAGATCAAAACCCAATGGCAATTTCTGTGATTTCGCACTCCCTCCACCAGTTACAGGGGGTCTGCCACAGTGAGGAGACTGGATTTCATTAGTTGTACTCTAGACCACCCCTTAAAAGTCAGACCTGGGAAGTTGTTTTTAATTTCCTTATAGATTGTGTGTGAGCACTCAGGTACACATGTGAGTGTGTGGGTGTGTGTCAGCATAGGGCAGTTGCAAAGGAAGGCAGGGAACAGAGCTGGACACTCCTAGGTGAGCTGTTTGGCCACCTGGGTATATGTGTGTGTGGCACTTAGGTGTGGGTGAGCCCCAGCAACTAAGAAGGAGGAGTGTGATACTCACAAGCAGATTCCTGTACATGCTCCTTATGAGTCCTCGGGGGAACCACACATCCATGCAATGCCTCCCAGGACTCTCTGCAACATGACCCAGAGCAGGGAATGATCACGGGCACTGATCGGGGCATTACAAAGCAGTGAGGAGGCAGGGGTAGTAGAATCAACTTGGCGCCACACAGGAGTGCAGTGTTAGATACTGTGTCTTGCCTGGGACCTGTAAGCATGGTGCTGGGGGACTATCTTAGCCATTACATATATACAGACATATGGATATGCAGGGCTGCTGGGCACCTCACCCTTGCCTTCTCCACATCTCTCCCAAGAGACCCCTGCCCGGAGGGAGAGACCCTTCTCTCCCTCTGACCCTTCCCACTTCAAGACTCTTTACCTCCCTCTGGAAAGCCCCAGTGATGCTGTATCTGAGACTACGGTGCAGAAGCATTTCCCCGGACCTGCCTTCCAAACCTCCAGGAGACAGCATTTCAGGTACTAGTGACAAGTGTGCTTACCTGCCAAACATTCATTTGCATAAGGCACTGGTTTAGATTCTAAAGGAACCAAACAGCAGCCTCCACCCTGCAAACTAGCCACTAACTTGAGTTTGCAGAGGGGCAGCACTTCCCTGACACTGTGAAAACAATTAGATGAATGCAGTGTTGCCACTTAGGAGCTTTGTGACTACCGCAAATTACTGAGATTCCTGGAGTCTATTTCCTCATCTGTAAAATGAGGAAAATAAAACTGTGTTTATCTTGTATACTGCCATATGCCCAGTGCCTGGTAAACAGTGAATGCTAAAAAAAAAAAATACTGATTGAGGCCAGGCGCAGTGGCTCATGCCTGTAATCCAGCATTTTGGGAGGCCGAGGTGGGCGGATCACCTGAGGTCAGGAATTCGAGACCAGCCTGGCCAACATGGTGAAACCCCGTCTCTACTAAAAATACAAAAATTAGCCGGGTGTGGTGGCATGCGCCTGTAATCCCAGCTACTTGGGAGGCTGAGGCAGGAGAATCGCTTGAACCTGGGAGGCAGAGGTTGCAGTGAGCCGAGATCACACCATTGCACTCCAGCCTGGGCGACAAGAGTGAAACTCCATCTAAAAAAACAAAAGAAACAAACAAACAAAAACTGGTTGAATGAATAAATGAATACAGAAGGATTGTTATTGGGATTGAGTTGAGGGAAGTAAAGAATTTATCACAGCAATGTCACATATTATGAATTGAGTATAAGGTAGTTATTATTGTTAGCTATTATCCAGGAGCAAAATCTTATCATTCAGTCAGATTGGTTCCCAGAGCTAATATAAAAGCAGGTAATTAAGGATAAATAGTGACATGCCCCAAAGAATCTAGCAGCTGCCCCTGGAGTCCAAAGGGTGATGTGTTATATTGCATTCCATTTAATTTAACAAGTTTATATTGAGCCCATCTTATGTGCCCAGAATTGGTGAGATCCCATGCAAGCTACAAAAGAATTAAGTCAGGCTACCTTCCTAAAGGAGTTACTTTCTACTTGGAGAGGCAAGATCAACACTTATTAGCATAAAAGCTTTCCAGCTGGAGCCAGAGACTCAGCCTGCATTCTAAGGGCCGGGGCAAAACTTTCATTTGTTTCTTCAACAAATATTCATAGTGCACTGGCTGTGCAGTGGCAGGCCCCTAGCTAGGCACTGGGGACCCGGAGATATATGATGAATTCAATGAGCTGCTCCCAGACTAAAGAATGAGACCTCATGAAAATGGGTCAGGACAATAAATGCTGAAGCAGAGCCCAGAGCGCCACCTCTGTAGGCGGTGGGGAGGCTCATTCCCAGTACTTTTGATGAAGAGGCTTAGGAAGAATGCTTTCTTTTTTTCTGAGAGATGTGGGTCCCAAAGCCCCAGCCTGACCTCTCCTGCCTGGAGGCTGGAGAACCAGGTTGTCCACAGGCACCTCATTTTGACCCCACCCTGAAAGCATAATCTCTCACCACGGTCCCCACCCCAAGGTTCCCAGGAATCTTGGAGCATCAGCTCTGACCAGAGGGGAACTTAGAAATCATCTGAATGAAAAGTGGAGCCTCATTTTGCAGCTGAGACTGAGGCCAGGAGAAGTTGAGGACCCCAAACTACTCCATTAGGCAGCAACAAAGCTGAGTAAGATCCCACGTGCTCAGCGGTTTACTTACTAAAGCACAAAAATGCTTGAGGATTCAGAATCTCCCAGAGCCCCCTCCGGCCTCACTCAGGTGCAGCAGGTGAATGAAGAGAGGTGTATCCTTGCTCCCAGCACCTGGCCAGTGGGTCCGAGATAGGAACGGGGCTCAAATGACCAGTGAGGGGGCAGCCAATCCCAAAGTGGGTCCAGGCCTCTGGGGAGCTAATACGTGGGACACTTTGTACTGCAAGTCAGAGAATCCAGTGTGCAGGGATTAAAGGGGTAACGGAGCAGGTGAGGAGGACGTGACTTAACAACACACCTACATCCAGTGGCAACTGAATGAGCCTGGAGCAACAGACAGCAATTTGGTGGAAGGAAAGGCACCCTGGGACAAAGGTGAGTGCGGATGAGGGACACAGGGAGTGTGGCTAAGAGAGGCCCCCAACACCATGCTCACAGGTCCTGGGTAGGACACAGTGTCTAACACCACACTCCTATGTGGAGCCAACTTGATTCTACTAGCCCTGCTTCCTCACTTCTTTGTAATGGGAGGGGTTTGTGAATGCACCTGTCTCATGTGCCCACTGCTCGTTAGTGTTAAAAACTAGTGGTCCACAGGTCTGGGGCCAGGAGATCCTTTGGATTCCAATCTGAACTTTGCCAGCTACTTTCCAGTGTTGTGCCCCTGGGCAAATTTAACCTTTCTGATCCTTTGTTTTCTCATCTGCAAAATAGGGATAGCAATATCTACCTTGAGGTTGTTGTGAGGCATAAATGTGATGCACTTGGTGTCAAGTACCTAATACTGTGCCTGGAATATACTAGGTACTCAGTAAATAATATGATTAGTACCTTCATATATCCCCCTGCCCATTC
The DNA here is from genome assembly GCF_000001405.40 of Homo sapiens. Taxonomy (NCBI): domain Eukaryota; kingdom Metazoa; phylum Chordata; class Mammalia; order Primates; family Hominidae; genus Homo; species Homo sapiens. The sequence goes on from NC_000001.11 coordinate 111,902,877, forward strand.
TGAACACTTGTGAGAGTAGCAGAGTGCTTTGCTCATAGTAGGTGCTCAATATATATTTTTAAAGATCCGTATTTACATATATACAGACATGTGGATATACAGTCAACATACATGTGTAAGTGTTTACACACATACATATAGGCTGTAGGAGCTCAAAAACAGATTCTGAAGGCCAGAAGGGATTCTTTCATCCAATATGCTTTGGGGCAGAACCGGGCTGTCCAGAGAAAGAGGTGGAACTCTTTCTCTCTGACTCCAGTCTGGGACATATACTCAGCCTGGCTCACTGTTCCCTGAGAGTCTGGTGACCATCAGACCAGAGGGAGCAGAAGGAAAGTACCAGCTTCAGTACCTCGCTGCTTTCTCCAGCCTTCCTTGGTGCCTACTTACTATCTCCAGGCTAAAGTTAGAGCAGGAAAGGCTGAGCAGGTGGGAGGCGGAGGAAGGTCATGTGACATTCAACACGGATGTAGTGGGGGAGGGAAGATTTTCCAAATGTCCCTGCTAGCATCCAGCCTAGCCACCTGGAGACAGCACCCACTCAGTATGTCCTGGGCCAACTGTGGCCAAGCCTCCGAAAGCCTCTTCTCTGCTCAGGCTCAGAGTGATGCTGCAGAGTGAAGCTTTCAGGGGAGAAGCCATTGATTTCTGATCTCTGAATCTGCTCATTAAGCAGCAGGGTGACTTGCATCTACTGCCATATTTGAGCACAATTTGAACAATGAGAATTATCTTGCACTGAAGCCCTCACCTGGCATTGGTGACATCTCTGAAAGAATGCCAGGCTGGCTGCATACTCCCCACACTGACTGGCTGGGAGGGGGCCTGAGGCCAGAGTCAGGTGGTCATCTGCCTTCAGTCACAGTCCCCCAGACCCATGGGCTGCTCCTCCCTGCCTCTCAGCCAGTTCATAGGATGCTGATTTGCATGAGTCTCTCCATGTCTGTCCTTAGGTCTCTCTTTCATGCCTGTGTTCTGGGAGCTTAGGAGCCTTGGGAGGCCAGAACCTTGATCCTTTTTCCTGGTCTTTCTTATCTTACAATGTCCAGACTGAGGGAGCTCAGTCCAGGCCACTGGATGGGCCACAGCTTGGGTAGCAGAAGTGAGCGGAAGGACAAGCAATTACCTGGTGAATTCAGGCAAATAAACAATTTGTTGGCCTTCTGGCTCCCCTGGTGTGCTGAATCCCTTTCATGTCTTTTTGGAGGTTGGTTTTTTGTTTTTTTTTTTTTTGTCCATTAACCTCAATTTCCAGCAACCTGAGAGTTCCCACTGCACCCCTCCCAGATGGTGGAGTCCCGCCAAAGGGACATTACTCTAGGACCCGGGGCAAAGGCTCAGTTGCCCTGGGCTCTGCCTCTGGTCTAAGGGACTAAGCTGACTGCTAAACAACCCAGAGGACCCCCTATTTTGATGATCCTGTCACCCTTCCCAGCACCCACTGGGCCAACCTCCCTCCACTGTCCCCAAGGCCTATGGGTGGGGTTGGGGGTTGGTGGGTGGCTGGAGGAACCCTTTAGGGGCAGCTTTCCTAGCTGCTATAAATCAGCTTAGCTTTGCTGTTCTCTTCCCTCTTGCTTTACTTTTTGCCTGTGTTCTTTTAACCCTCTCTATGGGCAAAACACAGCCCCACGTGAGTGTGCCTAATTGAGGAATGTTAAGCCTTCCCATGCTGAGCTGGAAGTCAGCCTCTTTCAAAGCTGTCCACTGGGATGTACCCAGTGCAGGAGCTAAATATAGAAAGGGCTCCCTCCTCCCCCAGCCTCCCTCATCCTCTGTGGGCACGGGCACAGGCGAGAATCGATGCTACGCTTGGTGGCGACGGCAAGCTGCGTGACAGCCGCCCCTGCTTAGAGACCCTTATCTGCACCTGCCGCCGATTGGCTCTGATAGAGCCCTGACATACTGGGGACAGGAAGTCACCATGGCGACCTCACACAGTGGAGCGGGGAGGGGACAGGGGCTTGACTCTGTGGAGGTAGACTCAGGATGCACTTGGGCCACCACCCTCGGGGGCTCCCAGCTGGCCAAGCAGGGATCACGTCCCTCTGCCTTGGCCACTCCAGGCCACCTGCAGAGGGGGCAGCCCTGTCAGTGATGGAGGGGGAGACAGCCTGTGTTATTCACGCCGGAAGTCCATGGCATTCTCAGAGAGCTCTTCCCCGTACCTCCCCAGAACACTGAGAATGGATGAATCAGTCCCGGCTCATCAGAGCCTTTCATGCTAAACCAGCCCAAATGACTGATTTAGAAACTGCGTGGTCTTGTTCTTTGAGTGGATTTCTGAGGCACACTCCAGAGCAGGCCCAGGTCTTCATTATCTCCATGCACACCCTTTGATTAAGCATCTGTGACCACACAGCACTGTGTGCTGTACCCAAGGAGGCAACAGAACAGGAGACACTGATGGGAGACACGCACCCAGAACACCCAGGCAGCAGGGAAATAATAAAAACAATATTGCTGTACCAGCACTCAGCTGATCACCACAGCCCTGTGAGGAACTGCTAGAATTCTAACTGAATATGAGAGTAGAGAGGCTCGGTGCTTTCACAAGGATCCCTGGTAAGGGGCAAAGTGGATGCACTCAAGTTTTCCAGCTCTGGTACCGGGTAAGGACATCTGGTGTTTACCAAACACTGGACCATGCGTCTGCAGCAACAGAACTCCCTGGGGGACAATCTTAAATGCAGATTTGTGGGTCTCGCTCTGACCTGGAGATTCTGCTTCCAGAGGTGGAGGCTGGTGTTGATCAGTCTTCAGGTGACTATGGCGTGCAGCCCTTCTGGGAGTCGCGTATAAAACCATCAATGCTTCCTTCAGGAGCCTTGGTGAGCACATGGTCCAGTGAGTCTCAGCCCCAGCAGGGCATCAGAATCACCTGGGCAGTTTAAAGGAACAGTAATGCCTGGGCCCCACCCAGGCCCTTTCAAGTAGAATCCTTCATGCTGGGGCCTGGGGACGCCTGACCTTAGAAAGCTCCATGGGAGATTCTAATGTGCAGCTGGAACACTGGACCATGTGCCTGCAGCATTGGCCCCTGTATTTTACAGATGAGGACCCTGCATCTCTGTGAGAGGGAGTGAGTTGGATGAGCTGTCAGCAGTCTCGTAACTACCTGGGTGGAGAACTAGGAGAACCCAATGTTTTGACTTTCATTTCAAAGCTCTCTCTACTTCTAAGCTCTGTGTCCTGGGGGCTGTGAGCCCCAGAGTAGCCACTGGAGTCCCATTCTCAAGGGTGGTGTAGGGTGGGAAGAGTATACTAATTTTCCTTTCCTAGACTCATTAGTTTGGAGAAAGAGCTATCAGGCTGTGAAAGAAGGTAGAGATAGACACATAGAGCCTGATGCTTTAAAGTGCATGTGGTGTGCAGAGACCCTCAGTCTCTGGGGTCAGCATTTGTGACTATGAACACGCCCGAACATCTGCACCACCTCCTCTGCCTGGGAAACAGCACAGCGTCTTACCTGGCAACATCCAGCCCATGTTGTAAGGACCCACTGTCCATGTAAAGTTCCCCACTGTCCAGACCATTCCAGAAGAGGAGCTTCCATCCTTTCTGACCTCCTGCCATTTCGTGTCAGCATCAGTTATTTGGCAGTTGTCATTTACTTGTGATATGTGACACCTAGAATCACTATTTATTTTTCTAAATAAAACAAAATGTAACTCTTTTCCTGTCTTATCAAGCCAAATAAGCAACTTGATTTTTAAATTTTGCCCTAGGCTGGACCTGGTTCTCTCTCAGGACACTGCTTCTTTCACCTTGCTTTTCCTCTCTACCCTGGGCTCAGAGATATCCCCTCGATCCCAACTTTTGGGGTTGGGGGATCAGGTTGTGCTGATCATTCATTCTTTCCTTATTCCAGATCTCTCTGTGCACAAAGCGTCCACTCCTTAATCCAGTCTGACCACAGCCATCAAGATGGATCCAAAGAAAACTAGGGAAACAGCTGCCCACTGCTTCCCAAGCTTCCCATGCTCTCCTGACTTCCATACTCCAACATCTCTGAAGCCTTTCTCATCCCCACACACCACACCTTTCTTCCCTCTAAAGTCTTGCATTCACTGTCCCTGCAGATTAAAACACCCACTCCCCTCTTCTGGCTAACATTTCCTGTCCTTCAGGATTGGTCCAGAATTTGCTCAGTGGGATGACATCTCTGTCCTCATTTCCCCCCTACTGTCCCCCAATCCTGGGCTCCTGTTCCCTCGTGTTCAGCCAGCTGTCACAGCACCTGCCACACTTCATGGGGCACAAGTGTGCAATAGAGATTGATGAACTGATCTCCATGAGAGAACAGACTTGTTGCTGGGGTGTGCTCAGGGAGTCCCAGATGTTGTCTTCAGATGCAGAAGAGTTAAAAGGCAATGTTTTCTTTATGTGTGTACAAAATAACAAAGGGGAAGACTCTCAGACCATATCCTATTGGTATTCACATCTTGTGTGTTGCCCTTGTGTGTGGGCTGGACTTGTTGACTTGCTTCTACCTATTATGGCAGAAATGACATGGCGTTCATCTTGGTGGCCTCTGTCTCTCAGATCAACTGCCCTTGTATCGGCTGTCAGCTGTCATGACAAGAGGTAGGCCACATGGTGAGGAATGGAGACCAACCCACAACCATGTGAGTCAAGCCTTTAAGTGACTGCAGCTCTGGCTGACATCCTGACTACAATCACGTGAGGGTTCTTAAGCCAGAGGCACCCAACTAAGCCATGTCTGGATTCTTAACCCACAGAAACTGTAAGATGATGAATGTTTGTCATTTTTAGGTAGCTAAGTTTTGGGGGAATTTTGTTATATAGCAATAGATAGCTGATTAATATTTGTCCTTTGTATTCCTCCTATGTGCACACATGCTGTGAGCATAGCACCTAATAGGGCTTAGAACAGACCAGTGGACTGGAAAGGAAAGCTGTCTGGAGACTCTGTGCTAGGAAGCAGAGCCCTGATGAAGACAAGCTCAAATGCCAGCTCTTCTACCAGCTTTTTAACCATTCTAATACTCACTGGATTCTGCCTCTCTGCAGTGTCTCCAGAACACACTGCCTGTCTTAGTAGTTCATTGTCTTTCTACTTGAAATTCATTCATTCATTTACTCAATTAATATTTGTAGAGTGCCTCCTAGGGACTAAGGACTATTCCCCACTGCAGAGGAGCCTGCAGCTCCCAATGCCGACATAACAGCTTTACTTGCGTTGTTCCTCTTCCCTTGGTTTCCCTGAAAACACTCTGAGGGTTTTAAGAGTCACTCTCCTCCTTTCTCCCCTTGGATAGATCAAGATTTGACTGACATTTATTTAGCACCTATCATATGTCTGGAAAGCAGCTGGGCACTTTTCCATGCATTAGCTTATTTAATCCTCACAAATGCTTGCTTGTGAGGCAAATATAATTCCCATTTACTAGTGAGTAAATCAAAGCTCAGAGAGGCAAAATAACTTGCTTCAGTTGCACAGTAAAAATAACAGCAAACCCTTTTGGAATGTTCTGAACAAACTCATTTAGTCCTCCTCCAGCCCAGACTGAGGCAAATAAATGTTAGGTAACTTGCCCAAGTTTACACTTGTAAGCTAGTAGGTGGCAGGGCCAGGAACAAAACCTAGGGCTCTGACTTTAGAATTCTTATTCGTAACAACACTAAGGGTTGTAGCAGGACTAAAATTCAGAGTTAGGTCTTTGGACTGGAGTCCCCAGTCTGTCACCCCTGCTCAGAGATGCTCTTTCCCACCTCCTGCCCAGACCCCCTCCCTCCACCCAACTTCTCTCCCGTGTTCCAGTGATGTTCCAATTTGATGATGAATTTGCTTCTCTTGAGTATTTCCTTGACTTAATTCAACACTTTTTTTGTCTCAAAAATGAAGAAATCAGAACTCTTCTCCTATCATAGAAAGGTCACCCATTCCCTTCCCCAACTTTGTGGAGGTCTTGCTATTGGGGAGACGTGTGTGAAAGGGAGAAGGAGGGGGGCAGACAAGAAAGGAATAAATAAAACTAAAGCAGCAAGGAACTTCCCATCTCGGTGGCTAAGTTCTGTTTCAAAATGAGTCCAAAACTCTGGTCTCATGCCTTTTTTTTTTTTTTTTAAAGACTGTGACAGTAGGAGAATAATGTGAGCTGGCAAGTAATAAACAGTTTCTATAGGCATCAGGTGGGAACTTAAAATTCAGAAGGCAGACTCCTCAATTCTGAATTAACTTCCTTTCTTCCTGGGCACAAGAGGGTCTATGTTTCTCTCATCTTCTCCCTGGCCCCACACACACTCTTTCATGCAGTCAACATTCCTGCCCCACAATAGGTGTGATTGCATCCCATTATGTTGTCATGGCAATATCCATTGCCATCTGGGGGGTGGGGAGGTGGCAGTGGAAACAAATGAGTGGCCAATCAGGCTTTCCAGGAACGTCTCATCATGACACACTGCTCTCTGCCAACTGCCAGAGCTGAGCGGAATAAAGATGAGTGTGTGAGGACCCTATTGAGGGGGCACAATGATAGTACCCTGCCTAATCTCGGCCAAGGGATCGAGAGTCAGAGGGACATTTTGTCCATGTGAATGTCTCTTTGCTGAGTGACAGGTTATTGATCAGCATGAGATGGGAGAACCAAACAGCAAACGGTAACACAGAAAGCAAAAGGCCCTTCAAGGTGGTAATTGTTACGTGATACATATGAAGGATATATGGGAGTTAGTTCTTTTCGGTGCCGAGAAGGGCCAAAGATTATAGAACCTAGTGTCACCATGGTCATTGCTTCTTCCTTCCCCCCATTCCAGAAACAGAAAAGGAAAAGTCCTGTTGTCAAGACCTCCAAGGACAAGAACCAGTGAAGCCTGGTAACAAACACATTATGCTTTGAAGATCTGCCAGTTAACAGCTGTGTGGTCTCTCTCCGATTAACATCTCTCAGCCCTTTTTTCACCTTTATGAGATGGGGATTATAATACCACATCCCTTGTAGGGCCATTGTGAGGATTGAATGAGCTAATGCATGCCCACGTGCCCACCTCATGGTAAGAACTTCAGAGATATTAGCCATTACTATTCCAACTGATCACACACACTCAGTGCCACCAAGGATGATGCCACTGCAGTGTCTCCCTATCTCCCTACCTTAGGTTTCACGTTTTGGCGAGCAAATGCAGCAGGAATAAATTTTCAGTGGCCTGGGAGCCACAGCTATAGCCTTTTGCCATAAGAAACTCCCAAACTCTCTCTCTCTCTTTCTCTTTCTCGCGCTAGGTGGGAGCAAGCCATTGCCTCCCCCTCAGAGGACCCAGTGGAGAGAAGGTTGACAGCTTGGCATTCTCTTTGGAATGGCTGTTGACTTCGCACTGCCATCCACAGAAGAGCTCCATAACCCCACCCAAGGGCACGGAATGGCCTTTCCTTAAAGGTGAAGCACAACATCATTCTCAAGTGCCTTTGCAAATGTATGTGAACAGTCTTTCAAGGCTCATATCAAGAAGTCTCCAGTTCACACTCCTGTCCCAATATCCAGTGCCCGACATTGAGCCCCTGGGGCTTTCTGATCAAGAGTGGGGAGGACAACCAGCCAGAGTGGGCAGCTGAGGTCACCTGGAGTAATTAATCCTAAAGTTTACTGGTGCCTGTTCTGCTGGGGAGCAGGAATCCAATTACCCACAGTGACAGCAGCTTAGTCCCTGGGGAGATACTCATCTGCAGGGCGGCCAACAACCTGTCCACCTGAAATCTTCCCGAGAAGCAACACCAACCTCCACCCCCTTCACTTTCTCCGCACACCCTAGCCAGGCACAGACCTCAGCTAACCAGGACATTGCCCAGGCCACACTGCCTGGGTTGTGGTACAAAGGAGTGAATTCTGGGAGATTGGACCAGGACAGCTTCTAGAGGTCTCCTAACAAGAACCCATTTCTCCTGTAGAACGAAGACCAGAACTGGTCATTTACCCAGGCCGAGCCAGACCTATATGATACATCAAAAGCAGAACAGAAAGAAAGGGAATGAGAGAATCCAAATGAGTTTATTTGTCCATTAAATAAATATGCAAAATTATGCAGATGTGGAAATGGGCATACAATTTTTAATCAATTGCTCTGGCATCATCGTGAATAGACCTATGGTTCTGGATGAGGGGACCGCTAAGAGATAATTCTGGCCCCCTTGCCATCAGCATCCCAAAGAATGTACATTAGGAAGCAGGGAGGTGGTCTATGCCAGATGACCTTTTTGCTCTTTTTATGTGGCCCTGACTCTGACTAAGATGGGTTCCTACTTCTAGAATTTCTTCCCTGGACAAGAGTGAAAAAGTGGCCAAGTCTTTTGCATGGCTACCACCAGGGAAAGGAATTTGACTTTTGTAATGCAAATTTACTTCCTGGCTTGAAAGTACATGATTAAAATGATATGTTTCAGTGTGGGAGCCAGACAGCAGATTTGGTATTAGAAGGCAGCAGCTGCTGCTTACACACAGGGGTGTCTGCAAGGTACACGGAGGAGTAGGTAAAAAAGTATTTGTTGGGGCCTGGAGACCCTAGGACTTGCTAATCAGAATGGACCATTCAGGTGCACTTATATAAACCTAAACACAACAAGGGTGTAGTATAACAAAAGCTGAGTACCTTCAAATTGGTCATTCATTCATTCAACAACGTTTATTGAGTACCAAATCCATGTACCAGCTGCTGTATATAGTTATATAGCAGTGAACAACACAGACTTAGTGAAGACTGTTGACCAGGGCTCAAATTTGGACTACACCACTCAAGAATAATGTCATATTGGGCACGCTGCTTAATCTCTCTGTGCCCCAGTTTCCTCTAAAATAAGGATAATGCAAGTACATATTGCCACCTCTGCTTTCAGCCATGATAAAAAGAACTGGATTTACCTTTCTGTCTTAAACAACTAGAAAGTCATACAAAATATATGAAACAAATATTTTCAAACATTGGACAAAAGGCGATACAGGACTATGATCCTTGAGAGAGGTGAATCAAATGAGAGACCCCTACAATTTCTCTACCCTACTGCCTGCATCGGATTTCCAGGCTGCAGCACAGGGAAGGGGAGCCAAAACAGAGCCCAGAATTCTTGGAGTTCAAGACGACTGAGGCAGCTAGAGTGTGCAGGCACAATGCCAGAAACAGCTTTGGCTATCTGAAAGGGGATCCACTTAAAGAGCTTTGCCAAAATACTGATTTTCACATACAAGGAATGAAACTCCATAAGGCTGGAGAAAGAACCATCGCAAAGCACTAAGCCAAATGATTTCCAGAACTGGGAAGAGTTCATGTTCCCAGGTGAGAATGAACAGGTTTCATGATACAGTTGTGTGCTGCATAGCAATGTTTTGGCCAATGCCAGATGGCGTATATGATGGTGGTCTCATAAGATTATAAAAGAGATGAAAAATTCCTATCACCTAGTGACATAGTGACATCATAGTCATCTTAACACTGTAGTGCAATGCATTACTCACATGTTTGTGGTGATGCTGGTATAAACAAACCCACTGTGCTGCCAGTCCTATGAAAGCATAGCACATATAATTATGTACAGCACATAATACTTGATAATAAGTGACCATGTTACTGGTTTATGTATTTACCAGTTACTGTTATTTTACAGTGTCCTCCTATGTAGAAAAAAAAGAAAGTTAACTGTAAAACAGCCTCAAGGAGGTCCTTCAGAAGGTATTCATGAAGAAGGCATTGTTATCATGGAGGAGGATGGCTCCATGCATGTTATTGCCCCAGATGACCTTCCAGTGGGACAAGATGTAGAGGTGGAAAACAGTAATATTGGTAATCCTAACCTGATGCAGGCCTAGGCTAATGTGTGTGTTTGTGTCTTAGTTTTTAAAAAAGTTTAAACAGTAAAAAAACCCCAAAACCCCCTTTTTTAAAATAGAAAAACTTATATAGAGTACGGATGTAAATAAATATTTTTTATAACGGTACAACGTATTTGTGTTTTAAGCTATTACTGGAAGAGTCAAAAAGTTACAAAAATTAAAAAGTTTCTAAAGTAAAAAAGTTACAGTCAGCTAAGTTTAATTTATTATTGAAGAAGAAACAATTTTGTAGTATAGCCTAAGTGTACAATGTTTATAAAGTCCATACTAGTGTACAGTAATGTCTCAGGCCTTCATATTCACTCACCCCTCACACAGCCTCACCCAGAGCAACTTCCAGTTCTGCAAGCATCATACCTGATAAGTGCCCTAATACTGGTATACCATTTTTTATTTTTATACTGTATTTTTACTGTACCTTTTCTATGTTTAGATACACAAACAATTACCATTGTGTTACAATTGCCTACAGTATTCTATACAGTAATATGCTGTACAGGTTTGTAGCCTAGAGGCAATAGGCTATACCATATAGCCTAGGTATGTAGTAGGTTATACCATCTAGGTTAGTGTAAGTACACTCTATCATGTCTGTTCAACTAAATTGCCCAACAATCCATTTCTCAGACTGTATCCCCATTGTTTAGTGATGCACGATTGTATACAAAGCAACAGGTAGGGTCCTCAGAAAGGCATCACATTCACAGTGAGGCTAAATTAGCCCTAAACAAAAGGCAGTGCCAGACTTACCCTAAGAGATCTTAAAGCAAGCCCTAAAATAATCAAACTGATTCCAATTAACTTAACTCTATACCAGAACAAAGTCCAACACCCTTTAAAGGAATACAAAAAGAAAAGAAATCAGTGGCTAAGGTAGTAAAATTAACTATGTCTGGCATCTAATAAAATAGGGCTGTGTGTATTGACTCATGCTTGTAATCCCAGCACTTTGGCTGAAATGGGAGGATCACTTGAGCCCAGGAGTTGGAGACCAACCTGGGCAACATAGGGGGACCTCATCTCTAAAATAAGCTGGGTGTAGTGGTGTGTACCTCTGATCCGAGCGACTCAGGAGGCTGAAGTGAGAGGACTATTTAAGCCTGGGAGGTCAAGGCTGCAGCAAACCATGATAGTGCCACTGCACTCTACCCTGGGCAACAGAGCAAGACCCTGTCTCAAAACAAAAAACAAGAAACAAAAACAAACCCCACAAGTTATGCAAAAAAGAAAAAAGATAACTAATAAGCAGGAGAAAATCAATCATTAGAAAATGACTCAGAAATGCCAGAGATAATGGAATTAGCATACAAGAATGGTAAAACTACTATAGCCAATATACTATATGCTCATGAATTTACAGGAAAACATGAACATGGTAAGGATTAAAAAAGGAAGATAGAAAAGTGACCCCAATAAAACTTAAATAAAAGACAAAATACAATAACTGAAATAAAAATATAATAAATGAGATTAACAGATACATCAAAAGGATCAGTGAATTTGAAGAACAGAAATAGAAAATATTCAAAATAAAGCAAAGAAGGAAAAAAGATTAAAAAAAAAAAAAACCCATAGCATCGGTGACCTGTAGGAAAGTAACAAGTCATCTAACATATATGTAACTGGGGTCCCCAAAAAGAAGAGAAACACAGAAGAAATATTTTAAAGAGATGGTCAAAAGCCTTCAGAATTTGGTGCAACCTATAAACTCACTGATCCAAGAAATGCATTGAATTCCCAGTCAACACAAACCATACCAAGGCACATTATAACCAAATTGCTGAAAACAAGTGATAAAATCTTAAAAGCAGCCAGTGGAAAAAGGACATTACACACAGAGGAAAGACAAAGTGGCAGACTCTTGTCATAAATTATGCAAACCAGAAGACAACAATGGCCTTAAGTACTGAAAAGGAAAAAAACCTGCCAACCCAGAATTCTACATCAAGCAAAAATATCAATCAGAGATGAAAGCAGAATAAATACTTTTTCAGATCAAAGCTGAGATAAGTCATCACTAGCAGATTTGCCTGTAAGAAATTTTAAAGGAAGTTCTCCAGGAAAAAGGAAAATGATACTAGATATAAATCTGGATCTACACAAAGGAATAAAAAACACTGGGAATAGTAGATATGTGGGTAAATTGAAATAAATTTTGTACTCATTTTTGAAGTCTCTTTAAAAGTGTTAACTGTTTAGAACAAAAATTTTCACTGTATTGTTGGATTTATAAAATATAGAGGTAAAATATATGACAATTATATCACAAAGGACAAGAGGTACAAAATTGAATATATAAGTTTTTTATAGTATACATGAAGTGGTATATTATTAGAAGGCAGATTTTGATATGCTAAAATGTATATTTTAAATCATAGAGCAACCACTAAAAAAAAATACATATGGATAATAAGCCAGCAGCGGAGATAAAGTGAGATCATAAAAATATTCAGTTAATACAAAGTAAGGCAGAGAGGAAAACATAAACAAATTACATATGAGACAATCTGAAAATAAACAGCAAGATAGTAGACTTAAACTCAATCATATCAATAATTACATTAAGTATACCTAATCTAAAAACTTCAATTAAAAAGCAGAGATAATCACATTGGATTTTTTTTTTAAAAAGCAAGACCTAACTATGTGCTATCGGCAAGAAACACACTTTAAATATGAAGACACAAGTATGTTAAAAGGAAAAGAACAAAAAAAGATATACCAAGAAAAGACTGATCAAAACAAAACTGGAGGCCGGGTGCAGTGGCTCATGCCTGTAATCCCAGCACTTTGGGAGGCCGAGGTGGGAGGATCACGAGGTCAGGAGATCGAGCCCATCCTGGCTAACATGGTGAAACCCCGTCTCTACTAAGAAATACAAAAAATCAGCTGGGCGTGGTGGTGGGCGCCTGTAGTCCCAGCTACTCGGGAGGCTGAGGCAGGAGAATGGCGTGAACCCAGGAGGCGGAGCTTGCAGTGAGCCGAGATCACGCCACTGCACTCCAGCCTGGGTGACAAAGTGAGACTCTGTCTCAAAAAAAAAAAAACAAAAAAAAAAACTGGAGTGACTATATCAGACAAAGTAGCCTTTAGAACAAGGAATATTACCAGGACTAACAGGGATTTTATAATGATAAAGGGATAAATTAAAAAAAAAAACAAAACCCTAAATGTATATGTATTTGTTGATAGACCTCAAAATACATGAAGCAAAAGTTGATATAAAGAAAGGAGAAATAGACAAAACCACACCTATAGTTGAAAATTTAAGCATTCTTGTCTCTGTAATTGATAGAAAAAGTAGGCTAAAAATCAGGAGGGGTGTAAAAGACTTGAACAATCCCATCAACCTCCTCGATCTAACTGACATTACTAGAACACTCGAACCAACAACAGCACAATCCACATTGTCTTCAGGTGCATATAAATCACTGGCTAAGATAAGACCGTATTCTAGACTATAAAGTCTTAATATATTGTGATAGAATGAAATCATATAGCCTTTAATTTGACCATACTAGAATTAAACTAGAGATAAAAAATAAAAAGATACCTGGAAAATCCTCAAATATTAGAAGATTAAATAAGGCACTTCTTAAAAACCCATAAGTCAAATTTAAAAATCACAAGGGAAATTAGAAAATATTTTGAACTGAAAAAAATGACAATATACCAAAGTCAATGGTATGTAGTAGCTAAAAGTGCTTAGAAATAAATTTATAGCATTAAATGTTTATACTGGAAAATAAACAAGTCTCAAATCAATGATCTAAGCTTCTACTTCTACCTTAAGAAACCAGGAAAAGAAGAAAACTAAATCTAAAGTATGCAGAAGGGAAAGAATAATGAGCAGAAGTCAATGAACAGAAAGGCAAAGAGAAATCCAATAAAACCAAAAGCTCTTTTCTAAAAAAGATGAATAAAATTAAAAAAATGCCAGACTAATCAAGAGAAAAGACAAGATCACCAATACAAGACATGAAAGATGGAACATCACTACAGCTTTCACACACATCAAAAAGATAATAAGAGAATATTATAAACAACTTCATGCCAGTAAGTGTGAAAATTTAGACAAATTGGAGAAATTATTTGAAAGACACCAGCTACCAAACTACCAACACTCACTCAAGAAGAAATAGATAACTGGAATAGCCCTATATCTATTAAATAAATTGTATTTCTAGTTAAATCTTTCCACAAATAAAATTTCAGGTACAGATGGCTTCACTGATAAATTCTACTAAACATTTAGGGAAGAAATAATACTAATTCTATATAAATTCTTCAGTGTAATTGATCATACAATAGACTAAAAAAGAACGCCCATATGATCATCTCAAAAGATGTATAAAAAGCTTTTAACAAAATGTGATACCTATTTATGACTGGAAAAAATCCTACAGCTAACATCATACTTAACAGTGAAGACTCGATATTTATTTTCTCCCTTGGACTGATAACAAGGCAAGAATGCCTGCTTTGATCATTTCTATTTACCATTTCATTCAACATTGTATTGAAAATCCTAGCTGGTACAATAAGGCAAGAAAAAAATTAAAAAGGATGCAAACTGGAAATAAGTAAAACTGCAGGCTCCATGCTCATCCGTGTAAAAGTACCCCACTTCCTAGGGAAGGCGTAATGACTGAATTACAAGGACTGCACTGCAAGTATGTGGAGTGCTTAGAATAGTCCCTGGAACCTCAAAAGTGCTCAGTAAATGCTCACTATTATTGTTAATTCAAATGATTACAGAACGGAACTGAGATTATATAATGGGGATCTATCCATTGATGGAGGTGGTTGTGAGAAAAATGCCTACTTGCCTCCGAAGCACCAGACGCTCATGCCCATGTAGGAATCGGGGAGGGCCATTGGAAGACGGGGAAAAATGAGCCCTTACATTGGTACTTCTCCATCAAAGGCCATTAGGACTCCAAATCTCATATAATCCTTTAATGACCGTGGGAAGGGACAGGGCAGGTAGAATTATCTTCATCCTAAGGATGGGCGAACTGAGGTAAAGAGCCATAGACCTGTGCAATACCAGGAGTAGTCCTGAGGTCTCCATCCCAGACCACTGCACCTTCCACTACACCATTCTTCCTTTCCACAGGACAGGTCTCAAAACAGGGTGCTTCCCTGCTTCTGCAGACGGAATTGAATAGGCACATTTATGAGAAGGATGGTCCAGAACACAAGTGCACCTTGATAAACAATGGTAGTCTACGAGGCACTGGGGATCCAGGATCCTGAGGATTTGCCTCTTTGCTTTTGTGAGGTTGTCCTACCCTGCATATTTGGCCGAGGTTTACACAATGAGGCTCCTAGAAGACTAAAACTTAAAATACCCAAATCCAATTGTGGCACATAATAAGTGCTCAGTAAATGTTTACTTAGAAACTCGAATCTGACTGGAGCCCAGGGAAGATGCAAGTGGCTTAGATTTAATGAAATAAGTGTGCACAAGAAAACCACTTTGTAAACTGTAAAACAATGTACAAACACTGACGTCAATGCTAGCAGTTGTGTGAAAAGACAATGAGATCTAAAAAGGAAGACCTGAGCAAACTGTCTTTTGGGTGAGTGTAGGAGCAGAGCTCGGAAGAGACCTGGAAACTTGAAAAATAGAGTTTACAAAGCATGTAGTAAATTAATTGATAGGCATAGGGCTTGGGGAGAGAAGCAGGCTTCTCTAGCATCTCTTAAGGACTTTTCAGTACCGTGCTACATGCTAGAGAGACAGAGATGAAAAGACACAGTCCCACCACTAACCAGCTCATAGCCTTGTGGGGAGCAACAGGCACATAGAGACCCTCCATAGCTATAGTGAGTGCTGGGATGGTGGTAAGTCCATGGTGCTTTGGGGGCACAGAGGATTTGGGGAAGGGGAGAGGGGAGTTGCTAGTAAGACCAGAAAAGAGTGGTGATAGAAAGCAGTTTTAATATGAAACTGAGGGGCTGAATGGAGCCCAAATAAAAAACAAAAACAGCTTAATTTCCTTTGTTGCCCAAAGGAAGTATGGGAAGTACTTTTCCAGGCTGGAGGCAGGGAATGATGAGCCAGGAAGTACAACTAGGGATGATGAAGCAGGCTTTTGAGTCATGAGATTATTTTTCTGTGCATGGGTTATACCCTCAAGATTTTGCCACCTAATGAATGTTAAGATGATTTTTACATCTTAAATGACTGTGTGTAGAAGCCCCTGTAGAGGGGAGGCAGCTGAGGAAGGGTGAAGAGGGGAGCTGTCCAAGTGATGGCAGAAGAAAGATGACAAAATCACATGAGAGGACCTGGTGCTGAGCTGTGCTAGCCCCAGAGCCTGAGCTCAGGGCATCATTTCACCCCCGGGGTGCCTTCATTCATTAATTCATTCAGCAAAAATGTCTTGAGTACCTACTATGTGCCAAGCACTGTTCTAGATGCAGGGAATGGAGCAGTAAACAAGGGAGAATCCTTGCCCTCAATATACTGGCATTCTAGATTGGGGAGACAGACAGTAAACAAGTGTACAAGTAAATGAACAAGATAAATATAGGTAACGATAGGTGCTATGAATGAAGTAAGAGAGGGTAATGGGACCAAAGGGAGGCTGATGGTGGGCACACAGCTGAGGTGGGTGGCAACTCTAGGTATGGGGTTCAGGGAAGGCCTCTCCAAGGGTGTGACCTTTGCCTGGGACCTGAATGATAAGAGCAAGCCCTATGATGATGTGGAGGAAGCAGAAGAAACAGCTGGTGCCACAGTCCTGAGGCAAATTCAAGGACTGTAAAGAAGGCCAGAGGAGATAAAGCCCTGAGGGCAAGGGGGCATGGTATGAGATGGGTTAGGAGAGGAGGCAGGGTCTCATCGGATAAGGTCTGGAAGGCTCTGGGATTTTATTCTAAGTACCTCAATTTGTCCCTTACCAAAGTGGTCCCCAATTCAGATTGAATGATGTCCCCGAAGCAGGCTGGGCAAATTTACACATGAACAAATACAAAAATCTCACAACAAAGTTCTTTCAGTCAAACCCGTGCTGGAGTCCCCTCAGCAACACTCTTACCACAGGATAACCTCACCTAAAGCTGGAACCCAGTCCCTCCTGAGATGGCATCTTGGGACTGTTAGGATTCAAACCGATTTGAAACAGGTGCCACTCATTTCTCCAGGCTCTAAGCAGCATGTGAATGAATGACACTGCCCTTGAAGGGGCCAGCCTGGATGGAGGGAGATGGGGAATGTTTCAAGGTTCTCATTAGGAGCTCAGGTTGCTGCTATAACATCTCCCTCTCGTCTCTACTTCTTACTCCTCCTTAGGAACAGGGAATGAAGGACAGCTTTGCCCCCAGGCCACTGGACCAATGACCACCTGATGCCCTAGGGAACGTAAGGGAGTGGGAGAGAACCCCACCTGGCCCCTCCAGCTGGTAGACAAAATGGAGGCCTCCAGTTCCTGCCAATGTTCCATCTGGGGAAGGTCATGCAGACCCTGCACTCACAATCAACTGGGCAGAAGCAAACCCTTGGGGAGGGCAGGGCATGCAGCTGCATGGGCGCCATCTGCACGTGAGTCCTGACCTGGGGGAGGAGAGGTCGTCTTCCTACAGCCCGACCTCACACATTCCTTCAGCATCTCTGGGAAATAATCACACTCCCCACACTGAAGAAACACAGTCAACAGATTCTGGTTTCCTAGATACGCCAGTGGCTTCTAAAAATAGCCAGGCAATGACAAAGCAAATTGGCATATGGACTGCAAATAATTCCAGTACCAGCTTGCTTGGCAGCACTCAAGCCTCCCAGTGCTGGGTGCTTCCTCCTCTTCCCTCCCGTTTCTGAAACAGTCTCTTGCTGCTGAAAACCCCAGGCCAAATGTGAGCGAAGGGGCAGCTGCAGCCCCTGTGGGGGTCCAGCCCAGGGCTGGTGCACTCTGCTGGGCTGAAGCCACTCCAGGCTCCTCCTACTTCCCTCCTCATCCACTCCACATGCTCTGCGGGTCCCCACTCACGCTGAAGGTCCACTGCCAGTCAAGCCACCGGTAGCTCTGTGTGTGCCCCAACACTCCCAAGCAACCAACCTCTTCCTTTGTGTAACCAAGATGGGGCTGCCTTGACCTTCTCACTCCAGGACTCCTCTTCTGGGGATAGGCCACTGTCCACGGTACCTCTTACTTTGACTCAATCCCTCCCCTGGCCCCAGCAGGGAGTCTTTGCAAAGTATCCTCTTTATCTGCCTTTCTTCATTCTCTAAACCCTGTGTATGGTTGTGTGCAATGTGCCAGGCTTTGTGGTGGGCAGCATACCCAGCAGTGGGAATTCCAGGGGGAAGAAGACAGGTCTGTGGCTGGAAAGAGTAAGGAAAACTAACATGGTTGAACTCCTACACTTAGCCAGCCACTCTGCTAAGTGAGCCTCACAAGTTGTCTCATTTATTTCTCATTCAATCTCTATAGTGCCCTATGATGTAGAGATTCTTATTGTCTTCTTAACTCTGTAAACCAATTGAGGAAAGCAGCTCCTAGGAGTTGAGTAACTTGTGCAAGGCTACAGCTGAAAAATGTGTAGCTGGAATTTGCTTTTACAGCCGTACAGCATAAGGGCCCTCGAATCTCTTCCATGAAGCCAGAGCAGCTCCCTCAAGCAGCTTATTCTTCAATGGAGCTTGGGTCAAGGCCAGGCGGTTAACAGACCCCATCTCAGAGAATACAAGAGTCTTTTGGAAGGACCATTTACAGAGGTAGAGGCAGGATTATGGGGACCAGCAAGAGATGCTGAGGCACCCAGGGACTAGCAATGGCAGGAAGCTGTGTCTACCTCAGGCCTGAAAGGGCAGGGGAGGGAGTAGGGATGAGGGGCTGCCCAGCAGCAGCGCCAATCATGAGAAAGTGGGGAGAAAATACCTCATGCCTCTCTCTTCCCACCTTTAGGTCTCCCACAGGCTGAACTCAACTGGATGCCAGGCACAAGGGAGGACTGGGGATGCAGTACAAGTCTGCCAACTGTTCCAAGTAATGTTTTATCTTTGCAGTGTCACCAACCACCTGATTTCTCCCAGGCCTTTGTTAGGAGGAATCACTACGTATTTTCATGGTTAATTTTTTTCATTGCATGAAAAAAAAGCTGAAAGGGGTACCCTGGCCTTGCCTTTTCTAAAACTGTTAGGAAGATCAACAGGATAAACCAGGGGTCTGAGCTCCTGGGGAGATAATGTGGATGCCTAAATATTAGCTATCCCAGTGGTAGGGATAACAAGAAAATGCTTATGGGTAAGCAATGATTTAAAAAATTTTAACGCTACTGCAACAGCCACGGTGTTCTCTTCTCAAGGCAGCTAAAAAACTCACTCTGCAGACATTTCTGTCTCCAACTATTTGTTGCCTTGAAGCCTAAGAATGCTTCCAGGCAGCCCTAACTTGTCCAAGACGAACACAAGAGAGGCGATGCCATTATGAACCCATGGCCACAGGCAGCATCTTTAATTCATGAGCAGGGCGGCATTGGCAGGAGAAAAGGAAGGGAGACATTAAGAGGAACTGCCTTGAGGCTCTGCCTTGGACTCAAGGTAAAACTGAGATTTTAGCCCATTCCAGCACAGCTAAGTGGTTTTCAATTTGTGTTTGAGGAAGGGTGATACAGCTGCGGTCAGGACAGGAGGGGTTCTTCCCACACACCAGACCACCAGGTGCTAAGAGCACTGTGGAAGATGCACCAGCAGTTATTCCTGTACTTTTATTCATTCATTCAACAAATGTTTACGGAGTACAGTACAGCATTTAAGAGTGAGCTCTTCTGAGTCAGAAAGTCTAGGTTCAAATCTTGCTCCATACTAGCTGTGTGACTTCAGGAAAGTTTGCTTATCCTCTCTGTGCCTGTTTCCTCTCTTTTAAGTGGGGATAATATTAACAGCATTTATATCATAGGTTGTTAGGAAGATTAATTCAGTTAATACATGTAAGGGCTCTGAACAGTACCTGGCATATAGGAAGCATGGTGGAACCTTGCTAGATCCACTTTGGCTATGCAGTGAGATTTGGATTTGAGTTCTGCATCTAGCAATTAGCAGCTGTGTGATTTCAGGCAAGTTACTTGACCTTTCTGAGCTAGAGTTGCCTCATCTGTAGGAGAATAAGTCTCTGTTTTATATGGTAGTTGTAAGAATTCAATGAGATGGCAATGTATAGTATTCAATAAATATTGACTGTCTCTTCTGTTTTGATAATGGCCCTGCCTTAAGGCTAATGTCTGGGGGTAAACCAGGCACACACATTCAGATCTGATCATCCCTGCAGGCTTTGAATGACTACTGGAACACCAGTGAGGAGGCCTGGTTCCACCCTGTCCTCATTAGCTGTGTGACCATGTGCAAATTGCCTGACCTCTCAATCTCAGTTTCCCAACCAGCAAAATGAAGGGGTTGGAATATATGGCCTCTAAGGCCTCTTACAGCTTGGGGCACATTCTCCCAGACCCTCTGGACTTCTGCCCAGACCTAGTCTTGAGAACCAGTGTGGGACAGTGGAGAGGACACGGCTCATCAGAATAGATATGGGTTGCATCCTAGGTACCTGATGGCCTAGCACAGCATCAGACACGACCAGAGGTGGTTTCCTGCCTGCTTCCCTTGCCAGCACAGTCATTACTATCTGATTCCTCAATGCAGGGCTGAGGCTGAAAAGCTGAGATGTGCCCCAAGATTGCCCTATACCCTTCTTCCTGTGCCCCATCTTCCCAAAGTGACTTCCTCTGGTTCTCCAACAAGCTCAGGGAATCTATCCCACTGAAGCTTCCAGGCTCAGGACCCTGACAGGTAGTTGTGCCTAACCTGAAAGTTTATAGAAGCATCCAACCTGGGCAGCTGGGCTGGTGAGAGGGAGTGTGTGTGACCTTTTCACTTTTGTCTCCAGGATTTTAATCTCCGGTGTTATAACACCTGGGTCAACATCTTGGAAATTTATTTCTGTACTGCCAGCTAAGGAAGCTGCACATATTTCTGTCTCAATGAAAAAACCAACAGGGCCCTGCTACCTCGTCTGAAGCTCTAAGCTCCTCAGCAGAGGTGCAGCGCAGGGGCTTCGTGCACAGGGTGCTAATGGTCAGTTGACTTAGGGCCACCACACTGGTAGGTAAATGACTCCTCCTTACCTTACTCCTCCTCCTGAAGGCAGTGGGGTGGGCAGAAATGCTGCTTCAAGCACCACCATGCAGAGGGGGCTGGGCAGAGGGCATGGGAGTGTCTGACCACTGGACAAATGACATGGCTTAGGACTTCAATCATGCAGGAATTCAGGAGTTGTTCCTCCAATGTGCCCACGGGCCAGGACCACCAGCACAACCCTAACTAGGACTCGCAGTCACAAGCAGATGGCTCATGGCAGCACAGGCCACAGAGAGTTGTGCATTGCACTCTACTGCCCTCCAACTATTCATTCATATCCACTCCACATTCATCAAGCACCTGCGTGCCAGGCACTGAGTGTGAGACCTCAGAAGCAAAGGTGAACAACATGAGCAGCCTCTCTCTGAAGAGTTTCTAGCCTGGAAGGGGAAATTATGGACACACGAACAAATAATTATGATAATGTGCACTAAATGCTGTAATACAGCTATAAAGTGGTCTCTGAGCAATAAATATGATGCTCAGGGACCACAGGAGATTCTGGAGAACATTACACCCTATAGAACACTGTTGAGAGAAGCAGAGATGGAGCTTCATCAGGCCTGCACAGGTCATCCAAAAGCATTTCTAGCTCACACCTTAGTCAGTGAAGTTTTTATTTGTTAACATGTGTAGGAGACCAAGCCACAGGCTGCAAGCTTGGGCTCAGGGGTTGTCCAATGGAACAGCAGGGCAGAGCCATCCCAGCACAATGGCCAAAGGTCCCTCATACTTAGAAAATGCCTCCCTACCAGGACTTTGTCAGCCTGAAGGGCCAGGGCAAGGGTGCCCTTGGATGGTCTTAGTTTAGGAGGAGCAGAGGTCAGGGCTGCCGTAGCTCAGGGCTATTTCAGGACACTTAAGACATAACAGACTGGCTTGTCTTCCCTCCAGACACTGGCTGCCTTGCATCTGACTCTTTAATTTCCCTGGAGAGGAAAACATATTGCTTCTGGCTATGACCCTGAGAGGGACAAGAGCATCCTCCTTTCTGATTGCTGTCTCCTACCTGGGAGGGAAGCCAGACCCTGCATGTGTATCCACTCTGTAAGTGAACACTTCTGAGACAGGGATCTGTGGAGCCAGCCCAGGAGTCTTCAAATGAAGGCCTTTGCTGCTCTCATCTCCACCTTGTGGGCAACCCGACCTATCCAGGGACTAGCACTAAAAGTTTGGGTGATGCTTCAGACCTCACCTCAAATGCCCCTTTGACCTCTGTGGTCAGCTGACTGCCAGGGTACCAGGGAGGACAAAGAAGAAGCTGGCTGGCCTCACTCCCCACACCTAGGCTGCCCATGGCCCTTGTTGCTGGCGCAGGCTGCCCTGGCATTCAGCAACCCCAGAATGTGTGTCCATGTTGTGCCAGGTACTATGAGATGTATTGAACAAGAGCATTTGCTGTACGTGGGTTAACTCATTTCATTTTCACAAGACTGTTTCTGCTGTACATATGAGCACTAAGGGGTTATGGGACTTGCTCAAGGTCACCCAAGCTAGCAAGTGGCTGGGCTAGGATTTGAACCCTACGAATATGATTTTAGAGCCCAAGTTCTTACCTACTGCATCATTCTCACTTGAATTCCTCATTTAACTTTGGAAGCATCACAGTGTCCTTTTAAAATAGCAGTTTTAGTGGTTAACAGAGCAGGTTCTGGAGTCAGACACAAGGAGACCTGGGTTCTAACTGTGTGATTTTGGAAAGGTCACTTAATCTCTCTGGGGCTCGGTTTCTTCATCTGTAAAATGGAACAAGAACACCTGCCTTCAAGGAGGTAAAGATGGAATAATGTACTCAGCACACTGAAGCTCTCATGGGCAGTTAGTTATGTACTTTCTTCTCTTGTCACAAGTCCAGTGTTTGTGACAAGAGAAGAGTGCCTGCCCATGTGGTTTATCAGGCCCTCCTATTGAAAGCTGGGGTGTGGTGGTTAATGGGTCTGGCTCTGATGTAACTCGAAAAAAGACCAACCCCCCAACATGAGATTAAAGGATGGGCTTCCAGGGACTGTGCACAGGGGCTAGGCATCCTTCCCCCGACACCATCCTCTTTCCCAGCCTTAGTATCCTCCCCCTCCCCACTGATCACAAAAATGCCTTATTTGCCCAATTATTATACATACTAATCATTTCCATTTATATGCCTAGCTTACCATTTATTCCTAATTATTGTGCAGTTCAGAAACAATTATGCATACCATTAAGGATGTTATCAGGGTAACTTTGCAGTGAATTTTACTTAACTTCAATACTAAATGGTTTGTGTGTGATTCACTCCACAGTTTGTGGTTCCCGTGGCATAAGAGCTCCTTCAACTGAGTTGGGGGACATTAGTTCCCATGGCATAAGATCTCCTTAAACTGAGTTGGGGGACATTAGGGTAGGCCACACTGCACTGTGATGGTACATAAGAACAACTGTGGGAGTAGCAGCAGCAGTAGTAATAGCTGCAATTCCTTGAGCGATTATGTACTGGACACTTCAGCATTTCTATACATGATATCATTTGAACTCCATAGCCAACCTCTTATTAAAGATGAGGTGAGGCACAGTGGTTAAGTAATGCATCCAAGGTCACCCAGATGGGAACTGGCAGGCCTGGGGTTCAAATCCAGGTATGTCTGAGTCCTGAGCCTGACCTCCATCACCTCACAGGTGCCTGTCCCGTAGAAGGGTGCAAGGTGAGCCCTGGTGGTGGCAGGGAGGGGCTTGGAGGCCATCCAGTCCATTCCCCTTGTTCTCACGGTAGAACACTGAGGCTAGAGTGGGGAAGTGGCTTGCCCAGGCCTGCAGGGCCAGGTGAGGACAGACCGGGATAAAGCCCTGCTTCTCTCAATGCCTGGCTTCCCCTTCAGCACTTTAGGAGGCAGCTGTACTGGGGACAGAGGCAGCATCTCTGAATTCTTGTTCATCGCTCGGGGCTGACGCAGGCAGCTGCGCGCACCTCACTGCTAGATCGTCAGCCTGGTCAAGAACAGCAGTTTGCTCTAATTCTTGAAAGCTGACCTGCTTTAGGAAGTGCTCCCTTTGGAAGATGCCTGGTCTCTTCCCCTTCTGTCCTTTTTTCTTTTTTTTCTAAACATGCATCTCCTTTCACTCCTTCATTTATCTTCCCTCAAAAGGCAACTGCTAGCATTAACTGAGTACTTACTAGGGGCTGATTATGCTGCTAAGTGCTTTATGTCTATTTTTCCACTGAATCCTCACAATACTTCTGTGAGGTAGGAACCACCATTATCTCCCCATTTGCTAGCTAAGGACTCTGAGGCCCAGAGACATTAAATATGGGCCCTGAGTCACACAGCTGGGAATGTCAGAGCACAGATTTAGAGCCAACAGATTTAGGACCAACGAGATGGGGCTGCCCCCCAGTGGGGGCTATGGGGTGCCCACAGGCTGAGGAGGCTGTGAGGAGCAGGGCTCCCTCTTACCACAGAAGCCTGCAGACTCTGTTCTCACTCCAAGGCCTGGTATCTAGGCCTCAGTGTTCACACCCATAGGTGGAGGAGGGCACATCATTTTCTCATCCACTTTTGGAGACCCCTTCCTGAATGGGCATGCCTCCCTCTTTTTGGCTATAAGCCACTGAGTTAGAGAACAGGATGGAGAATGTGATTGACAGCCCATGTCCTCCTGTGTAGCTGACTGCATTACAGGTGAAAGGGCAAGTCACTACTTCCCACGTGTGCAGAGGGAGAGAACCCTGGGGTGGACTTTCCAGGATGAAATGTGAGTGACAATGCTTATATGCATTTCTCTCTTTCTTCTCTTTGCCTTCTCTTCCTCCCTCTTTCCTCCTTCCTTTTCCATTCATCCAACAAGCATTCACTGAGTCCTCACTCCATGCTGGGCACTGTGCTAGGCACCAGAGATGCAAAGAACAGCCCTGCCCTAGGGGACAAGCACTCATCAGAAAAGTGGGCCAGAAATCACAGTGGTGTTGTAAACATGACAGCAGGAGGGTGAGGCCAAGCCAGGGCTCACTCCTCTTCCCTCTCCACAGCACTCCTCAGGCATCCCAGGCCTGCTCCTGCCGGCCTGTCTGCTCCCCATGTCTGGGACGTTCCTCTTCCCAGACACAGGAGTGGCTCACTCCCTCAGCATTTTGAGGTCACTGCTCACCTCTCCCAGGGCCTCCCCTACCCACTGCCTGGACCTACCAGGCCCCTGCCACTCTCCATGCTCTAGCCCTGCTCTAGTTTTCTCCATAGCGCACTTACCACCACTGACTTTTTAATTTTTTTTTTTAGCTAACGTATCTCTAGGTTATTAACTCCCATTAGAATATAAGTTCCATGAGGGTAGGAATTTTATTCTACTTTGCTCACTGCTGTATCACCAAATGATTAGAACAGTGTCTGTCGCATAGGAGCTCGACAAATACTTGTTAAATGAATGAGTGGCATAGAGGTCATGGTGCACTAGAAAGTGAACGGGCCCTGGAGTGAAGCTCACCTACTCCCCGGGAAGCTCAGCTTCTCGGAGTCTCAGCTGATGGGATACCTGCTTTTAAAGATCTCCAAGTCCCTTCTTACCTTCCCACAAAAAACGCAGATCATGGCCCATGCCTGCTGTTCCACCTCAGTGGAAAGCAGCGGGAATGAAGCTCAAGCAAAGACCAGGGGTGGGGCCTGGCTGTGGAGCCCACTCCTAAGTGGCTTCAGACGGCATCACGCAATTGGTGTGGAGACAAATTCACCCCCGACTGCATTTGCATATGTTGAGGTTAAGATGAACTTTCACTCTCTGGGCACAACACACAAGCAGGGAGCCCCAAAACTGAGTGAACAGTGGCAGGGGCAGCCAGGAACGAAGAAGCTGCTGTGAAGGCAACTCCTGAGTTTTCAGAAAGGGAGGCAGTCTAGCTCACAGGAGACCTCAGGGTCCTGGTCCCAGGACCTTGCCACATAGATCTCACGCACTCCCTACACAGCCCTTCCTGGGAGCAGTGTCACTGTGGGATGTGACAGAATCCCACCTCCTGCCCCTGCCTTCCAGTGTTCGGGATGAAAAGGCCACACAGCCTGGGATCAGGGAGGAAATATCTGCTCTGCAGACATGACTGTTTCACAGATGAGATAACAAGCCTGTGATGGCATCAAGGTTAATAGAGCCTCCTGCAAACTTGGAATCCAAACGGCTCTGGCAGCTGCATTAAAACCTGAACAGTTTTTCCTGGGGATTTTTCTGATTAATGCAAATTTGTTTTGCTTCGCAAATTGGAAATCAGTTGCAAGCACCTGGTGTAATAATTCCAAGAGGGAACTGAGAACCCTAAGGAGAAATCAGGTATTCTCACACCAACCAGCCCACGCCCAGACCTTGCCTGCCTTGTCCCACCTCTGGTACCTGGGCACCAGGTCACCACCTCGGTTCTCTGCTGCATTCTGCCCCCCACAACCCCCACTGCTCAGTAAACTATTCTCTATTGAGCACCACTGGCTGACTTTACCCAAGTGGTTTCCAGATGCTGGGACTCCCAGCCTCCCGCTTCCCCAGCCATGGAGGGTGGTAGGTACAATCAGGGAAGTCATTCAAGCCTTCTGTAAGAAGCCTGCCTTGGCATCTCCTGGGGGGACATCATTATCATCAGTGGCACTATCGAGTGGCACTGTTTCATCTTTCAGCAAAGGAACTGACAGAAAACCCGGAGATGCACCTCCTAATCGAAACTGTTCCTTTTTTAAGTTCTTGTCCCAACTACCCAGTTGCTTCTCACCTCTGAGTAAGCACCTTCTCCCATAGTACCAGAAAGTGGAGTGAACTACTGGGGGCTCCCAGAAAAAAGTGTGTGAAGAGGACGCTGCAGGGATCCCACGACTGCCTCTCCCATCCTGCTTGTGCCTTTCTACCTGTCAAAGCAGTGCTCCTGGAGCTGCAGAGCTGAGTGGACAGGAACACCCTTTGGCTGCCTGTCCCCTCCCCCAGCAGACGCACATTGTTCATTCAGCTCCAAGATAAGTTGGGAGGGATGGCAGTTATGAACGGGCCCCATCATGCTCCCCCTTCCTTTGCTACGCAATTTAAAGGCAGGAGACAGAGAAACGCTCTGGAAATCCAAATTAAAATGTATTCCTGCAGCAATCCTGCACCCAATTAAAGTAACCCAGGGCCCATTGTCCTTTGCTAAATTTAGAAAATGCTCAGGTGTGTCTGATCCTACTCTGCACAGATATTTTTAATACAGATTTAATCATATTTTGGGTTAGGAGAAGAAGCTAATTAGGTAGGCAGATTTAGAAGGGCTGCTGGAATGCGGGACAAAGCGAGGTGATTTGATGCAATTCACTGTTTTCGGTTTTTGTTTTTTTTTTTTCTAAGCAGTAAGTTGTGTTCAAAGTCACAGAAAATTGGCTTGAAAACTGAGGTGACAAGGAACAGGAGGGCATCCCTGTGTTAGTAGTTGATAAATCCTGGGGCTGGAGGGAACCCCAAAAGGGGGTCTCATATACTGCACAGAGTGCTGAACTCCAGCACACCCAAAGGCAGAGGGCCTTCGCCGTTTAATGTGACACCAGAACTGGCGTCTTCATCCGTGGCTGGGAAAGCATTCATTCAGGTTCTCTCTGCAGGAAGGCACAAGGTGTTCCTCAATGAATGCTGGTTGGATGGATAACTGAATCAGTGTCTGAGCAGTAGACCAAGAAGCCAGCCAGCCCCTGGACCTGGGTAAGGGGCTTCTGGTTCCTGTCCACCTGGCCCCAGGGCACTTGCCTGCCTCTGGTCCTTGATTCTTGGCTAGGTGCCACCCCCAACCCCCTTCTCAGTAACCATCTCCATAAAGCACCACTGGCTGCACCCAAGTGTAGAAAAAAAAAAAGGCATCTTGGCTTAACCCTGTGCTGAATCATCATGTAATTGAGTAAATGACTTAAAAGCCCCTCTGAGT
This sequence comes from Homo sapiens, assembly GCF_000001405.40. NCBI lineage: Eukaryota > Metazoa > Chordata > Mammalia > Primates > Hominidae > Homo > Homo sapiens. The sequence continues at coordinate 111,930,745 of NC_000001.11, forward strand.
CTCAGTTTCTCCTCCAGCAACATGGGGATTCTGGTTTCTATCTTCATTATAAGGATGGCAAAGATACAGTGAGACTTAACCGTGACATGCTGGAAATGCCAGGAAGGGAGGCCACTGGAGGGCACACACCCAGGTAGCTCAGTTCTGCAGGTGAAAAAGGTTGCGATGCTACAAGGTCATTCTGTTTTAAACCAAACTGTGTGCTGGGGAGAGGTGGGTTCTTTATCCAGCCCCATCCCACGACACCCCTGTCTTTGTGATGAAGGAAGCTGATCCACAGCACATCCAGCACATTGTCTGCTGAACAAGTTAGGTTACAAAGGAAAGCACAGAAGAGTGTCTACAGTATACTCTGCCTCGTATGAGAAGGAGAGGGATGTAAGAAAGCACACAGGCATCTTGCTCATCTGTGCAAAAGAATGGAGGAAAGATAAACCAGAAACTTAAGAGACTGGCTATCTACAAGAGGTAGGTGGGAAAGAGGTGAGAAGGAAGGAGGAATGGGAACTGGGAGAAGAGATGAGGAGGGTGGGACACTTCTGATAATACCTTCTTGTACTGTTTTGATTCTGAAAAGCTCAGTAACGTTTCACATGGCCTTCATACACCCAAAATAAACAAATGAAACCAACAGGATGTGGAAGGAGTCTCCCACCCACCCCCTAAAAAACCTGTAGAGTTCCCCCTGAGAGCAGACTCTGTCTTCCTCAAGGAAAAGGTCCCACAGAAAGGAGAGCCCATAGCTTTCCTAGTGTAGTCGCTGAAAGCAAAGATTCTAGAGCCTGGGTTCAAATCCTAGCATATCATTTACAGGCTGCGTGTGATTTTGAATAAGTTGCTTAACCTCTCTGGGTTTCCATTTCCTCATCTGTAAAATGGAGTAAGACGGTAACTACTTCACATAGCCATTATGGGGAGCTTGTAAGTCAGCACAAAACGAAGGCTTAGGGCAGCATCGGCATAGTGCTGCGTAAGTGCTTGCTAGCATGATTATCATTATTTTAGGGTTTGATGTTTTGGGCAGTTGCAGAGACTCATCTTCTGTGCCATGAGATAATAGCTCCCTTTTCCCACTAGGACATCCCTTAAGATTAGGAATGGGCCAGACTGACATGGAACTTTCCAGTGGCGGTCTCACCATGGTGGCAAATGCCCCTGCTCCGAGACTGTATTAGTTTCCCATTGCAGCTCTTACAAATGCAAACGTAGTGTCTTCAGCACCACCAACGTATACAGTTCTGGAGATAACAGGTCTGCAATGGGCCTCCCTGGGTTAGCCCTTGGCTTGTGGCCCCTCTCCTCCATCTTCAAAGCCAGCCGCAGCAGGCCGAGTCCTTCTCAGATTGCACCACTCTGACCTCTCCTCTTGCCTGCCTCTTCCACCTTAAAGACCCTTGTGATTACACTGGGCCCACCTGGATAACCCAGGAAACTCTCCCTTTCTTAAGGTCAGCTGACTAGCAACCTTAATACCACCTGCTGCCTTAATTACCCTATGTCAGAAAAGGTAACATATCCACGGGAGCAGGGGATGAGAGTTTGGGCACCACTGGGGGCTTTATCCTGCCTCCCACAAGGGCCAGCTCTTAACCAGCTCCACCCTCTTCACTTGTGCTAAGGGCTGGGTCTCTTGGGTTTTGTTGGTTTGTTTTTACCATTTTTTAAGCTTACAATGCAGTGGCATTAAGTGCATTCACACTGCAGTGCAGCCATCACCACTATCCATCTTCAGAACTTTTTCATCTTCCTCCACTGAAACTCTGTACCCATTAAACATTAACTCCCTATTCCTCTGCACTCAGCTCCTGGCAGCCACCATTCTACTTTCTGACTCTAAGAATCTGACTACTCTAGATACCTCATATAAATGGAATCATACAGTTTGTCTTTTTGTGACTTGTTTATTTCACCCAGCACTGTCCTCAAAGTTCACACATACTATAGCATGTTGGTTTCTTGTTTTGCAACAACTCCGTGCTACTGATTCTGCTCATCTACCCAAAAGCTGGCCCTGCAGGAAGTCCCCACTAGAAATTGCATTTTAGGCTAAAAGTTTGCCAACAGGTGGCCTGGAGATTTAAAAAGAACAGAGTGTGATCTGATATGGTGGTATGCATTGCTCTGGGGTCTCGGAGCACTGGGTTCCAGTCCAGACCCAGCCATCTATTAGCTGCTTGACTTTCATTCATCAGCAAACATTTATAGAGTACTGACATGGTTTGGCTGTGCCTCCACCCAAAATCTCATCTTAAATTGTAATCCCCATAATCCCCATGTGTCAAGGGTGGGACCAGGTGGAAGTAATCAGATTATGGGGGCGGTTTCCCCCATGCTGCTCTCGTGATAGTGAGTTCTCATGAGATCTGATGGTTTTGTAAGCATCTGGCATTTCCCCTATTGGCACTCATTCTCTTTCCTGCCACCCTGTCAAGAGGTGCCTTCTGCCATGACTGTAAGTTTCCTGAGGCCTCCCCAGTCATGTGGAACTGTGAGTCAATTAAGCCTCTTTTCTTTATAAATTACCCAGTCTCTGGTATTTCTTCATGGCAGCCTGAGGTTGGATTAATACAAGTACCAACAACTCACCAGTCACTGTGCGAGGCATATGAAGCACAGAAACTGCTTAGCACAGCCCCAGTCACTTAGTAAGTACTTTGTGAGTGTTAGCTTATAAAGGAGGTCAGGGGCAGAGTCCAGAGAAAAACTTACCCCTACCATTCCACATTGAGTGTCCTGTTAGGAGCCTCAGTCTGAATCCTGGCAGAAGAGCATTCACGAAATTATTGCAGCATCTCTTAAGATGTCAGGGGAGGCTGCTCTGGGGAGGGGCCTCTAAAGGGGCTCTAAATGGAGCTGGAGAGGCATCCAAGAAGCAGGACCAAATCAAGAGTGGCATGCATGTGGGAAAGCAGGCAGGGAGGCCAAGCTCCACCTTTCAAAGCTGATGGGTTTTCCTGATCCTCATCTTAAATCTCCTCCAGGAAGCTTTCCATAATTAAACCCACAGAATTCTAGTGACTTTCACTAGACATCTCCTCCACATTTCCCTACACTGTCTGTACTTAATCAATTTGCACTTGTTTATCAGTCATGGCACAAAAGCACTTCAGTAATCTGGATTAAAGTACTTGATCTGTCTACACTGCCCAAGACTTTAAAAACAATCCCAACCCTTCCCCAACCTAGATACCGTGCTATAGGCAGGAGGCACAGATCAAGCATCTGTTGACAGAAGCAAATTGAAGGAGAAAAAATGACAACTCCTGGACCCATCCCACTAGCTAAGTGCTTACTCTCTCCCTCCCAAAGGCCCTGGGGAAGGTGGTGCGGGGGCTCAGCAGGTCAGTTTGTGGCAGCCGAGCTTCTCCCCGTGTGGTTCTGGGTAGGTCACTCCAAGTCGCCAGGTTGCTGTCTCCTCACCTGTAAAAGTGGGAGGTGGGAGGCAGGGTTGGGGTGGAGGCTTCAGCTGAAAGGCCTGCCCAAGAGAGCAGACTCCCTCCCATCCTCCAGACACTCCAGACACCCCAGCCCCCAGCCCATTCCATCTCTGGCCTCATGACAAGACATCTGAGTCAAAGGCACAGACTCATCAGACGTGGGGCTCAGCCCAAGCAGTTTTCACATCTCTCAAAAACTCTTGCTTGCTAAGGAATCAGGGCAGCTGATGACCAATAGGATCAGAGAAACCAGAGCTAGGAGATGCTGGCCACAGCAAGCACCTCAGCCCCAGACATAGAAGGCCCAGGTGAAAGCGGTTGTCTAAATTAATCCACGGGGAATTTGTAAATTAATCCCAGACCAGCGCCCCGCCAGACTCGTGTATGTTCTGGAAAAGCCATTATCATTCTTAGAAAAAGGAGTGTAAATCTGCCACCAAGTAGGCATGTGAGTGTGTGCATGCATGTTTGGTATGTTTGTGCATGTGTGTGCGTACTCTGAATCTGGGTGTGGACAGTGCAGGCAGTGAAGCAAATAATGGGGCAGTTGCATGCACAGCTTCTGGAGTCTGGGTCTGTATCCTGGTTTGGTCATCTAGCAGTTCGGTGAATTTGGGCAAGTGCTATAAACTGCTTATACCTCAGTTTCCTCACCCATAAAATGGAGATACTAATAGTATCTAAGTCATGTGAGACTGCTGTGATTATTAAACAAGTTAATACAGATAGAGCACTTACATTAATGCCTGGCATGTGGTTGGCACTCAACAACTATTAGCTATTCTTCTGATTTATTTATCTAGATCAGTTGACTGATGGATGTCACCTTTGCTTCTTGACTCTAAACTGAGTAATCACTGGAGGTCACCAGACTTAAAGCCAAATCCATCTATCTATATGGCATACTTGAACATGGGGTATGTCCATAAACACAAGTCTTATGGTTTTCATTAGATTCTCAAATTCCCAAGGACGAACTTTATTGAAATATCATTCATAGAGTCACTGCCATTGGGAACCTTTTATATATTTAATAACCTTATAAAAAAGTCTTTTGTATACCTCATCAACCAAACCCTTTCAAACTGGTCCAGCCCAACCTACGTCATGCTCCCTGGCTTGATGGCAGGGAGCTTTCTGAATTGATTTTAGAGCCCACTCTCTTGGCTTGTGGATTATTTGTGCAACCACCTGCTTCCCTTACTCCCAGATAATTGACTTGCCTGTTTTTACTCATTTACATGGAGAGAGAGCTACATAAATAAAATCCTTTTAATTTCCTTATTTGATTATAATTGCCCAGAGAGGAAAAACATGTCCTTTTTCCCCTGGGAGATGCAAACCTTTAGTATTTTGGTGATACACTTGGCAATGATTAATAATGAAATATTAAATAATTAAAATGGCAACAATAATGATAATGATGGAGATGGTGACAGCCTCTATCTTTTGCTGAACACTCAAGTGTGCCAGGAACTGTACTAAGTCCTTCCCCGCATTAGCTCCTCTAATTTTGGCACCAGAACAGACCTGTCTCTCCTGCAAATTGAGGGGCAAACTTACCCTGTTCATGTTTGTGGAAGAGGGGCCGAGGGGCCAAGGGTCCTATAGCCCTGACTGCAGATCCAGAGAGTTCAAGAGCATCCTCCTGGAATCCCGACCTCATTCCAACTCATAGGGAGCACAGAACACCCCCAATCCACTTTTCAATTATACACACATACACACATGCCCCCTATGTAATCATCCCAACAAATGTGCTGAGGGAAAATAAACTCTGCAAGACTGGTTTATAAAAATAGCAAAACTCATAGCACAAACCTGCTCTGTATAATTCATGCAGAAAACATGGAAATATCCTGATAAATTGTGCTTTTTGTAGTTTCCATGAATTTGCTGATTACACACAGTCACATTGCATGCACAGACTGCCCCTGTATGTATTTCAATAATACTGCTTGTATTTCAGTAAAGAGATGGAGAGACCCCAAGTTTGAAGACTGGCTGTGTCCGTGGGGAGCTTGCAATCTACCACTGGTGAGGCTGGTCCCAGCTCAGACATTTTTAGCTTAATAATATTTACCAAGTCCCTGCAACGTGCCAGCATTGGTGAGCAGAGGGCTCCCCAGGGAGGAATAAGGGCCTAGTGGAGCAAGCAGACCCTAGAACAGATTAAAAATATGACAAAGTAGGTTTGATCACAGTGCAGAAACAGAGGACCAGGTGGGCTTCCTGCAAGAGGGTCTGAGTCTTAAAGGATAAAGGCACAGTGACCAGAGAGGAAGGCGAAAATGGCATTCTAGGTAGAGGGAACAGTAAGAGCAAAGGGTGCTGGGCACCAGGAAATGGAGGGTGGACAGGGTTGCTTGGTATCATCAAGGCATGCGGCGGGACAGGCAAGAGTTGAGGCTGGTGTGGGAAGCAGCAGTCAGAAAAGAAGAGAAGGCCCTGGCCACCCTGCCAAGATCTTGGCTTCACTGTGTGGGTGAGAGGCCACTGAAAGTCCTATCCTAACTACTCAGGGAAACGTCCCTGCTCCCTCTGTGAAGCACTCTCAGGCCTCCTTCCTTTCCACCACAGTGCTTCTAAATCCAATTGGAATTTTATCATTATCCAAGTGATTTGGGGGCACTGTCTCTCCATCTAGACACTGGGCTTTTCTGTTCACTGCATCTCCAGTGCCTAGCACATTTCTGGTACATATGAGCCACTCAATGTTTGTTGAATGAAATGGCTAATGAATGATCTTTGCAACTCATCATGAGATGGTTGGATGGGGGTGAGACTAGAGACTGGGAGGCCAGTTGCAAGGCTAGTGGAATAATTTTGCCTGATCAATGATAAGGGTCTCAGGAGAGAATGCATAAACATTTAAAAGGTACGAACAGTAGGCAGACATTGATGGATCTGGGTGTGGGGAGAGGGAGTTGTCTGGGTAAGTCCCAAGCTGGGCTGACATCCTAGAGAGGCAATGGGCCATTTCCTGAGATAAGGAACAAGGGAGAGGAGCAGGTTTTGGGGGAGGGTAGGAGAGGGAAAGCATGAGTCCATCATGGACTTGGTGAGCTGGAGTCTGAGTTCCCAGAGGTTCCAAGCATTCTCTTCCTGGAAACAGACACAGTGACCTCTCTGGCCACCCCAGGCAACCCCTCCACAGGCAGCATTAGGATTCATGCTGATCCTGCTGTAGACTGACCAGCCCCAGGCGCTTTTCCATTCCACCAGCCATGCCCCGAGTCATCAGACTCCCTGGGGGAAGGTGGGTGGAGGCCTGGCCCACAGAGCCTGCTGGTTGTAGCAGAGGACGAAAAGAATGTCTGCTGTAGAAATGAGATTCAAGCAGATGCCCCCGACAGGCCAGGGGACTGCTCCACACTGGGGCTCATGCCTTTCAGAACGCTTCTGGCTCATTGTAACAAGTCTATTACAGTGAGGTGTAAGACAGGCAGGCATAAAACAGTGTAGCCATCAGAGAGGGACGAGGCCAGGGCATAAAGTCCAGGAACTTCCTGGCCACTCAGTCTCCATTCCCAGGAATGGCCAAGGAAAAGGGGACAGGCCCTTAGCTGGAATTCATGGCCTAGAAATGGGTCTACCAGCCTCTCCATCCATTCCCTGGGTAGGCCTGAACACACATTCTGGGCTGGGGAGCCAAGATGGAGAGCTGGCCAGAGGCATAATCGCCCTGCTCCTCCACCCAGTCTGTTCTGCTCAGTTAGCTTTTCTAAAGTTACCACATTGATCATGCCACTCTCCCACTCAACCTTCAGTGACCCCTTGTTGCCTTTGGAAGGAAGGTGAAGTCTGAAGCCCAGCCTTCAAAGCCACCTCTAGTTTAACCTCAACCTGACTTCTCGACATTTCAGCTCACTTCTCCCCAGAAGGCTATTTCACTGCAGCCAAACAGGTATCCTCACTGACTTAAGCCCTCATAAAAACAGAATCATTGACTGTTAGTGATGGAAGAAACCCTGGAAATCATCAAACCCAGCCTTCCATTTTACAGACAGTGACATCCAGGACCAGGGAGGGGAAGTGACCTGCCTCTGGCCGAGGTCTGAGCTGAGTCTAGAGTATGTTGGTTTGTTCATTTGCCCATTCATTCTCATATTCAACCTGCATTGAGTGTCCATTTCCTGCCAGACACTATTGTAGTTCATGTATGAACATGAAACCTACCCTTAGTCATTTATTTAACAAATGTTTACTAAGCACCTTCTATGTGCCAGGCTAGAGTCAGAATGTAATAGGAAATAAAGCAGTGAAGTCCCTGCTTTCTTGGAGAGCTGGGGAGCTAGATCACCAATAAGAAAAACTATGTCAGATGGTGATAACTGCTATGAAGAACAACACGGGGGAAGGGGATAGAGACAGCGGCAGTGGGGATGCAAATTTTATCTAGGGTGTGAAAGGAATGCCTCTTCCATCAGTGGACATTGAATGGAAACTTGAAAGAAGTAAGGTTATCTGAGGAAGAGGGTCCAGGGAGAGGAAGCAGCAACTGCAAAGGCCCTGAGGCAGGAACGTGCTTGGCTAAAGAGAAGAACAGCAGGGAGGCCGCCAGGACTGCACAGAGCAAGAGAGAGAGTAATGTCAATAATCCCAGAGAGGGAGCAGGGATGTGCCAGCCACAGCAAGGACTCTGGCTTTTACTCAAAGTGAAAGGAGGCATCACTGGGTCCTGAGCAGAGGAGGGAGCCAAGCTAAGACCTCACACAAAGGAAGGAAGGGCTAAACAGGGAACCCCTGCAGCTCCAATGCTGTACTTATACCCCAACTGCCTAGGTCATTCCTAATCATTCTTTAGATTCTGGCTGCTCAATGTGTGGTTCCCAGACCAGCAGAACTGGCATCACCAGGAAACTTATTAGAAGAATCACAGGCCTCACTCAGACCGTCTGAATCTGAATCTGCACTTAGCAAGATCCTCAGAAGGTCTGTGGTAGACGCATTAACATTTGAGAAGCTCTGTCCTGGATCTCAGGCCAAACACGACTTCCTCAAGGCATCCTCCAAACCCTCAGGCCCCACAAGGTGATTTATTTATTTTTAATTTTTTTTAGTATACTTTAAGTTTTGGGATACACGTGCAGAACGTGCAGGTCTGTTACATAGGTATACACATGTCATGGTGGTTTGCTGCACCCATCAACCTGTCATCTATATTAGGTATTTCTCCTAATGCTAGCCCTTCTGTAGTTCCCCACCCCCCAACAGGCCCGGGTGTGTGATGTTCCCCTTCCTGTGCCCATATGTTCTCATTGTTCAACTCCCACTTATGAGTGAGAACATTCTGTGTTTGGTTTTCTGTTCCCGTGTTTGCTGAGAATGATGGTTTCCAGCTTCATCCATGTCCCTGCAAAGGACATGAACTCATCCTTTTTTATGGCTGCATAGTATTCCATGGTGTATATGTGCCACATTTTCTTTATCCAGTCTATCATTGATGGGCATTTGGGTTGGTGCCAAGTGTTTGCTATTGTGAATAGTGTCACAATAAACATACGTGTGCATGTGTTTTGATAGTAAAATGATTTCTAATCCTTTGGGTATATACCCAGTAATGGGATTGCTGGGTCAAATGGTATTTCTGGTTCTAGATCCTTGAGGAATCGCCACACTGTCTTCCACAATGGTTGAACTAATTTAATTTACACTCCCACCAACAGTGTAAAAGCATTCCTATTTCTCCACATCCTCTCCAGCATCTGTTGTTTCCTGACTTTTTAATGATCGCCATTCTAACTGGCATGAGATGGTATCTCATTGTGGTTTTGGTTTGCATTTCTCTAATGCCCAGTGATGATGAACTTTCTTTCATATGTTTGTTGGCCGAATAAATATCTTCTTTTGAGAAGTGTCTCTTTATATCCTTCGCCTACTTTTTGATGGTTTTTTTTTTTTTTTTTTTTTTTGTAAGTTCCTTGTAGATTCTGGATATTAGCCCTTTGTCAGACGGACAGATTGCAAAATTTTCTCCCATTCTGTAGGTTGCCTATTCTTTCTGATGATAGTTTTTTTTTTGCTGTGCGGAAGCTCTTTAGTTTAATTAGATCCCATTTGTCAATTCTGGCTTTTGTTGCCATTGTTTTTGGTGTTTTGGTCATGGAGTCCTTGCCCATGCCTATGTCCTGAATGGTATTGCCTAGGTTTTCTTCTCGGGTTTTTATGCTTTTAGGTCTTACGTTCAAGTCTTTAATCCATCTTGAGTTAATTTTTGTATAAGGTGTAAGGAAGGGGTCCGGTTTCAGTTTTCTGCATATGGCTAGCCTGTTTTCCCAACACCATTTATTAAAGAGGGAATTCTTTCCCCATTGCTTGTTTTTGTCAGGTTTGTCAAAGATCAGATAGTTGTAGATGTGTGGCATTCTCTCTGAGGCCTCTGCTCTGTTCCATTGGTCTATGTATCTGCTTTGGTACCAGTACCATGCTGCTTTGCTTACTGTAGCCTCCCACAAGGTGATTTATTGTCTCAACGCAGTTTTGAATCCTCTTTCATACCATTTACCACATTGTCATGCAATCGTTCTCCAACTTGCTGCACATGATAATCATCTGGGGAGAAGTAAAAAGTGCCAACGGTCCACTGCACCCCTCACCGATGACATCAGAGCCTCTGGTGTGGAGACCCAGGCATTCACATTTTTTAATCTCTCCCCCTCCACCTTCCACCCCACATACACACCCTGGTGTTTCCAATGTACAACCAAAGTTTTGAACACTTGTGGTAACTGAATCCTTCATGGTTCTCTCCTTTGTGTAAGTATCATGAGAGCAGGGACTGTGTTTGCCTTGTTTACTGCTGTTCTTTGCTCCCAAAACAGAGCCTGGCACAAAGTAGATGTTCAATAAATACTTCTCAAAGGAAAGCAGCGGGGCAGGAGGGGAAGAAGAAAGGAAGACTGTCCTGCTCTGACAAACTTACCTCAGATGAGTGGCAGCTGCTGCTATGTCAGGGTTAAAAATCAGAGCAGGGCCTCTGCAGAGCTGGTAACCAACTTCACAGAAAAAAAAAACCAGACACATTTTCTACTTCTCACTGCTAGGCACCCAGAAAAGCCAACATTGTGGAAGGGTGTCGGCTCTGTGTCTCTTTGTGAGGAGGTAATCTGGTGCCTTCTGCTGGTGGGACCCCCTTGCAGGCCCCCTCCTACCTCCCCACCTGCCCCAGTCTCTCTGCAAGCAGCAGGGCTGAACAGGTCTTCAGGGATATATAATCTGGGAGAGCCCAAACCCTCCGTCCAGCTCCCCAGAGCTGGGGGGCTTAGCTCCATATCTACTGGGGTTTTTATCACAGAAATAAATCAGGGCCTTGTTTTACCCTCGAGTACACATTACTTTTCCTCTCTCACTAAAGCAAACTTCTCTCCCATCCCTTCTGGAGAGGTTCATTTAATAATGTGTGAAATGAAATGTCAACAAGAATTAGAACAAATGGCATGGTAATCCCCAGCAGATGACAGGCAGCCAGAGGCAGGGCTGCTCCTACAGTCCCAAGCAGGGAGCCAACGAGGGGGACCCCGCAGCCCTGACCCTGGGAAGGGGAACCTCTAGGCATACTGTCTCCCCGCTTGCAACTGAAATATGGTCTTTGAATTTCTGACAGAAGAACAGAAACTGCCTTTGACATAGGAAACAGCTTTTCTTTGACATACAATTAGCAAGGACAAGTGTTCCCTAGGGCGGGGCGCAAGAGGCCCCATCAGTCAGCCCATCAGAGGCCATGTGGATTGGGGGTCAGGGAATCAGAGCCTTGAGCTGCTGCCAATAATCATCCGATCACCTTGCCTTGCACGGGGCTGCTGCTTTTCACAGGCTCCTGCAATCTATCAGCTTATCCTGCTCCAGGGACTTGGAGTATAAGAGAAAAATACCTCTGCCCTTTTGCCCACCTGAACCCTGGTGGGCACAAGCCACGTCCACATAATTCAATAATGGAAATAGCACATGTTCATTGGGCATGTACTACGAGCCAGGTCCTGTACTAAAAATTGTATGTGCATTATTCCTTTTAATCTGCTCATCTATTCATTCAAACACATACTTATGGAGTATCTGCAATATACCAGGCACAGTTCTAGGCACAGTAGTGAATAGCCACAATCCCCCGTCCCTGTGGGGCTTGCACTTTTGTGTGGCGGGGGAGCAAGACAGATGGTAAAACAAATAGGAAAAACATCTAGTAGAGAATCAAATGGGGTGGCTGACTGGGGCGCTGTGCCATAGTTCCTGCCCATGTCACTGAGTGCAGGGGTGGTGGGATGCCCGAGTCCATGCCAGGCAGGCACCTCAAGGTTGCTCTGCTTTGCTGAGCCAAGGGAACAGCCAGTGGGGACAAAAGTCAAATGTTCCAGGCACTGTCCCCACAGTTCCTACAGGTCTCTGAGGCCTGTGGGCCAAGCCCCTCCTGCCCTCCGGATAACCAACTCACTACACCCATCGCTGGCTTCTCCACCTTCCTGTCTCATGCCTGCCACCTGGGATTGCCGCCCCAAGTCTTGGTCCTGGCTCTGTTTTCAGGGGAACCCAAACCAAGACACAGGGTGAGATGTGTTAGGGAGAAAATAAAGCAGGAAAGGGGGTGGAGCTTCCATTTTAAGTCAGGAAGGAACTATAGCATTTCCATTTTCCAGAGGAGGAAATGAGGCTCTGGCTCCATTTAAATGGCTTTCTCAAGGTCAGCTAGGAAGTGCAGAACTTGGACTTCCCGGCCTTCTTTCTGACACAAAAGTGGAAATGTTCTTAAGCACCATACACCTGGCCTCTCTCCTGGATGAAGAACCGAAGCTAAAACCCATGAATGCTGTGCTGGAGGGAATGCGGAGAAGACAGGAGGAGGCACTCATGGGGACAACTTCTAGCAGAGGTGAGCTGCGAGCAGGAAAGGGCAAACTGTCCGGGAGAAGGGGACACCCAGGAGTGAAGTGAGTGTTCAGTGTGGGGAGGCTGCATCTCAGGCTGGATGGACGGGGCGGGGTGGCATTCTAATGGAGAAGGAAGTAATAAAAGCTACACCCCAGTATGAGTTCAGATGCAGCCAGAGGACCCTGGCTGAATCCTGGCCAAGAAGAGCAGCTGCAAATAGGGCAGAGGGGCCCTGGCCCCCACCTGTTTCCACTCAGCTCCTTCTCCATGGAGCGCACCATGCCCAGCCTCACCCAGCCTGCAGCCCCAGCATCTCCTCAGAGCACTGTTTCACTCTCCCCTGCCCACTGGACTAGAGGCAGTTCAAGCTGGAGGAAACTTAAGACACTGGCTCATGGAATACTCTCATCTTACAGGGGAGGAGGCTGTGGTCCAGAGAGGGCGAGTGACTTGTCCAAAGTCACACAGTAAGGCAGAAGCAGACCTAAGGCTAGAACCTAAGTCTCCTGATGTTTCCTCAGGGGCTGGGCTAGCCGTTGCCCTTTCTCCTAGAAGAAGGGTTCTATTTGCACAGCGTGTTGCTGGGTCATGCCTCTTGTGCATCACCTGGACAGTCCCGAGCCTAGATGGGAAGAGGCTGGTGAGAACAGGAGGCCATCCAGATGTGTTCACTGCACTCAGATGATGCATCTGCCTTTACAAGGTGCTTTCTCACAGTCCTTCTGCCCCATGAAGCAGGCAGGACAGGCATTATTCACCCCATTTTACAGAGGAAGAAACTGATGCTGAGGAAGTTGACTCGGCCCAGGAGTGGCATGGCCAGGACCCAAATCCAGAAACTGCTTCAAGTTTCGTTTTCTTTCCCATTACTCCAAGCTAAACCCAGCCGGGGCCGCACACTGATTACCTTTTATCAGCTGCAGAAAAGCCTCTGCTTTGGCAAGTTTTATAAAGGACTAAATCTGTCAGGAAAGCATAAAGACAGCGCCCTCATCCATCTTCTTGACAACTATTTATTAGACTTATTATTATGTAAATATAAAAGAGGAGGGGAAAACTACATTAAAAATCCAATCAAGTGGCTGCCTCTCTAAGGGGGTGAGAAGGGGTGGATTGCAGGGGAGGTAGAGGGAAGCCCAGGCCCCTCTGTCCCTCTGTCCCTTGTGGAGACCCATAGGGAGGCCCGGCTGAGGGGAGAGGAAAGAGTGGGGCGCAGGCCACAAGAAGCCCGCTCAGAGCTGGCAATGGCTGTGCTGCTGGCTTACACACCTGCCATTGTCATTCCACTCCGATAAACGAAAGGTTAAGATACAATTACAAAGCCAAATGGTGCCCTTGATTGCAACAGTGGGACAGCAGCTTAGCAGGACCCCCAAGGAGGCCCTTCCCAAGGAGACTCCCTCTGGAGGCTCCGTCTGGCCCAAGACTCCCTCTGTCATTTCCCCCAGTAGACCTTTGCGAGGTGAAGCCCGGCCAGCCATGCCCTGGGCACAGGGTGAGTCCCAGCTGCCCCTCCTGGGCATGCTGCCTGGACCCTGGGGCCTCCCAGCAGGCTGTGTGGGGGCATGTGCATGCTGCCCTGTAATGGATCTGTTCACGTGTCATCTCCCTGTCACCCTCTATTGCCCTGATGTTGGCTCACTGGTCTTTGTGTGTCTCCCGCAGTGCCTAGCACATACAAGGAACTCAGTAAATGTTCTTTTTTGAACACGTGAATATATTCCCTGGGGGTGATTACACTCCAAGGGGAGGGAAATGAAAACAAATATGGGCATTTCAGCCATTACCATTACCGGAGGCCCAGGTTGAACCAGGCGATGCAGTGAGCATGAACTCCCTGTCTTCACCGCCGCTCAGCCTTGGCACACATGGTGCTGTGCTGCCAATTGTCTGCCTGCTTCTGTCACTCAACCATGAGCCCCATGATGATGGGGCAGGGGCCTCAGTGCCAGAGCTGTGCCCAACACATAGTAGGTCCTCAACAGATATTTGAGGAAGGAAGGAGGTCAAGTGGTAGAGGGGAGGTGGTGGGACTGTCTTGAACCACACAGCCCCACCCACGGACACACTGGACACCTGTGGAGAGCAGAAGTCAGCGAGAAGGAGTAAAGGCAGCCCCAGGGCACCCCTCCTCCTGCAGGGCAGATGATTTGTTGAGCAGAATGCCACCACTTGCCTCTGATGCCCTTGTTCGAGGTACACCAGCACAACCCCAGGTGGCAACTTCATGTGGCTCGGCATGCACAGGAGGGGTTTCATGGAAGACAAATTCACACTGGATTAGTATAGAAGTTTGGAATGCATGGTGCAGCCTTCAACGTCAAGGGCAAATCCCATGGGCCCTTCTATGGCTATCTCCCACTAACGGAGCACTGCCAGTTTCAGACACTGTACTGAGAGATTTACATCTATGGCCTACCCCCATTAACCCTCACAACAATCCCACGAAGCAGGCACTGTCACTGCCCATTCCACAGATGAATGCACTGAGGCTCACGGGGGAGCTTGGCAGCTGCTCTCACTGGCCCAGGACAGCCATTTGTGTGGAAATGATCGATTCAGGCTTTGGCCGGGTCTCAGCCTTGCCCCTTCATCACTTTCTCAGAGCCCTGAAGTTCCAGGGCTCTTGCCTCAGCTTCTGTGCTCAAAAGTCCCCAGCAGCTGGGTTTTCTGCCAAACAAGAACCTTGAGTAGGGTCCTGGGCTGTCATCAGTGTTGCAGGGTGATGTTTACTAAGAACTTGCCTTCCTTTGGTGTCTGATGCCCACACCAATTAGGGTCCTCTGAGGTCTTGGTGCACTGGCCCTGCAGCCTGTCTCCATGCTGTATGAGTGGTGCAAGGAGCATGGGCTTTGGCGTCAGATGGACTGGGCTCTGGTCCTGGCTCCACCGTGTCACTTACTAGCCCTGTGACCTCAGACAAGCTTTAGTTCCTCATCTGAGAAAAGGGGAGAACACTACCAACATCACTAGGTGTTGTGAGTATTAAGTGTGTACATAATGATGTACAGCACTCGACCCAGTGCTTGGCACATAGTAGGTACTTGATAAATGGTAGCTGTTATTGGTAATAAATTATCAGCTCAGCTGTTATATGTAAGTGCAACAAAGTGTTATCAAGGCTGTGGTGGGCCCATGCTCAGAGTACAGTGGACACACAAAGCAGGAGGTGACTCATAATGTCCTGTGTGCATAGGGAGGGTTGGGGGAAAGAGTTTGGGGAAGGCCAGGAAAGGCTCCATAATTCCTAGTCTGAGTTGGTGTTCAAGTCGTGGGCAAGGGGAAAGGCATTCCATTCAGAAATGGAACAAAACACTGAGCCACTGTTTCTCGTAGACCATGTGCTGAGCAAAGGGCTGAGAGCATAGTCAGTGCTCCATGTGGCAGTTGTTGAGTAGACAAGATGGGAGCAATGTTGTCTGAGTCCTTCATGCCCTCCTTGGCACTGGGAAGGGCAGCCGGCCTTTCTTGATGACCATTCAAAGCCTCCAGCCCCAGGGCCTGCCAGGATCACTCCCAAGTCTCCAGACCCCCCTGGCTTAGTGCATTCCTGTTTCCTTATTTTCTAACCTCATTGGACTGAGAATACCACATTCTCCTTTTAATACTCCCCCAGAGACTTGCAGATTATTATTAAATACTGAAAAGTGAGAAGTCTGAAGGTTGTGTTCCTCTTCAGGTTTGCAGGGGGTTTATCCATATCTTGCCAGAGCTGGTCTTAGTTCCCACACCACATATGGGGGCCCCACTGGGTAGGCAAGGCCAAGGAGATAGCTGTTCAACCAGTGAATCTGCCAATCAATAACAAATGCATAAGAAAGAACTGCATGGATCAGGAACTCTATTAGGCTCTGCAGATACAATGGCAGACTCAGGATTAGTCCCTTTTTTTGCTCTCTTTTGGTTCCTATTTGCATGGAATATCTTTTTCCATCCTTTCACTTCCAGTCTGAGTATCCTTTAAGGTGAAGTGAGTCTCTTGTAGGCTGCATAGAGGTGGGTCTTGTTTTTTTTTAAGCCATTCAGCTACTCTATGCCATTTGATTAGAGAATTTAATCTATTTACATTCAAAGTAATTATTGATAGACTGGTACCATTTTATTAATTGTTTCTGATGGCAGGACTAGTCCCTTTCTCCACAGAAGGTAATTAGGCTATATTCCAGGTTAGGTAATTTTGCCCAATTCCTGTGTTCTGGATAACCAGTCATTCATTTATTAATTTACTCAACATGTGAATGATTACCATGTGCCAGGCACCATTCCAGGTGCTAGGGATATAACAGTGAGTAAAACAAGGTTCTTGCCCTCATGGAGCTTACATAAATGGGGCAATACATAAACAGAACATTTCCACAGCACTTTAAAATGTATAATGTACTTTCTCAAACATCTCAATTAATTTTCACTTTAGTGATGTGAAAATTGTATTTGTGTTATTCCCATCTCATAGAGGAAGAAGTTCAGACTTGGAGAGGTTAAATTACTTGCCCTAAATCACACAGCTAGTAATTGGTGAGACTAGGACTCAAACCCCAGTTTTCAACACATGAGACCATGTGTTCTTGAAGCAATCCTCTGTCAGGTGAATGGTCAATCAAAACAGCTAAAACAAGAAGGCATTTTCATTGTGGGGGCTTTTCTTCATCTGTCTGGGGCTTCCAAGAGGGATGCTGAGGTTTGGAAGAACTCCAGGTATTCTCATAATGGCTAAAAAATAACCTATATCGGTAGACCAGCTGTTTAAGAATTGTCAGAGGGACCTGTGAAATCCTGGGCTGGGATGATAATTGTTGTTCGATTAGTTTTTTGTTTATTTGCTTGTATTACTGTGTTTGGCTTTCTAACCCTTGTCTTGGGTACGATGACACTTCTCCAGTGGGGACTATGTGTGTATATATGTGAGGAGGGTCAGGTAAGCAGTCAGGGGGAAGTGAGGAGGGACAGGTTGTACAGGCCTCACCTCCGAGGAGCCCTGTTCAGCCACCACTCATTCCTTCCATGAATACCTAGTGAGTTCCTAGTGTACCCTGGGGTACAAGGATGGCCAAGGAAAGTCCTATCTGTGTGCTTTGGGGAGGCTGCCCCATCATGCCCACAGGGCAAATGGGCCCCACCATGCCCCTATCCTGTGCGTGGCCTCCCTCTCTGCTCTGCCTCTACAGAAAGATCTATTTCAAGCCACGGGGCTGGTGCTGGCCATGGGCTCCCCTGCCAGAGATGAGTGCTGTTCCCATCTGTAAATGACTCCAGCTCCTGGAAAAGCAGCCACAGACAAGTGCTTAGCAGCAAATAGATCACTCCCCACAGAGCCTGTGATTCACAGGGCAGAAAGCCAGCCTCCTGAGGTGGCGTAGGGAGGCGGCAGCCCTGGGAGGTGCCAGGGAGGTGCTCAGGACTCTGGCCCACACTTAAGGATAGAATTTATCTCTTCCCTTCCCCACAGCATAGGGCTGTTCTGCCTTCTACTTTCTCTTTCTTCTTTCTTCTGTTCTCCCACTTTTTTCCCCCTGGGTTGGAGAGAGTTCCTATCCCATCTGCACAGGTCACTTCCCCAGAGAGGCTTAAAAACCCTCGGACCAATTAGCTGGAAGCCTGTGGCCAGGGTCTTTTCCCTCTGCTGCAAGCAGACCTGCTGCTCCCCTCTGGGGAGCTGGCCCAGTCTAGCCCTCCTCACTGCCAGGAGGGCTGGGCAAGATCCTCTTATCACAGCTGTGAGCAGACAACCATGCACAGCAGGAGAGGGAGGGACAGGGAAGTGGGGAAGATGAGGGAGGGATAGGCGAGAAGGGAAGGGCTTCTGGAAGGTGAGAGAAGGAGGAGCAGCAAGCAGCAGGCAGAGAAGAGAGGGCAAGTCCAAACAAAGAAGAACACAAACAATAGAAGGGCTGGCTATCAAGAAGATCTTTTCTTTGGGGGCCAATGCCATATTCCAGCATGGGCAGGAAACCACAACAAGCCTTTCTGAGCCTCACTCTGAGTGTCTAGGCTTGTGGGAGGTGTAGAAGCATGACACGCAGCCTTTGTCCCACAGGGGCTTGCAACTGGGCTGAAGGGCTGGTGTGAGTATCACATGTGCAAGTCCAACTAAATGGAAATAAAATGCTTTTGTCTGGGAATAGAAAGTAGGATGATAGTTCTGACTGTGTCACTCACAGCAAAGTGAGCCTGGGCCTTTGGTGGATCTCCGGGTGCCTTGGTTTCTCTTTTGTAAAGTGGAGATAATACGGTACGTCCTGCTGACCTAATGTGGCTATCAGGACACTCAAAGGAGACTGCAGGTGAAAATGCACTTCAAATTCTAAAACCCCGCGGAGGTGCAGGAAAAAGAGCAACCTAGGGCTGGATGCTGGCACTGGGGCCACTCAGAAGACAGCCAGAGAGAACAGGAGAGCCAGAGAAGAGCCCTGCAGGCAAGAGCCTCTCAGTTGGGCTGGGAAAAGTAAACGGTCAGATTTAGAAGGGTAAGGAAAAGGTGAGGGGGTAGAGAGGGAGAAGACAAACACTACAAAAGGGCAGGAAGCAGGAGTATACTTGTTTTATTTGTAGGACAATTAAAAAATGAATTTTCTGTTTTTGTTTCATTGCATTTCTCTCTCTCCCCCTTCCCCCTCCCACCCTCATATTTTTAGTTGATTCCTTCTGCCTAGAACAGGCTCCTATCTTTGTACCCTTCCGGTTGATGAACTTTCATTAATATTTCAGGTTTAACATGTGATTCCTTCCAAGAAGCTTTTCTTGATTCCCAAGGATGGGTGTTTTCTAAATATTTTTACTGTGACTCAAAAAAGAAATATATTTTACATCACACACATAAACACACACACACACTCAACATATAGAATGAAAACAAAAGTTTTTGTTTTATTTTGTTTTGTTTTTGAGACAGAGCCTCACTCTGTTGCTCAGGCTGGAGTGCAGTGGCCCGATCTCAGCTCACTGCAACCTCCACCTCCCGGGTTCGAGCAGTTCTTCTGCCTCAGCCTCCCAAGTAGCTGGGATTACAGGTGCATGCCACCATACCTGGCTCATTTTTGTATTTTCAGTAGAGACGGGGCTTCACCACGTTGGCCAGGCTGGTCTCAAACTCCTCACCTCAGGTGATCCACCTGCCTCAGCCTCCCGAAGTGCTGGGATTACAGGCATGAGCCACTGTGCCTGGCCAAAAGTTTTTTAAACATTTCCCCTTATGAGTGTGATGCATTCTGTGATATTTCTACTCTGCTCTATTTAATTTTTTTGAAAATACTGGTCGTGACCCACTAAGTTAATTTTGTGACCTACTAATGGGCTGGTAACCCACTGTTTGACAACACCACCTTCCGCCTGTCCTTGTGGTAGCACTTTTGCCCTGCCCCGGATTGGATCAAGTGCAAGACTTTATCCCCCTCACTCCCTGAGGACCGGCACCTGACCGTGCTCTCCCCTCGATCCAGCCCGCAGCACTGTGCCTGGTGCCCAGCAGGTGCTATAAAAATTGTTGAATAGATTAATTATTGAATGGAGGCATGTCCTGCTGGAGCACAGGAATGCAAAATAAGAATGGGATTGAATGGAGAGGGCCTTGAAAGGCAGGCAGATGAAGGAAATCTTAAGAGAGAATGGGAGGGCAGGAGGGCAGAAATCCTAGGCAGGAAAGGAGGAGGGCCTGGTCAGGGCACCGTCTAAGGAAGAGCCCTTCCTTAAGGCCTTTGAAGGGAGAGGTGACAAGGTTTTATGGCAGAGAGCTGTGGGTTTGCCAGAGAGTAAGCGACAAAGAGGACCCCAAGTTTCTGGCCTGGAGGCAGGATGCCCTGTGATAGATGTTTTGTCCAGTCATTGCAGCTTAGTAAAGAAATAGTGGGCTGCACATTGTGGCTTATGCCTGTAATCCCAGCACTTTGGGAGGCCAAGTTGGTGGGATCACCTGAGGTCAGGAGTTCGAGACTAGCCTGGCTAACATGGTGAAACCCTGTCTCTACTAAAAATACAAAATTAGCTGGGCGTGGTGGTGCATGCCTGTAATCCCAGCTACTTGGGAGGCCGAGGCAGGAGAACCGCTTGAATCTGAGAGATGGAGGTTGCGGTGAGCCAAGATCACGCCATTGCACTCCAGCCTGGCAAACAAGAGCAAAAAAAAAAAAAAAAAAAAAAAAAAAAGACCTATAGTAACAACAGCCTGCATTTATTGAGCACCTACTATGTACAGGTACTATGCCAGAACATTTGCATACATCTAATCACTGCTGGTAAGTGGCCCAGACAGGATTCAAATCAGATCAGTGTGAGTCCATGGTCCATACACTTTCTCCTGCACCACCTTGCCCATACCTCAGTTCTGGCTGCCCCCTCCTGTTCATCAGTTTTTATGGATGACACAGTCTAAAAGTTCCCAATTTCTTTAGAATTGGGAACTGCTTATAATCAGGAGAGTAGATATATGTATGAGAGGGGTTGGATGGGTGGAGTAAAGATGGCATCTGCGTTGACCACCTTAAGTATGGGAACAACTAAGGGATGAAGAGCAGGGCACTCATTCATTCATTCAACAAATACTTACTGAGCACCTTCTATGTGCCAAGTACTGGCCAACATGTTAAGATACAATAGAGAATAAAACAGTTCCCTGCCCTTGTGGAGTTCACATTCTACAGTAAGGAGGGACAGACAATAACCAAAAAGATACAAAATCATGCCAGGAAGGAATAAGCGCTAAGAAGAAGCTGGGTTGGAGTTTGGCTATTTTAGATAGAGTAGTCTGGGAAGAGATCATTTGAGGAGGTGAAATTTGAACTGAGACCTAGGGAGAAGTTCCAAAGGAACATCCAAGGTGATAGTGTGGGAAGACGGAGAAGCAACAGCAGAGGGTCTAAGAAAAATCATTTAAGAGCAGTCCCTACAGAAAGACAGCAGGGATTTGGTAGGAGAAGAGAATGTTTCAGGGTCCAGGAACAGCATGAAAGCCAGGAGGCATAAACATCCCCACTGAAGTCATTGATAAAATGCTGCCAAGCTATGGCTGCAATCAGCCAGGGCACATCTGCATCCAAGCCTGGGATGGTGGAATCTTCTGGGAATGTGGTTTGGTCCATTAACAGGACACAGTTACTGTCAAAAGTCTCTGGGAGTCAGCCTTAGGGGGTCGGGAGTCACATTAGGCAAGAGCTGCTTTCAGCCTGGACTAGGGAAAGCCACTCCTGCAGCCTCTTAGGAGGTGGCTGCTTGCTGCATGTCTGGGAGTTCTTGCTTTCAAAAGAGTCTTCGCCCCACTCCCTACCCAACCCTTGCAGGGCAGGGCTGACCTGGAAGCCTCTTCCACACAGGCACACCCTCCTTCTGCCTCACACTCTCCCATGTAGGGTCTAGGAAAATGAAAAGGAAACCCTGAAGCTGGTGCAGGGGAATTTTGGGGCCTGGGGCAACTTTGACAGAGTGATTCATTTTGTCCCAGCTCATGTGTCACCATCTTGCAACAGCACTTGCAGCTTCTGGCAGCTCAATACGGGTAAGAAGTTTCTGGGGCTTGGCTGCCATTTCCCTGCCTTCCTTCTCCCCTCACAACCGAGGTAGCTGGAAAAAGAGGGAACATCCCTCTTGGCTTCTCCCATTCACACATCTAGAGCAAGGAGGAAGCTCACTCCTTCCCAGAGGGAGATGCCGAAGGATGGACTTCCCCAGGTCATGCTTACTGCTAAATATGAGAGAACCCAAAACTCCCATGCTTGCCTCCTTCTTGACATACACAGGCCCAGTGCTTCCCAACCACTCCCATTAGGCTTGAAAAGCCAGCAAGGGGAGGGAAAGAGACAAGGGGATGGAGGAGGGTGTCTCTGGTTCCCTCTTCTCAGCTCTTCCTCTTGCAGAAGACCTTCCCCCAAGCCAATTCTCAATCAGATAAAAAGGAAAATAATATAAACAACATTTTATTGAGCACTTACTATATTCTGGGCATTATTCTAAATGCTTTATATGAACAATTTCACTAAATCCTCACAAAATCAGATGAGGTACCATTATCCCCAGTGTACAAGTGAGGGAACCAGAGCAGAGAGAGGAGAACCGACCTACTAAATGTCACAAAGCTGGCATAACTAGATGCTGGACTTCATTAATCTCAGTTTCAGATGAGGCTGTACATGAATAGCTACCACATTCTCCAGTGAGGTGCAAGGCCACCACACAGGATCCCAGCTGTCCACCCACCCGGTCCATCAATGAGGTTGGAGAGAAAAATAAAAAGCTTGTTGGAGATTGGAAGAGGACCTCTGAAGAGAGTTACTGGTGTGCTGTGAGTGCTTCTCCTTTCAGGTCAAGCCAAGAGTGAGGGGCGTTAAGAAAACCTCTCAGAGAGTTTTATATGGGCTCTCTGCATTTGGGAGACACAGAAAACCAGTGTTGATTCATGCTCGCATGATCTAAAGGGAAGGCGATGTGTCACAGGCAGCTTGGATGGCTTCACAGGTTACTTGCACATTTCCAGGCAAAGTGTTTCTTGTGAACCTGGTTTGGACTACGCCTGGGAAACGGCCTGCCTAGAAGACAAGCGGAGAACCTGCCCAACTGAGAAGGGAGTTGAGTGCTCACTCAGGGAGAGGGCGTCACATGCATCCAAGGAGCTGTGTAGGCTTCCTCATGATTATGTGGGGCAAAGTTCTCCAAAGAACTCTGAAAGTGTCCCTCAAGGGAGAAGGAGCCAGCTTTACATATATTCCAGGCCCAGAGAGCTTGGGAGCAGGTCATGACACTGTCACTCAAGTGATAACTTCCATGCCCTGCTCTCCTCTCCCTGCCTGCCTCAGTTCCAACCCAGGGACGCTTTGGTTAGCAATCTAGGAGAAGGAGGAGGCTCATTGAGGGCGTTTTCCCTCCTGCTCCAGATCACTCTCTACCCTTTCCTAGCCCCAAACCCTGGGAAGCCGACCTCTATGGACATCATCAGCAGGCTCCCTGCCCTCCACAGGGAGGCACCATGGGCTAACAAGCCAGGATGGGGGGTGGGGGGAAGTGTACTCTCCGCCCTTCCCTGCCAGGTCACTGTGGGTTGCTGTGTCCCGCTCCCAAAGATGGAAGGCCCCTCAGATGGCCCATAGAGCTCCCTTCTCTTAGTTCTAGTAACTTCTCCTTCCCCTTGCACCTGCAGACTGTGGAATTTTCTGCTCTCCCAAACCATGCCAACACCTTTGTAAATAGTCCTTTTATGAACCTCCCCTCAACTGTCCAGTTTTTGTGAGCCATCTGCTTCCTGTTGGGACCCTTAATGACATAGAGGAAAGGGACGAGGAGCTAACTGTGCCCGCTACCCCACCCCATTTCCATCTGTGGTAGGCAGAGCCAGGGGATAGGAGACACCCAACTCTTAAGTGAAGTTTAAAGTTATGATTATTAAACTGAACATACAGAACTGAGACCATTTGTGTCATCTAAAAGTGACCTGAAAAGTCATGGGACTTGACCCAGATTTCATCTGGGGTGCAGAATTGCCTCAACCCAATAAACTTGCAGCAACAGTGGGAGCTGAAAGTGAAGTTGCTTTCTGATTATACCAAAGAGTTGTGCTTGTTCCATTCTCCCAACTGCCAGAGTGGGATTCTGGCTGGCATCTGCCTCTAGGGCCCATGGTGTCATCACTCTGCTGTACAATTTCTTATCAGGACTAGTCAACGTAGGAGTGAAAACCTCTTTAACCTCCAATGTCCATTGCAAATGGAGACCTAGACTTCTCCTCCAGCAGCCTTCATTCAGAATTCCGTCTTTCTCCTCTGGGACTCTAACCTAAATCCATGATTCGGGGCATTTCCTTTGGTTTCTCTAGGGAGGAAACTGGTCTATGTTTTTGAACCAATGCACTTATATACAATATGATTTGTGACATAGGTCCTCCTCCTCACTCACTGCTAATGCCCTCAGTTTTGCCTTTTATGTCAACCTAGATGGAGCTGTCTGTCTTATTGTTGTCCTTAGGATCCGGCCAAGATTTTCACAAATGATTTGAATACCTTTGAGTTTCCCAACTCCAGGCCTTTCTTTGCACATACTCTTTCCTCTGCCTCTATTTCTCTACTTCCTTCATCTCCTGTAGTTATCTTTCAAGTCCAACCCTATATCCCTGCCCGGAACAGTGGCCTGTAATCTCACCACTTTGGGAGGCCAAGGCACGAGAATCGCTTAAGCCTAGGAGTTGAAGAGCAGCCTGGGCAACATAGCAAGACCCTGTCTCCAGAAAATAAAAAATTAAAAAATTAGCCAGGTGTGGTGGCACATGCCTGTATTCCCTGCTACTTAGGAGGCTGGGGCGAGAGGACTGCTAGAGCCCAGGAGGTTGGGGCTGCAGTGAGCCATGACTGCATCATTGCACTCCAGCCTGGGCAACGGAGCAAGACCCTGTCTCAAACAACAACAACAGCAACAACAAAAACCATCTGCTTCAAGAAGCCTCTCATGGTGTCCCTGGGAGGGTAAATCATCCCCTCCTCTGTGCTTCTGCTGGATGGGGGGCCACATTTCTGTTTTTGTGTCACGCTGCATTGTAATGATCTGTTTACATGTGCGTCTCCCTCGCTGGGCCCTCACTAGGCAGTGAACAGCTTGACACAAGGTTCATTAGTGCTTAATGATTTTCATATCTTCAATGTCTGGTATAAGGCCTGACACATGAGGGTCCAATAAAGGTTTTTTAGAATAAATTATGAATGACTCAATGAAAGAATGAATTCTTTTAGTTTTTGAATCATATGGATGAAACAGCCAACATTGCGTTCAACACCCTACATGACCAGCACTGTGCTAGGCACGAAGTGGGGTCACCTTAAGCATGAGGACGCCATTTCTGCCTTCGAGAAACAAACAATCTGGCTGAGGAGGCAGAGGGAACTAATAAGTAGTAGTTGTAGCGGCAGTAACAGCAACTAGCACTTATGGAGTGCTTGCCACATGCCAGGCACAGTTCCAAGTGGTTACCATGTGATAACCGACTCATTTTAATCCTTGTAATCACCCTATGAGGAATGTGTTTTTATTACCTTTAATTTACAGATGAGGAAACTGAAGCTTAAAGTGAGGAAGGGGCATGCCCAGTCCTAACAAGCATAGGACAGATTGCAGATACTAGAGGAGTTAGGAGAGGAGGGAGTTGATTGTGAGCTGGAGTCCTTGGAGACCGCTTTGAGGGGAGGCTGCACTTGAGCTGAACTGTGAATCCCCCTCACTCTCACTTTGCCTCCCTGACCCCTGTGCATCTGGAGCCCTGGGGAGACCACTGCATGTTGGATGACTTTGTGAGGGCATCAACGTCATCAGTGCTCCCGCCAGTCGCCTCCCCAGTTCCGGAGCCCGAGGGGGCAAGAGCCCATGGCAGCAGCTGATTAATTTCCACTGACAAGAGGTTGCATCTTCGGCAAGCATGGTATTAAATAGCTCCTTTTGATCATAATTAAGTTTCTCTCAGGCTGATGCTATAAATAGCCATGCCCTATTGATTGGAGGGTCTGGGCTGTGAGCTCAGCACCCTCCGGGAGCCTCTCCAAGCCGGGCCTGGGCTCTCGAGTCCCACTTTTCTTTTTCTGATGTGCGGCATTCCTAATTTCAAGGGCAGGTGCAGCTGAACACCAGGCTTGAGTTCAGCTCATTTTCCCAGCCCTCCCCCACTTCCACAGCTCCTTCCAGGGTTGGCTCAAGAAGTACTTGGCTTCCCCAGAGAAAAGCAGGCGCAGACCTCAAGAAGCTGGAACACCGTCTCTCCTGGGTTGCTTCAGGACCTGAGTCTTTCCCTCTCTCTGCAAATGAGGACAGTAGCCCTATCCCTCCCTACAGCACCTGGACACCTCCTTATTATACCAGTAGGGAAACTGAGGCCCAGACAAGTGAAGATCTTGTTTAAAGGTCTCTGGAGAAGAAACTAACTCACAACTAGGGTTGTCCGTGCCTCTTTCTCTTCCTTAACAAAAGTGGAACCAATCTTGTTTTGCTGTACTCAGCGCTATGTTTAAGACAGAACGAGAAGAAGGGCCTGGGGCCTGCAAGACCCAGGGTCACAATAAGGGGAGGAAAACATCTCAAACAAAACACATTAATTATGATCCCTCTGACCAACACATTTTTATACTGGTGGAAAAGCACCAGGTAGAACACTCTGTCTCCCCTCTAGATGCCTTTCAGAGTCACTTCCCAGAAAGCCACAAGATTCTTTCTCCAGGAGTGCTTCCCAACTCCCACTAAGGAGGCCCCAACAGCCACTAAGCACACACACAGTGCTGCTACTCAGTCCAGTCTGTGATTTCTTGGTAACTGGTTCTGTTTCATCCGGCCCCACCCGAGGAACGTGATGGGCCGGGAACAAAGCGGTGTGGCAGAGAGGAAGGGTCTTCCCTTAAGTTGCCAGGCTTCATATGATCCCGCTTCTGCTACCAACAAGGGATGCTTCTGGGAATGCAGCTTAACCTCTATGCCTTAGTTTTCCTCATCTGTCAAATGAGTAGGTGAAACAAAATGACCTTTAAGGTTCTTTTCTGTTCCAAGTTCCACAATGATATAAGTTTAAAAAAAAAAAGAGAGATATGTGTTCACATATGCCAGGAAGAGAGCATGGAAGAGCCCAGGCTCTGTTTTCATCTTAAAGCACTTGGGCTCCAAAAGGAGGGCATCTGCAGAGGGCTGGACCTGGTGTCAGGCTCCTGCCCTCTACTCTTTATGGCAAACCATGGCTGTGGGCCAGATCTGTCCCATCTCTTGTTTTTATCAATAAAATTGGAACACAGCCATGCCCCCTCATTTACCTATTGTCTATGGCTGCTTTTGTGCTACAACAGCAGTGTTGAATAGCTGAGAATATATGACCCACAAAACCCAAAATATCGATTCTCTGTCCCTTTACAAAATAAGTTTGTTAAACTCTGCCAGGGCATGTTGGTGGGGTAAAAAGAGGGGGGAAAGCACTCTCCAGTTGAGGTGAAACTTGGGGAGATCCTGGGCAGAGCTGACTTTCTATTCTCCACTGTCCTGCAACTCAGGGTGTAGCAGGAATCACTAGTACTTTTCCAGGAGACATGGATAATGACCCTGAGCCCTAGGGACCCTGCCCAGTGACCTAGCAGCCTGGAGACAGGCTGTCCCCAAACCACCTGGCATACATACACACCATGGGGTGGAGTAGGACAGAGAGGTATTTTCTTTTCATCCTGAGTGTGTGATAATAAGGATCCTAATCCAACTCATGTAAAGAGCATCCAACCTGACCAGGCTGTTCTCGTCCCCGCTGGGGTTCCATGGCTAATCTGCTCCAGAAAAGCTCCCCCAAACCCTGCAGGACCCTGAGCTGCAGCCAAGGTAGGAGAGAGCCTCAGGTCCATTCGCAGTGCTCAGAAGCAGAGTCATTCCCTGGGAAGAGTAGGAAAAGTTGGTCACTGACAAACAAAGCAGAATGGAGGCCCTGTGAGCTTCACTTAGTTCTCTGATGTATGACCAGAGCAGAGGTGCTGCTAGGGAACTAGGGAGCAGGAAGCGGCTAGAAACAGGAAAATTAAGTAGAATCGAAATTGGTGAAATAAAACACATCGCCATTTAACCTCCACTCTTCGTGCTCCCCATAGCTTCCCAAGTTTCTCCAGGATTGTGCTGCTTCGGCCTTGGATTTCTGGGGATGCTTTTGTTGCTCCCCTTTATTCTACCGCTCTGGAGCTGGCAGGCCCCCTCTGTCTGGCATCTGTCCTGGCAGACAACACTGCACTATAGCCCTTTGATCTCCACCCCACAGTGTCCAGCATCCACCTGCAGGGTTGTGGAGGGTTTTCATTGCCTTCTCTTCCTCAACATGAAGCCTGAACTGGGTTCTGAGGGTGGTGGTGGGGGAACAAAATCTCTCGATTAGTTTTTACACAGAGGCTGCCGGAGGCCATATGCCATGTTCTCCAGCTCTGCCATTATGCATCTTGCTTGTAATTGCTTTAGAATGACACTCATCATGTTCTATTTTATCACCCAATGACAGATCCATATAGGAGAAGGGAAACACACTCTCGCACACACACTCACAGAGTCAGCCAGACTGCATAACAGTTAGGCAGAGTAATTGTTCTGAAATTCCAAGAGCTGGACTGTGTCCACTTGCTTAAATAGAGAATGTGTTGCATGCACAGTTACTGCTTCTGTGTATCAAAGGGATTCGGTCGGTGGTGGACAGCCTGGCCCATGCTTCCAGAAGTGCTTTCCCATGTTCACTCGCTCCCTCTAACCCCCCATAAACCCTCAGCTTTCTTTGCTATAGTTACTCAAGGATGGTTTATTTTCAGGATGGAGAGACAACTATAAACACAGAAGTAAACAGAGGCTATTCCCCAGTATTTAAACATTCCACCTCAAGCACTCTGAGGCAAACAGTCCTCCCTTCCCACCCCTCTGGGTCTTCTGTTACTTCCCTTGCCCCAGGAAGCTCGCCCCATCCACCACTTCCTACCCTCATCAGGGAGGGTCTCTCTCCTTCCTAAAGGTCACCAGGGTTGGAAGCTTCCAGGGGCTCCTGTGAACTAAACTGTAGACGCTTTAACTTGGCTCTTGGAGTCTTCCTAGGGCCAGCGAGGGCAGTAAGGTCTATATTCTCTTCCTGCCCCCTGCTGGGGATGGCAGTAAACCCAAGACACCAGTAGCTGTGGGCAATGACCAGAAGCAACTTCTGTGTCCCTGCTAGGTGCTCTGTGACACACTGTAGGTACATGGTAGAACTCTAGTAGTGAGCCTCTTCCTCAGAGGCTGGAGGTGCAAAAAATAGTTCACAGTGAAATGGTCTCACAGCCTGATATGGTTTGGCCGTGTCCCCACCCAAATCTCATCTTGAATTGTAGTTCCCGTAATCCCCATATGTTGTGAGAGCGACCTGGTGGAAGGTAATTGAATCATGGGGGTGGTCTCCCCCATGCTATTCTCATGATAGTGAGTAAGTTCTCACTAGATATGATGGTTTTACAAGGGGCTTCCCCCTTTGCTCAGCACTCACTCTTCTCTCTCCTGCCGCCATGTGGAAAAAAAGAAAAAAAAAAAAGCGTTTGCTTCCCCTTCCACCATGATTGTAAGTTTCCTGAGGCCTCCCCAGCCATTCAGAACTGTGAGTCAATTAAACCTCTTTTCTTGTCTTGAGTGTGTCTTTATTAGCAGCATGAGAACGGACTAATACACAGCCCTTTCCCACCTTGGACCAAAGCCCTCCATACCCAATGTTGGGATCTGTCTCCTCTACCCAAGCTGACTTCACAGCAGACCCCATGTAAATGCTTCAGGGCCTGACCAGCTATCTAGGGCTTGGAATCTGGGCCCCCAGTAAATATCAAAAAGCCAAAGATCCTTTCTTCTGAAGGATGCTGATCCTCAGCTGCTTGATAAAGCCGTATTTAGCACATTCCTCCAAACAGAGAAACAGGGTACACCAAGGGGTGGGGAACTATATGAGCTAAAGACCAGCCAGGGCTGGTACCCCTTCCTCCCTTCCCCACAGCAGTGGTCAGGCACGGACAGTTCCCAAGAGTGCAAGAGGACCTCTCCAGCTCCCTCCCCTAGCCCAGAAAGTGGCCAGGTACAAAAAAACTGGAAGATACTGGG
Source organism: Homo sapiens (assembly GCF_000001405.40). Lineage (NCBI taxonomy): Eukaryota > Metazoa > Chordata > Mammalia > Primates > Hominidae > Homo > Homo sapiens. Next base: position 111,960,609 of record NC_000001.11, read on the forward strand.
GAAAACTTGGGCCAGAGGTGGGGTAGGGGGAGAAATCCCATGTTAACCATACAGGCTGAGACAGGGAGGGAGGCTTGACTGAAGTGTAAACAGTGTAAACCCTCAGCTGGGGTTGGGGGAACACTTTCTCTCCAACCCCTTCTCTATTAGGATGGGAATGAGCTTAAGTCCTCAGGGATGAGGGGAGAGAACAGAACAAGCTGTTTCCAGAGTGCTTCCCACCAGCCCTCATGGTTTTAATTCTTCATCAGGAGACCGAGGGAGGCCTGGGGCCATGGCAGTTGGGGAGGTGAGTGAGTGACTGGGGAACCCCATCCAAATGCCAGCTTTCCACTCTAGGGAAGACCTCTCTTGGTGGTGCCTTGCCATGTCCCTGCCAGAGCCATGAGGAGAGGGCCTAGATAGGGGTAGCCTCGACTCTGTGCTCTTGTCCCGGAGAAGAGAGGTACAGCACAGGGGTGAAGCTCTCTCTGTCCAGGGACCCGGGCTACAGCCCAGCCTAGTTTGCTCCTCCCTGGCTTAGCAGCCAGGGGCTGGCGGCCAGGATTCTGGCTGGCCACAGAGGGGCCTGTCCACCTGCACTCATCACATATGCAGTGTGTGTCCTCAGCTGTTCCTCAGAAAGCAAATATAGGCGCCAGCGAGGCCATTGTGCTCTGAGCAGCTCTGTCACCCCATCAGACCCGGCTGGCACAATGTTTCCTGGTCTTTGTTGAATATGTCCAATTTCCTGACCAACTCATCCCTGATAAATAATTGTTTCCTCGTTCCCTCCAGGCAGTTCCAAGCTAGGGAAGGGTGGAGGCTGGTGTGATGGGGACGGTCCATTCTTTTGTCTCTTTGGCATCTGAAAGCCAGGGTTGACCTCTGCTTAGTGCAGGGGAGCACAGGCTCCTCTGCCAAGCCCCATATCCTACTTGGCAGCTGCCAGCTTTTGCCAAGCTCCTTCCCTCCTTGCCTCCCTTCCCATCTACTGTCTGAATACCTCCTCTTCCCTTTCCCTGTGCCGAAGGTGTGCATCGTGGGATGGGAGCAGGATGGGGATCCAGTAGGACACTGACCTAGGGAACTGGGTATTTTAAGGGAGGCCAGAGGGGGGGCATTTGAAGGTTTCATGGCATGAAGGGAAGAGCATCCACCAGGAAATAGAGTGATCTGGGTTCCAGTGATGTGACCACAGTTGCTGCCTGGCTAATACTGGGGCTATCGCCTCAGCTTTCTCATGTCTGAGACAAGGGGGCTCAACTACATCCCTCGACCCCAAGTGAGTGATGCCCACAGAGCCAAGCCTTCAGGCGGCTACAGTCCCACTTCTGTTCTCCCTGCAGCTTCTGCCCTGAGTTTCTCTGGCCCGAGTTGCTGGCACGCCATCTGGTATTCCTGGGTGAGCCAAGAGTTATTTACCAGTAACAGCTCTGTTCATCTGGCCATTGCCACCCAAGCATGAGGGCAGGAGAGCTCATCCAAGCCCCAGTGATGGCTAAGACTGGGCACGCACATGTGCCAGGCCCTGGTCTAGGCACATTATAAACGTCATTATTTTTAATCATCACAGCAATCCTCATTTGCCAGAAAAAGAAAGTGAGGTTCACAGGTGGGTTTCTGTTTGATCACATTGTAAGAAAGTGGCAGAGCTGCAGATGGAACCCAGGTCTGCCTGCCTTTGGAACACATGCTCTTATTAACCCACACTCTCCAGGAGGGGTCTTCTTTGAGAGGGTCTGACCTGCCCGGGCAGCACAGGGCGCTGCTGAGACTGCAATCATGATCTTAGGAATGAACACGTCTGTGGCTTCTTCCCCTTTGGCCCGGGGGAGCTGCAGAAGGCCTAGGGATAGGAGGAAGTTAGTGCACCAGAGAAGAAAATCCATTCTCTGTCCATTCACTACCTTCCCCAACCCCAACCAAAACAGTGACATCATGCCATTACATCCCACTCTTAGGGACTTAGAGCCCCTGCCTTTGCATGGGCTTCACTACCTCCGTAGAAACAACTTGGACTTTTGATCAGGCGAAAGCCTATGTGGATGCCCTGCCTGTCCAGACCTTCTTTGTATTTCCCACTATGAAATTCAGTCCACATGGTTCATGGTTAGGACCCTGAGGCTGGTTGTGAAAATGGCCACCAACTCTTTTCATCCCTTTGTATTTATACCACTGCGCAATGTGATGTTGCTGCTTCTCCTCTTATTGAAAGGTAGAATCTGTTTATCTACTCTTTTAATCTGGGTTTGGCCATGCAACTTCCTTTGGCCATTGGGACATTAACAACTGTGACACAAGCAGAGGCTTCAACAGAGCTTGTGTATGAGGGCTTGGCCTGTCGTGCAGCTCTTGGGAACCCTGTGACCACCACCATTTGAAGGATCTGGGATAGCCCACTGGATGATGTGAGACAACAGCCATGTCACCTCTCTTTGTTGCCCCAGGAGATCTTGAGCAGGCCACCAGATATGTGATTGAGGCCATCCTAGACCACCCATCCCCAGCTGGGTCTCCAATGACCAGGGATATCAGCTAAGCCAGACCAGACCAAGAGAACTGCCGAGACAACTCAACCCCCCACCATACAGAATCATGAGATGTAATAAATGTTTATGATTTAAGCCACTAGATTTTCAGGGGTAGATTGTTATACAGTAAAAGCTAACTGATTCAGAGCCCCACAAAGGAATTGAAGAAGGAGCTAGAAAATAGGTCCTAAGGAGAATATTGTGAACCTGAGAGAGTCAGCTGAAGGCAGTGGTTAAGGGGATCCTAGAGCCAGAATGCCTCAGGGTGAAACCCTTCTCTGTCATTCAGTACTTACGTGACCCTTGACAAGTTACTTAATCTCTCTGTTCCTCAGTTTTCTCACCTGTAAAGTGGGGATGATAGTAATGCCTACTTGATAAGGGTTGCTGTGAAATGGAATTAAACACAGAGCACTGAGAACATGACCTGGTCCACCGTATGAGGATTTTCCTGTCATTATTACCCTAACAGACAGTCCTGCCAAGGTCCCAATTGTCAAAGAGTTTTTACATGGAGGAAGGGGGCTGACTAGCAGATCTCTAGTTCCAGTGAGGGCTGATGTGAGGAAGTGAACTGAGCCTACCGTCATGAGGGACAAAGTCAGACCTCAGGAGAGACTTCCTGACAGCAAGCATTGCTAGACACAAAGAAGGTAATAGTGGACCTTATGGCTACATGGCCTTCTGGGGACAGAAACGCCTAGGCAGGCTGCACTGCCTCTCCATCACCACACCAGCATGCACACAAGGACTTCTTTTTTGAAGGGCTTCCTGCCTAAGCAAAACCTCAGCTTCTCTCAGAATCATCTTACGGCCTTCCTTGAGGCACCATCTCAGGATTCAGAGGGAATTAGTCCTCCCCAAGAAAGAAGAAGAGAAGTCATCCTTTATCCCAATCCTTAATCCTACCTACTAGTCAGGGTCTCTGAATTGCTTTCTGATTGTAACTCTATTGTGATTCGGCAGAAGGAGGGAAACAGGCACTTACATGCCATTATGGCTGCCCAGGCTCCCAGCCAGGGCCAGGCAGGGAGGGGAAAGGGGCCAACAGTCTTCCTGGGCCACAATACTGGGCTCTGGGACTTGACTGTCTGCCCTGGCTTGACACACTGCTCTGGTCAAAGCAGATTTTTCACTGAGGATGGCCCAGCTGGGACGCTGAGAGCAGTAGGTGGGGAGGGGTGACTCCTGGGCAGGCTGAAGCCCGGGATGCTAAAGTACAGCCTCCCAACCTGCGGGCTGCAGTACACAGGTGGGTGAGAAGGAGTTACAGGCATGCAGACTGATAGAGATTCCCTCCCTCCCCCGGCCCCCACAGCTCCTGAGGCAGCTGGTGGGGTGGGGTGGGGGCAGCAGAGCCCTGGTCAGTAACCTCCTGCCTCAAGCAGCCTAGCCAGCCCCAGAGGAACAAGGTCAAAAGCACAGCCAGGTGACCACAATGGGAAGCACAGCTCTAAGGGAAAACACCAGCACACTTGGAGCAGGAAAGGCAGCACTAACTCAGAGGGGCTCCTCTTGCAGCAGAATCAAAGTTTATATTTTTGAAATTCTAGGTGTTACTAGGAGGTAGACACAAGAATAGAATGGAGAACAGAACTATTTCCTTTGCAAAGTTGGGAAAAGGAGGGGGTATTGTCCTACCCACCAGGGAGGGACTAAGCAATGACGAGAGAGGGATCCTGTGAGCTGGGGCACTGAGGGCTGCTTCCCTCACCTTTCTCCCCATTTCCCGATGTGTGCAATCTTTAACTCTGCCAATGAGCCTGTCATCCAGTTCATCTGGTTCATTTTCTGTGCATAGTGACCACACCTGGCAAGCTCTTCATCACCCTAAAGGGCCTGAACACATGGTCAGCAGGCCAGGAATGTTTGTTGAGCGGATAAAGGAAATGGGCAACAGCAGATTCGAAACAGCATCTGCAGTCAAAAGCTTTGCTGCACCCCCCCAAACTGCCCCCAAACACTCATTTTTTTTGTAAACAGGACTGCAAGTCCAAGGACTGTTGAATCTCTCTGGCTCAGGAAAGATCCCCCAGCAATTCTCTCTGGATTCTCCAGGCACAGAGTTGCTTTCTGAGTAAAAGGGGTGTGGAGGTTGGGTCAGAGGCTCATCTAAGGACCAGAAGATCCAGCTCTGGATCAGAATGCTGCCTCTGGTGTGAGAGAAGGGTCACCTCTGAAGAGGTAATCTTCCAAGAATGGAGGGACTCTAGATGGCAGGAAGAGGGCAGGATCCTAAAGTTCCCTAAGTCAACAATGGCCCAGGTTACCCTGAGAACTCCCTCCTCCCTCCCCGACCCCTTATGGCCAGCAAAACCACACACACACACACACACACACACACACACACACACACACACACACACACGCCAGGAGCATGGTGTCAGGTTCTGAGTCTCTCCTCCAACTTCCACTTTTTGCCCAGAGTACTTGCCCTTTCCAGCTCTCCAAACCAGCTTTCTCATGTGATTTACACCCTCCTATAAGTTCTAGCTCTTCTGTGATTTCTCTAAGTGGAACAGATTGATGATCCCCTTGCAGCCCCTATCTGGATAGGAAATGTCCCCAAATTACATATGCCATTCCAAATTTGGGCACACCCTCCCTCATATCATTTCATGAAATATACAAACCTTGCACTTGACTCCTGCTTGTTTTGAAGTTTTATCCTTCAGTATGTTTGATCCACACATGTGCAGGCGCCTCTCCCTGTCTGAAGTGAGCCAGCATGACCATGACAAGGCAGCAATGGACCGGTATATGTCCACTGAGCCCCTCTGTGTGCCAGGCACTCTGCTGGGAGCTGGGTTCCAGGACAATTGCCCCGGCTTTGGGGAGCAAGAGCTGCCAATGCAAGCAGGGCTTGTTTAGGAGGCTTTCAGATGGTGGTGACTGGGACCTCCCTACAAGACTCACTCACCTGGCTCACCCCACCAAGCTGGCCTTCCTTGGCACCACCCTGCTGCTGGCTCCCCAGTCCTTATCCCCTCTGCACACTGGAAGGAAAGTCAAGAAGATGCTCACATCCTGGAGACAGCCCACACGCTTACCCTCTCTCCAGCCCTCTGTGATCATTTAATGGTTGGTTTCATTCAAATAACTCAAGGTAATATAAGCCATGCTGCCCACACGGATGCTAACAGCAATATATAGATTCCCTTGCATTTTGCAGGGAACTCATGTAATAAAATACTGGGGGTGGAGAAGGAAAGGGCCATTTACAGACCAACAGGATAATAGGGGAAGAAAAACAAGTTGGTGATGGGAGTGGGAATGGAGGAAACCAGCCACTAGTGGAGGTATCAGTAGGGCTGGGGTGGTAGGAGACAGAAGAAGGGGTGAGAGCTCTGCTTACCCCCATAACCCACCCATTCATGCTGCAAACGTCCTTGGCTGTTTATCCTAGAGGGCCTGGTGAGGTCCCTGAGTGGTGGCTCACTGGGGAAGCCTCCACCCACCGACGGACTTCACTCTTCCAGGGCTGGGCCTGGGTCACCCTAAGTCTGTGCCAGGACAGATGTATCACAGGTCCTCTTGACACAGAGTCCCCTAATGACTTCCCTGATCTGAGTTATACCTGCCTTCCAGAACTGTTTCATAACAGAACCTTCCAGGTTCTCAAAGCTCTTGTCTTTCTGAGGTATAGAGAAAGTAGATTTGAGTTCAACACAAAGAGGAGGTTGGTGATCACTGAATCTCTCTACCAGTGGAATGAACTGCATCAAAAAGGGTAAACTCATGGGGCATGGTTGCTCATGCCTGTAATCCCAGCACTTTGGGAGGCCAAGGTGGGCGGAACACCTGAGATCAGGAGTTTGAGACCAGCCTGGCCAACATGGAGAAACCCCATCACTACTAAAAATACAAAAAAATTTAGCCATGGTAGCGCATGCCTGTAATCCCAGCTACTTGGGAGGCTGAGGCAGGAGAATCGCTTGAGCCCAGGAGGCAGAGATTGCAGTGAGCCGAGATCACGCCATTGCACTTCAGCTTGGGAGACAAGAGTGAGATTCCGTCTCAAAAAAAAAAAAACAAAAACAAAAAAAAAAACAAAACAAAAACGGGGTCGGGGGGTAAACTCCCCATCCCTGGAAATACTCAGGCAGACCTGTTGCCCTCTGCTGGGGAGGGTGCTGAAGACAGCCCAGCTCCAAAGGGAATAGCAAACTAGACCCTAAATCTAGGATGTGTGGGGCTTAAGTGTCCGTCTGAGCTCATCCTTTAAAAAGCCTCTTGGTCCCAGGGTTAATGTCTTATGCTTTTCCCTCTCCTGGCCCAACGAGAGGCATCCAGGGAGCTGAATTCACAGTTCCCTGCTCTCTCCAAGCACGGCACCTCAGCCCTGTGTGGGCGAGGCTGTTGACCTTGATCTGCGTCCTGCCAGCTCACCGTCAAGTACCCTGTTCACGCACCCTGGAGGAGTCTGCAGGCAGGGCCTCCCAGGCCTCTCTGCAGACTTGCATTTCTGATGGCTGCTTTAGTCAAGGACTCTTTAACTTCTGCTTCTTTGGAGGAGAAGAAATGGGAATAGAAGGACCCCAGTGCGCTACCTTCTTAGGGGCTGGTTCTCCAGGGTAAGGATTATCCAGGCTACTGGGCTAATGACCAGTTTACTTTGGAAAAGTGAGAGATTTAAGCCTTGTGCAGCTGGCTAGTAGATGAGAATTCATTCAATCCAACCCCCTCACCATTCAGAAGAGGATACTGAGGACTAGAGAGAGGAAGTGACCTGCCCTAGGTCACACAGCTTGCCAAAGCTGGCCCCACACCCACATCTCCTGACTCCCAATCCAGTGGTCTTGCCAGGGTCCTACAGAGCCCCACTCTAGCCAAAGGATTCAGGCAACCTATGTGGGCCAGCTCAGGCATAAAGCACTTAACTCAGAGCAGGGACACAGCAGCCTCTGCTCCTCGGATGAGAAGCTGACCTTACATGGAAATATTCAGAAAGACACACACAATGCGTGGGGGTGAGAAGGAGGGAGGTGGGCATAATGCTTCATAATCTCTCTGTAAGCCCTGCCCAAACTCTGAGCATGCCAGCTGGGCTGCAGAATTTTTTTATTAATCCACACAACACACTTTTGCTTGCTTGAGACAAGCTTCTGCTGCAGTGAGGAAAGAAAGGAGAGAAGGGGGATTTGGCTCAGAAGGCAGGGGCACGAGTCCTCAGGTACAAAAATCTCAGGAACTCAAAGCAATTTTTGCAGGCAGAAGAGAAATGGGCCACAGAAGAAGGGAAAAAAGAAAAAAAAATCTAGGGTCACATAAGCTGTATTGATCTTCATCTATCTTGTGCAAAAATGGCATGAAAAAGAATGAGGCCAACAGCTACAACGTCAGAAGAGCCAGCAGAGGAGAAAGTGAGGATCACAACTTATGAAGAAAGATCCATACCTGGTGACTGGGGGTTCCTCAGGAAGGCTGTGAGGCAATGCCTGTCCTGTTACACCCAGGGGTGACATCTCCAGGAGGATCTTCCTCCCCTACCCCCGGCCCCATCTCTGTTATCTCCTGGAACCAGAAGTGTCTGCAGGTCAATGCCAGGACCTACTGCAGAGGGGCATATGGCAGACGGGGGAACCTGTGCTCTGTCATGGGCTTCTGACAGGCTCCCCCACCTGGTCCCCAGAAATGTGGGAACTGGCTTCCAGCTCTCTGCTGGCTGGGCTGTGATCTCTCTAGTGGACTAGGAGGGGATCGGCTGAAAGGCTGAGTGATACCCAAAGCCACTGTGGAGTGGGTAGGGACGTCACCAACTCCCAGTCCAGGACACTAGCAACAAGGCTCCCTGGAACCAGAATCTCTCAAGAGCAGGAGACGGCATGAGATTTTAAAAGTTATTATAAAAGATATTTACATAGTATGCATATTTACCCTCTCAGGCTTTTTTTTTTCTTTGGAGGGGCAAAAACACGAAGTTTATAATACATGAAAGTTTCCCATTTCCTTCTTTTTTGTTTTCCTTCCCTTTCGCCAGTATGTGCTTCCCCTGCTGGTGAACCACTGCCTGCCTGCCACGGGTGTCCATATCCCTGTTGGCCACACGAGCCTCCATGCCCACCCTCGTGTGCCTACTGACCTTGTCTCCCTTGACTCTGACCTTCCCTTTGTCCATTCTTCGTCCATTCTGTGTCCACCCTTCACCCTCAGAACCTGTGCCAACAGAGCCCAAGAGTCTTTGGTCCTGGTGTGGTAGGACATTGGGGGCACATGTATTTTCCTCTCCTATGCTCAAGTCAGAGGTTGTGGAAGGAGATTTCTCCACCTTCCAGGGAAGGCATTTCAGGCTCCCAAATGCCTCCAGTGGCAATCCCAGTGGAAAATGATAGGCAAGAGCAGACACTGGTCAGCTCACTGCCAGTCTGAATCCCAAATTCTCCACTGATCAGTGGTAAGCTCTGAGCAGGCTTCCTCAGCTACAAAACACAGATAATAGTAATACTGCTCTCATATGGTTATTGGGAGAGCAAAATACGTAAAAATAATTAATAACATTATAAAGACTCAATAGTATTAGCTGTTATTATTGCTGTCATTGTTGTTGTTAGGGATAATGACAGTCATCTCACATGTCAGGGTGAACCTATTTCTACTCATTCAATCTTCAGTGGAGTGGCAAACAGCTGTTTCTCCACCTTCTGGCTAACAACCCTAAAGAGACTCAAACACAGCTATTAAATCGTCATCTCTGTTGTGGGGCAGCCTCTCTCCATCTCAAAACCAACTGCGGATGACACTTTCCTGGGGGGATGCTGGATGGCTGCCCCTGTGCACTCTCCTGCTGTGACCCCTTGGCTCACTCCACATGCAAGCTAATGGCCTTCACTGTCTCTCCTCTTACCAGCTTTCTCTCTTTTTTTCATAGCTTTTATTCCAATCTTTCCTTCTCTCTCTCTCTTTTTTTTTTTGGAGATGGAGTTTCACTCTTGTCGCCCAGGCTGGAATGCAATGGCGCGATCTCAGCTCTCTGCAACCTCTGCCTCCCAGGTTCAAGAGATTCTCCTGCCTCAGCCTGCTGAGTAGCTGGGATTACAGGCGCCTGTCACCACTCCAAGCTAATTTTTGTATTTTTAGTAGAGACAGGGTTTTACCATGTCAGCCAGGATGGTCTCGAATTTCTGACCTCAGTTGATCCACTCACCTCAGCCTCCCAATCCTTCTCATTTTAAACATTCATTTGTTGATCATGTGTTGCTCTTACTAAAAGGTCTACTTCAGATAATTTGCCTGTTCTGTTCACAGATACGTCTTTGGCCTCCAGCATGATGCCTGTTGCATGGCAGACCCACAACATTTGTTGAATAAACAATCAAATGAATTAATGTATTTAATTTTTCCACCAAAATGATCTTTTAAGGGCCAGCTGAAATGCCACCTCCTCCAAGAAGCCTTCCCTGATCCTTGCCTCCTCCATCTTCTCCTCACACTTTCCTGTCCTTGACTCACGCCTCTGACATTGTTGAGCCCAGAAATGTATAGCCCTGTGAACACAGGCATTTCTCTTACTGGACTAAAGCTCCTAATGAAGCCAGTGGACTCTAATGAAGTCAAAGGACCTCAGTCTAAACCCAGTAATGCTACTACCATGTGGGAGCTTGGGCACAATGTTTTAATCTTCTCATAATCTTCTCATATGTAGAATGGGAACCTAACATCCACCTCGAGGGATTTAGTCCCCACCTCTTTCTCTCTTTGCAGCCCCTCATATCAACTAGGACTGGGTCATCTTCATAGTGTCAGCTCCATGCATGTTTGCTGAATTAGTGAACCATCACTTCCCCTAGTTTCTTACCAAGGGCCCAAGACAGATGTCTCCTAGAGGGGGCAGGTCACAGGATGCTCCCAGTGATACCAGCGGGTGCATCTGACATTTTTCTCCAAGGGAAAGGAAGGAGTAAATGAGAGAAGTGGTGTCTTAAGTGTCTGGAAGTTCTGCCAAGAGCTTGGCACTGCAAGAACCAGGACAGTGTCACCCACGAAGGTAGTACCACTCTGAAGTAGCATCACCCTTGGACAAGGAGAAATGGTCCTTGGTCTGTGGCCATTTAGACCCCATGTGCCATCCACATGCCAATGTAAGGGTCCCTTTATTATTATTATTATTTTAGCAAAGCTCATAAATTCTGCTTTCTTGGGTGGGTACTGTTTGTTTAATAATCATTGCAGGAGGCAAAAAAAAAAAAAAAAACACCACAAAACAAACAAACAAACAAAAACCCTTGTTTTACTCAGAAACCCAGTGTGACCTTTTGGCTTCAGCAGAAACACAGTATAAAAGGGAATTTCCACAGGTGAAGATGAGAGACTGAATCCAAGCTTCAGCAAAGCTGTTCATAGACAGCACCAAAGTTCCTACTGGGGGCAGGTGCCAGAGAAGTAGGGCACAAGGCAGGAAATGCTCCCCATGCCCTCTTCTCTTCCCTCCCTTCATCTTTCCCTGGCCAATCTCATCTATTTTTTCTGCTTCAGCTGATGATTTTGGAAACGGCCTGTTTATCCTTTCTCCCTGCTAAGCTCCAGACCCATCTTTCCACCTGTCTGCCAAACACCTCAAGGACACCCAGGGTTAACTGCAAACACTACAGGTCCAAAGCTAAGCTCACTGGCTCTGTCTTCCCTCTTGACCTCCTGACAACCTGTTCCTTCTCTAAGGAACTCCAACCTCCATACCTCTACTCATGCCAACTCCACACCTCTACTCATCCAGTCTTATAATTCCAGAGTTCTTTTGACTTCTCTTCCGGGGTGTCATTCCATTCCAGTCCTTTCTCTTCTGTTTCATTGCAACTGTCTTAGTCAAGCCTTCTTTATCTCTTACCTGGCTTAATCTTCTGGCTGACTTTCCTGTGTCCAAGGGTTCCCTTCCACATTCATCCAGAAGACAGCTGCCAAATAAATCTTCCTGATCAATACACACTGGACTACCTTTAGTGGTTCCCTAATGCCTATCAAATGAATTCCTTAGCCTAATATTTTAGGCTCTCTGCATCTCTGTCAAATATTTTGTTACTGCTTATCTCTAGCTATTTTCCTATTTGTATATCTTTTTTTTTTTTTTTTTTTTTTGAGACGGAGTCTCGCTCTGTTGCCCAGGCTGGAGTGCAGTGGCGGGATCTCGGCTCACTGCAAGCTCCGCCTCCCGGGTTCACGCCATTCTCCTGCCTCAGCCTCCCAAGTAGCTGGGACTACAGGCGCCCGCCACTACGCCCGGCTAATTTTTTGTATTTTTAGTAGAGACGGGGTTTCACCGTTTTAGCCGGGATGGTCTCGATCTCCTGACCTCGTGATCCGCCCGCCTCGGCCTCCCAAAGTGCTGGGATTACAGGCGTGAGCCCCCGCGCCCGGCCCCTATTTGTATATCTTAAACACTAGCAAACCAGCATATTAGTTAAGCTTCCCAAACATCAAGCCCTTTTGCAATTTATTAGGATTTCCCATTTCCACATATCAAAATCCTATTCACCATTGTTGGTCTAGCTAAAATCTCTTTACCATGAAGCCAATCGTTCATTCATCAACAAATGTTTATTAAGCATTTATTCTGTACTCCTGATCTTTTCAGCACATGCCCCATTCTCTCTTGTACACTCTCATGGACATACTCCAATTCCCCACTATATTGACAACTTCTTAGGGACAAGCCTCATGTTTTCTTTATTTCTCTATCCCCCAAAATGCCTACTAATATGCCTTGCAAATTCAACTGGATGTTGAATAATGTTTGTTGAATTGAATCAAGATTTGTGCTGTCCATGGTTTTGATATCATTTAGTTTAATTCTCTTAGTTTTCTTTTCTGCTTAAGTATGCGTGTCCAGGAAGAAGTAAAAATAAACTAATGATACTCCTCAGCAGCTATAAGCCTGTAATTATGGTTAACTCTTGGTTATCCATGCCACTGGGAAAATAGCACTGGAAAAATTCCCACATCAAGAATCATAAAAACATTATTTCCATCAGTCTTTGACATGCATTGTTTAGTTTTTAAGCAGCTGATTTGCCTTTTTAATTGTTTGGCTGATCAGTTAATATTTGCATTTACAGTCTTTCAATAACTGGCTGGGAAATAGAGATGGAAGGAAAGATGGAGGACTATGCCACTGGGAGAAATCCAGTTCAGAGTGAAACATTTACTTTGTACAACCTCGAAGGCAAGGCTCTGGACAGCTGGAACATCATAGGCACTTGGAGTGTGTCAGCAAGGCCCCATGGTTTGGCCATTTCTTTTGGATGACTGCAAAGGGTAGAGATTTCCCAGTCTCCTAAACAGCCCACTCTGGTGTCCAGAATTTGTTTTCATATAAAGAAGATAACAAAGTTCTACTGGGACTGATAAGGTTCTGGGATGGAGGGAGGGCTATGTTTCCAGTCCTGTTGGGATCGGAAGTTGCTGGCTGTGCCACTGGAAACCACTGGGTGCAAATCAAAGAAAATGTGGTTTGCAATTTTGCAGTGATAGCTAGATAATGTAGGGGGGAAGTTCCCCTTTTCCACTTCTGAAGCAAACAAATATCACATGTGGTAGATTCGGCAGCTGCATTAGTTGGAGAAAATTGATGCACATTTCTTGTGTCAGGGAGCTGAATCCCAAAGAATGGAGCCAGCCTCCCAGAAAATGGTTTCTTTATATAGTTTCATCCATTTATTGTTTGATTGGACTTTCTGTATATTAAATTCAAGCTGTTCTGCCACTCATGGGTATTATGATGCGTTGGCTCAGTGGGAAATAATGAGGGTGATAGGATCTTACAGCATCACATTACAAAGGAGGCGTCCCCAGCCTCATCCATCTCTCCATCAACTAGCTTGTGTATGAGGTGGCACTTATATTAAAATGATTTTTCTGATTCAGTTTAATGACACTCATTCGAGTCCTGACACCCAGAATAAGATTACATGAGCTAAATGCAATCTTCCTCCATCCAGTCATGGTCAGCAAAGGCTCAGCTATCTTCCCTCTCCAGTCCCCATCTTCCCATACACCCATCATTTGCATTGAGCTAGTTGGAGGGAGGTAAGAGTGGGGAAAAGATGCCTGTGTTCTGGCCGGAGAAAAGCAGGCTGGACAGAGGCTGGAGTCTGAACTTGTTCTGGAGGTTGTGGCAGCTGAGCCTTCTGGCAAAAAACTTTGGATACCCAAAAGCATTGTGGGAACTCCTTCCTGCTTGTCACTAGAAGTTGGTTTGAGGTCAATACTGTGCACTTCTTCCAAATAAATTTCTGGGGGTCTGGTCCCTGTTTCCCAGATTAAAAAAAAAAAAAACTTGGACATCACTAGAGGATGAACACTTAAGGTATGAGTATTTGGTAGAGTATCAGCTTCCTGGAAGTGGTTGGTTGTGTGCAGAGCCACCTGCCTGAGGATAGCGGGTGGGAGGTGAGGAGACTCAGAGCTAAAAGTCTCTGCTCCTCTCCCTGATGGGAAAGAGCTCCCAGCTACAATGGAGCATGGACAAGAGCCCTGCAATGGCCTGGGACAGGAGCTCCCTCCTGGGTGGGAGAAACAAAAATACTCAAGTAATTACTGAGGGGCATTTCCCTCCTCCTGAAGATGGAAATGCTGCCTTTTATTTATACTATCTTGAGGCAGAATAATTGCTGCTCCTCAGGAGGAATCCCGGTTGTGTTTAATGGGTGTGTTTAAAGAGGGAAACCCAAACAAAACCAAACAGAGAGATACAGAGAGAGATTGGGATTGATTTTGAGGGATTCCAGAAAAGATCTGTGAAATGGGCACCAGCCTAGAAATCCCTTTCCAAAAATTGCAGCAATTTGAATTGCTGAATCAGAAGACAAATTCAAAGTGATGCTCCCGGTGTGAAGCACCCAAAAGGCTCAAATCCTATGGTGTGAATTAATCTTTCCCTTCTCTGCAGCCTGAAGCCCTCTGGCTTCCTCTGCTGCAGCTATCATAGCTGCTGAGTTTTAGAGTGGCCTCTCTGTTTTCGTGTCTGTGTCAACACTGTCCTCCTCATGGCAGGGATAACTGTGCCCAGCCACTTGCCAGGTGCTCAGTAAATGTTGCCCGGGTTGAAAGGAAAGTTCCACCCAGATACAGATGCTGCCTGCTTACTGTCAGCATCAGGCCTACTCTGAGATGCTGATGCTACAACTCAGGTGCTCTGGCTGGTTTGTTACATTCTGAGGTCTCGGCTGCCCCTGGCCTTGAAGCCATCCTGCGAGGCCTTGAGGTTTCTTCTTGTGAAATGCTTCTCCCAGGGGTAGAGAAGATCTTCAGGACTGTGTCTTCTGAGCCAGTCCCCTGTTGTGGGAGCTGGTGAAGCTTGGTGGGAGCAGGACCAACAAGCACTTCCTGAGAAAGCTTCCTGGTGCCTCTACATTCAAATACACGCAGAATTGCTTACTTCTCCCATCTCCACTGCCACCACCCTCAGTCCCAGCCACCTTGATTTCTTGCCTGGATTATTGTGTTAGCTTCTCTCTTACAAGGTATTTACTATCTGGCAGCCAGAGCAATCCTTTAAAAATGCAAGTCAGTGGCTCAAAACCCTCCAGTGACTTCCCATGCCAAGCAGAGCAAAGAAAAAGTCCTTGTGGTGGTCATGAGGACCCTACATGAGCTGCTTCCCCTGTTACCTCTCTGGCCTCATCTCCTGGTACTCTCCTGTCTCCTGCTCTTGCAGCTTGACCATTTGGACCTTCTTACTTTTTCAAGAACAGCACACCAAGGTCCCTCCTGCCTGTTGGACTTTGCCTGTTGGACTTTGCATCTGCTATTCCCTCTGCCTGGAATGCTGCTCCCCAGGCTATCCTCATTCCTTCAGGTCTCTGCTCGAATATCTGAGAGGCCCTTCTTGACATCCTAACATGAAATAGAAACTATCCCTTGCTCTGCCCAGGCCCCCACACTCAGCACTCCATACTTGTCATATCCGGCTTTAATTTTCTCTGCAACCTGATAAAATGTATTTATTTATTTGCTGTTGGGTGCTGTCCACTAGAATGTAACCTCCACAAGATCAGAGACTATTTTCTTCTCTGCTGTATTCCCAGTGTCTAGTAGGTACTCAATAAACATTTGTTGAGTAAATAACTGAATGGAGAAAAACATCATGGGTAGAGGGGCTTACCTATGGCTCCCCTTCTCCTCCTCCCTGGCTCCAGAGTCTGCAGGAAAAAGCGTAGCCAAGTAGCCAAGAGTTGGAGGCAAACTTCCCTTGCAAGAAAGCCCCAACCCTCCTAAGCCTAAAATCAGAACCACAGAATGCCCTGCCTGGCCTCCCTATCTCCACTCTGTCCACAAATATCATGTCTGCCATGACTATATAGCTAACATTTTGATAGCACATTCATCGGTTCTCATATCGCCAGAAGATGGTTATCAAATGAGAAAACTAAAGCTGTGTAAACAAACGAACCTGTTTGAGTGAACAAATACTTATTGAGACACACTATATATCAAGCTCTGTGTAAGGCATGAATCATGCATGATCTCTGGAACAGAGAGCTCACATCCTGGCGGAAAGACACATAAACAGCTGAAGTTAACAAAATGTGTCAATGACAAAACAGAGTAATGAAAGGGCTACAAGAGGAGGCAAGAGAAGTGTACCCAGCTCCTGGAGGTGACGTGGGGCTGAGTTTGAAGGATGATGTGTATCAGCCAGACACAGAAGCAGAGTGAAGGGTAGTCTCTGGAGCACCAGAAAGAGTGCTCAAGTTCAAAGGAAGACAACTGGGTCTCATTCAATTCATGTTGCCTGTTCCTTACATTGGCTGATGTGCAATCATAGTGCCTGTGTATTCTCAGAGGCTGCCATGCTGCCTGGAGTGTAGGAAGCACTCAATAAGTGTTGAACGAATGAAAGATTCCTTGTTGAGATGCAGTTCTGCACCCTCTCTTAAGAATTTCAGCACCAGAGAACTGTCAACAAAGAAATGTCAACAGAGAAATGTCAACAAAGAAAAGGCTTTGAGGTCGTTTGTTCCCAATAGGTGTCCTAAGATCCAAGTCCCCTAGGCAGGGGCCCACCCCCAAGTAGGTGGACACTATTAGCCAGTGTCCTGGGGCCAAGGTGCTTGGGCATTGAGAGGAGCACTGATGGGCTCCGGAGGCAGTAGATAAAGGTGCAGATAAAATTTCAGGTATTTAAGGGTTAACAAAAGCAGATCTCAGACTGGCTCCACTTCTGGCACTGTGGGGAGGCTTATCAAGTACCCCATTCTGTGGTGTGCCTGTATTGATCTCCCAGGCTTAGTCTCCTCGCCTCTTCGAACCTCAGGCAGGCCCCTTCCAGGATTATGTTTTAAAGTGAAATGCAAATCACCTGGAGGCGGCTTCCTGCTTGGAAGAAGTAAAAATCAATTCCGTTTTCATTAAAGTGATTTTTGGACACTGTCAAACGCTCTCTCATCTCAGAGCATGGGGTGACAGATAGGCTGCCGGTCTCAATTACATAACTGAGACAACCAGTAGCAGTGAGCCATCTCATCGGGATCGGACACTGCTCTGAACCCTTCCCTAGGATACCCAAGAGCAGCCTCATCAAAACCAGGCCTGGGACTGGCCTCCCATGGTCCTTGCGGATGCTCGCTTGCAAGGCTTTACTCTCACATGCTCTCCTCTTTCCCAGTCCCTCCTGAGCTTCCCCCATGGACTGTCCGGGACAATCATGATGCCAAACAAAGTCAAATGAAGTTAAGAAGGGAAATCTGCTTTGAGAGAGTTTACATCATATAATACATTCTCAAAGTAGTTAGGTTGGTCTTATTTAATATTGGGAGTTCTATGTTATCCCTTCCCTCTGTTAACTGAGATAATTGAGGATTTATTTTATTTATAGCATCAATTATGAGGATGGAAATTAAACCTCAAATGGAGCATTTGGGAACTCAGCTGTCAGGGGGCTCAAGGGAAACCTGGGCAAAGCATAAAGGGTCTTCCCCAGTAGTGCAGGAGGCTGCATAGAAAAGCCATCCTCAAGCCCTGACAG